>NC_000010.11:125055943-125367423 GCF_000001405.40 Homo sapiens
ATCATGAGTCCAGGAGTTCGAGACCAGCCTGGCCAACATGGTGAAACCCCGTGTGTACTAAAAATACAAAAACTAGCCAGGTGTGGTGGCACGTGCCTGTAGTCCCAGCTACTCAGGAGGCTAAGGCAGGAGAATTGCTTCAGCCTGACAGGCAGAGGTTACAGTGTGCCGAGATCACGCCACTGCACTCCAGCCTGGGCAATACAGCGAGATTGTGTCTCAAAAATAAAAATAATAATAATAATAATAATAGTAATAATAATAATAATAACTAATAAACAAAAGCAGCTACCACTTCTAGAATGCTCCATGTGCGATGAGAACTATTCTAAGCGGCTGTGAGTAGTAACTGACACAATGCATAAGCAGCCAGCAATTCCATTCTGCTGGGCTGGTTTGCACAGTGAAGGCGTGCACGCCATGGAGGAGGACACGCCCAGCACAGATGTCTGTCAGCTCTGGATGAGGCTTCAGGTGAGTCCCCGAAACCTCAGGTGCAGGCAGGATACACACACTCCCCCTCCACCCCAGATGCCTTCAGAAGAGTGTGCCATTGGCTCTAAGGAGCCCAGGAGGCCCAGAGCCTGTAAGATAACATCACAACACAGCGGCCCAGGAGTCAGGGT
Source organism: Homo sapiens (assembly GCF_000001405.40). Classification (NCBI taxonomy): domain Eukaryota; kingdom Metazoa; phylum Chordata; class Mammalia; order Primates; family Hominidae; genus Homo; species Homo sapiens. The sequence goes on from NC_000010.11 coordinate 125,056,570, forward strand.
CATCTGCTGAAAACTCACTCCCTCTAGTCACCCGCCAGCCCCACAGCTGCTCTTTGTGCCTCAGCTTCATGGAAAGGTTAAATGACCAACGCCATCCTCCTGCCTCTAGAACGGCCACAGAGTCAGGTCAGATGACAGTCTGCACTCTTAGTCGAGGGATGTTGGCTACAGAAACTTCCGTGGCCTTAGGACCTCCAACTCCATCGCTCCCAACCCCATCACGGGCAGCAATGCGGACAGGTCACACAAGTGCCATGGGGACCCACCTCCCAGTCCGTGTCTGTGGCCCCAGTGCTTGATGAGCTGTGTGATCAGAGCATGTATCCACAGGCAGAGCTCTGGAAGGTTCTCTCCGAGGGACCTGTTGAGCCCCTCATTGCTTTCTCCATCACACCTTCCCGAGGAAGACACAAGGGTCCCTCTGTCCCCGGGGTACACAGGGCAGCCCCCAGCCGGGGAAGCATGCCTCTCTGCCCTCTGGGTTGGGCTCCGTTCCCCATGCCAGGTCCTGGGGGCAGGAGGGAGACAGCAAGGCCAGAAGGCAGTGCAATCTTATTCCCAGAGAGGCACCCAGGAAGGGTTAAACGGATTGTTAGAGACAAAACCGATGAAAACGACTTCAACACAATCTGATGAGGTCAGCGAGTAGAGAGGCCCTAATGACACTTGTAAGAAAAAACATCTGTTGGTGTCAAAAGGTCAGCAGGAAGTGAGTGGGATTTACGTGGCTGGGATTGGCCAGACCAGCACTCCTCGAAAGAGAGACACACACATGGCTTAACTTAGCCTGAGAGGAACAACAAAAACCCCTTTCAATTGTCCTGTGACCAGCCCCCGCCTCCCTCTAAACAACAGGCCAAACCCCGAGCTATGAAATCCGTCTGGGCCCCTGACTGGCAATTAGCTCTTTGTCCATTCACTGATCGGCCACTGAGGCCCAGACTCCCCCCGACTGAGTCTTTTGGGGATGACGTTTTTGCTGTGAGTGCGTATCCCTTTTCCAGGCCACAGAATCTCCAGCTTGACTTTTTCCTTGGAACACAAAGAGGGTCACTTGAATAGCAAATGTTTCAATAAATCCATCATCACAAAAACCAAAACAAGAAGTTTCTCTGGAAAAACAGGAAGTCCTGGTACACAGCGTGGCTTAAAATAGGGCCTGTTTCATTTGTTGACAAAACTCCAGCCTCTGGAAGCCTCTTGGAGGAGCTTTGTCTGAGATCCAGCTTACCTTTTAAACACTCCTTCAGTAAAAAGCATCCCAGTGCTTCGGGCAACAGACTGGCCTGGACTTCGTTACACTCTGACGCAGGTCACAGGTCTGGGTCCTGGCCGTCCCACTTCCTGTCCACAGGCCCCCAAGAGGGTCTCACGGGAAGCCAGGCTCAGGGCCGTGGCAGGAATGAGGCCTGGTGCTTTCATGCCATCAACGAGCTGGGTGGCGGGAGGTGCTTTTTCAGCCTTCTCCTCTAAAGCATTTCTAACTTGGAGGCCTCTCGGAGTTAGTATTCTGCTTGTTCTTTATGAACTGTTACAGAGTTTTACAGGAGCCCTGACGGGGAGAAACTCTTGGACTGTCACCTGAACTTGACCACTGTGCAGTAGGCAAAGTGGAGGTCCCAGTTGCACCCAGCCAGCCTGGAATATGCAGCTGCGCCCTCCCCAAAGTCACCCACTATAAAGAATACAGGCACCAGAAAACTCCAGAAAGATGTTAAAAGTTCTTCACGTGATACGATTGCACACACAGTGCTGCGTCCTCACAAGATGCCTCCTGGGCACCGTCCCATAAAGGTGCTCTCACCTGATCTAACCATCCATTCCTCTCCCCCTGAGTTTTGCCTTTTCCAAGCTAACCGCCAAGGATCTGGAGGACGGTGTTCACACAGCGAGGCATGGGCGTGTGTCGCAACTATTCCCCTGTTGAAATGTGAAGCCACGGCCGGGCGCGGTGGCTTACACCTGTAATCCCAGCACTTTGGGAGGCTGAGGCGGGCAGATCACCTGAGGTCAGGAGTTTGAGACCAGCCTGGCCAACATGGCAAAACCCCAACTCTACTAAAAATACAAAGATTAGTCAGGTGTGGTGGCGCGGTGGGCAGATCACCTGAGGCCGGGAGTTCGAGACTAGCCCGGCCAACATGACGAAACCCGTCTCTACTAAAAATACAAAAATTAGCCAGGTGTGGTGGCACACACCTGTAATCTCCACAACTCAGGACGCTGAGGCAGAAGAATCATTTGAACCCGGGAGGCGGTGGCTGCAGTGAACCAAGATTATGCCACTGCACTCCAGCCTGGGCGACAGGGTGAGACTCTGTCTCAAAATAAAAAGGCACAGAGAGATCAGAGAATCAAGTCTACCAAATTCTTCACACGGAGATTCCACCACCACCAAAAGCACATCCCCACGGTCAGGCAGGTGACGAGGACCTTCAGGAGATTTCCTTACCACTAGGATGGGCAGGGGGAGGCTTCTGCATGGATACCGGAGGCTCACTGCGTGAACCTTCTGGAGACGGCACTGTCACTTTTGTCTCCTTTGCTGGTGCTAAACAAAGTGTGGGCGGTGGGGGTGGGAGGCGTGTTTAAGTAAAAAGGAGACACAAGCAATGCTAGTTGTTTCAGGATCCTGCTGGGTTTTGTTGGCTTATAGAGGAGAAAATCAGCGATATGAAGGTACGTGAGGGGTAAGACATACGCAATTTCACTTCAGAAATGTGAATTGAGGCCGGGCATGGTGTTTCACGCTTGGAATCCCAGCACTTTGGGAGGCTGAGGCGGGCAGGTCACTTGAGGTCAGGAGTTCAACACCAACCTGGCCAACATAGCAAAACCCCGTCTCTACTTAAAATACAAAAAATTAGCCGGGTGTGGTGGTGCACGCCTGTAATCCCAGCTACTCGGGAGGCTGAAGCATTAGAATGGCTTGAACCTGGGAGGTGGAGGTTGCAGTGAGCAGAGATTGCATCACTGCACTCCAGCCAAAAGTGACATGATTTAGATGGAATTTACTCCAGACCCAAGGCTTGTCACCACCAACCCATCCTGATCCACACCTGACCTGGACCCATTAGCCTAATGTCCACGCTAAGATTTTCACACTGTTTTTTGACGTCGACCCCAGAAGCCATGCTCCAAGGCCACTGACACTGCATCAGTGGGCAGCTCAGTGTGCTGCCCCTCTCGCCCCGCCAATTTCCTGCCCGCCCACCCCCACCAGCTCCAGGAGGCGGAATCTGTCAGCTTGTCAGCGTTTGTCTGGATTCACTGGGAGTCAGGAAGGGGCCTGTTTGGGAGCTTGTGTTGGGTCTGGCTTTGCTGATCTTTTGTGGGGAGACACTTAGGATGAAATGGGGTAAAGGACAGAAAAGGCTCACCTGCAGGACCTCGCGGGTTAGCCACGAGTCTGACACACCTGAGCCTGCCCCACTGCCCATCCCTGGAGTCATCCTTCCCGGGGGCCAAAGGCTCTTCCATGTCACTTTAGTTATCATATGGCGGGCAGATTCGAACCGTCTATCCCAGTCACTCTTTTGAAGAGTGAACAATATGGAGAATGTGAACATATGTGGCCACGCAGCTGATGTACACAAGCATTCCCCACAGCCATTTATTTTAAGGCACCGTGTGCTATTTTTATCCTCCACAGAAATGCTGCCAAGGGAATCCGCAGAGGAAAACAAAGCTCTGGAGCTGAGCGGGTTACTCTGACTTCACTCTTCACACGACAAATGATCATAGCATACTATTTGCCACCTTGTCTCAGAGACAAATGTCATGAAATAAGTCACTCGTCATTATTTGAGTTCAAGTACTTTTTCTTAAAACATGGCTTTTAAACAGAAATGCATTTTTCCTTAACTACTGGTCATGATATTCCATTCCCCCCACGTGTGTGTGTGTGTGTGTGTGTGTGTGTGTGTGTGTGTACATGTGTGTGTCTGTTGCGGCTTACCTGCAACACTGGTTCTGAGCAAGTGAAAAACTTGCAAATGTGTTGTGGAAGAGAATGGCAATGCTCATCCCCAGCAGGGAACGTTCCCGAGTTTCCATCTCTGCCTGTGATTATGTGCAGGGCAGTCATGCGGAAGAGGGATTGGGTGTATTCTGCGTGGGCAGAACCATGACCAGGAGAGAGGGGAAGCCAAGAGGAGAGATTGCAGATGGATAAAGAAGTTTCTCACAGTCGAGGAATAAGAAGCACACGGGCAGGCTTCCCCAGAGAGGCCGGTGCCCCAACCTAGAGGACACGAAGCCGAGGCCAGGACTGTGGACCGCAGCTGGAGACCCCTCTTGACCCGCGGGGGCTGGTGTGCTAAGGTGCAAAGGGAGGAAAGAGCAACATGCAGGGTGACACCTGCAGACAGTTCTCCCTGTTCTGGAATCTTCCGGTCGGCCCCAGGGGTGCACGCTAGGGCAGCCCATAGCCAGCCCCTGCTAGATCCCGGCTCCCGGCAACCCTCAATGCTGAACTCTCCCAGGATTCCTGCGGTGGCAAACAGCCCTGGTATGTACCATTTTATTTTCACTCAAAACATCCTTCCTGGGACCATCCCAGCAAGCTGAGCATACTATTTTCAACTAAGGCCCTGGCATTGTCTAGGAATGTTTTCAGGGCTAAGCAAATTGCTAAAGCAAACATCTTATTTTCGTCTGCAAGGACAGCCAAGCGCTGTAAAAATACTTCCCGATAGGACTTCCAGTGGAACGGCCCCCTCTGGTGGCGCTGTTGGCACCAGACACTCTGGTTCAGGGGAAAGCTCTCGCTGGGCATCCGGGGCGACACCCACACTTCCCTTGACGGTGGCTCCACTGGCAGCCGCCCTGCTCCACACCCCTAGCTGCCCCAGGGGAAGGCCAGAGAAGGCCTGTGGACAGGAAGGGGTACAGGCCCTGCAGCGCCAGGAACAGGACCTCCCTCACCTCTCCTCCTCCTTGCTCCAAGGAACAGCCAGTTTGACACCAAATCCCACACATCCCAGTTCCAGGAGTGGCCTGGGACTCAGACACCAGGTGATCTGGGTATGGGAGGATATAACAGCGTCTACGGCAGCAAAGCCTGAGGCCCCCACACCAAGCCAGAGGCAACTGAGAGCTGGTACCACAGGCCAGACGGAGCCCCCGTGCAGCATCCTGGACCTGTGAGCTGGCCTGCATTCCTGGGTTCTCAGATGCACCTCGGTGAGGTGCCACCTCCTCACGGTCACTGCAACTGTCACACCCTTACTGAGAGGAGCAGCTGTAGCAATAAGCAGGCTCCCCGGCTCACGGCATCCTGGACACTGTTCCCGTCACTTTGCATGAATTCACTCATTCCTCCCAACAGTCTTAGGAACCAGGTATGCTTTCCTCATCTAAAATGACTAAACAGAGGCCCAGGGTAGAAAACAACGGGCCAAAGACACAGCTGGGGTGGAGGTGGGACCGAAGCCGGGTAGCCCAGGGATCGTCCACGCCCTGAGTTTGTGATGGACCTAAACTCCTGTGTGTTTCACTTCCTGTTTCAATTGCTAAACCGAGAGGGCCCTTAGCGACTGCTCCCACCAGGGCTGGAGAAGCAGAACCCAGCGGACTCAAAACGGTGCCTACAGGGGAAAACGGGGTGAGCAGGGGACGACTGAGTCCAGCCTCGGTTCTGGACTACTAGAAAGAGGTGCCCCTGAATGGGGGGACACAGGGGTGCTCTCAAAACTCAGCAAATGTTAGTCCTTTTATTTTAGGAAAATACACTGAACTATTTGTTGATGTAATAGAAGCTAGGGTTTACTGTATAATGGCCTAGTAGGGTGTGTCTGTAAGAGAACGCACGTGAAATGAGGGTGATGAGGACATCTGCTTTTTTAAGTCTGTCCTGTTTAAAGCTCTAACACTGTAACGTGGGGACAACTCTGAAGGCTGCGGGGAGGTTCTGGGACAGCAGACACCCGCTGGCAGCACGCAGCAGAACTCAGCGCGAGGGGTTAGAGTTAGGGTTAGGGTCGCTGCCATCAGTAATAAAAAATACGGAGGGACCGGGTGCGGTAGCTCACACCTATAATCCCAGCACTTTGGGAAGCCAAGGCAGCTGGATCACCTGAGGTCAGTTTAAGACCAGCCTGGTCAACATGATGAAACCTCCTCTCTACTAAAAATACAAAAAATTAGCCGGGTGCGGTGGCACACGCCTGTAATCCCAGCTACTCAGGAGGGTTGAGGCAGGATAATCTCTTGAACCTGGGAGATGGAGGTTGCACTGAGCTGAGATTGCGCCACTGGGCGCCTGGGCAACAAAGCGAGACTCTATCTCAAAAAAATAAAATAAAATAAAAAATAAACCACTGAGGGCACCCAAGGAACAACATCTGCTGTGCACCCGTTTTCCTAATGGCCCCAAGAGAGGCTGGCTGAACAGACAACTATGCTCAGATGATCTTTCTGGCGTTCCAGTGAGCAGGCTGGGCCTCCACAGGAAGAGAGCTCAGCCAAAGAAAGGACAGCTCCCCAGCAGCGAGGCAGGGCCCTGGGCAGCTGTGCACAGCCTCGGCCAGCCTCGAGCTGGACCTCAGCCGCAACTGTGTGCTGTGCTAAATGGCCATCATTGGTGGAACCAAAAACGAACAATGGGAAAATTATCACATTATCCTTCTACGAAGCAATCTGGAAAGCTAATTACGTGTTACTCTGCGCACATCTTCATCTCTGATGTGGAAACAGCATGGGCGAATCGGTCTGGTGGGGAAAAACATCATACTTAAGAAATACGGAGAATTTATTTCTCCGCAAGCCACATACGTGTTTTACCCCACACGTCATGAGGCCTGTGGCACCCCGATGGGGACTGAGCATTCACTCTTCTGCCCACGTGAGGAACCAACAAAAGCTGGCAAGGACACCCCAGGATAACACCCAAACACGTCGACTCGTGCGAAAGGCCTCATGCACGATCCTTTCTTGCTGTGGCAAAACCGTTAAGTTTCTCTCAACACACACAAAACCGAAGTAAAATGCTCATCCTCTGGCTCCCCTACAGTAGTAAAAATTAATTGCCACATAAAATTGCTGATTCCTACCAAATGAAGCTGTACGATTTATCAGCTCATGGATGGCGCAAACTCAATGGTGGTTTAACTACATCACCTGAGTTATTGCTGTGTTTTCTCTCAGTGACAGCTTTACGGGGAATGTAAGTTTTGCGAATTCATTCATGTAGGACAAACTTCCAAAGTAAACAAAAGCATTAAGCAGACACAGCTCTCCCGTGGCTATGTCACAGCGATTCTCAAAGCCACAGGGTGTCTGGGCAAGAAGGGTGGACACCCCGTGTAGGGACCCCTGCAGCAACTCCATCAGGCACGGTTTTCCCCCACCCCCAGGCTGCAGTGCCACCTTCCAGGGGTGCTCTCTGCTGAAGCCCTCAACCCCCCGCACCCCAACTTTAGAGGCCATCGTAATTTAATTATCCAACTCCAATTCCACATAGGAATCCAGTTATTTAAAATGCATTAAAAAAATAAATCACTGCCAGTAGGTTTTGTATTTTTGGCCAGGACAAAGAATTTATAAACAGCTTATATATATGGTGTGGAAGACAGTTAGATGGTGAATACCTCAGGGAACACCATAGTCTCCTCGGTTTTCACCAGAGTTTGCCTGGGAGCCGGGACATCCCTATCATTTTATGGGCTATTTCTGTTTTCTTCATCATTTGTCCCCTGTCCATTAGACAACAATGGATTGATCTTTTTCTAATCTGAATTAGGCCAGGCACAAACAGGTAAGTTACCTTCCGGTTTCCATAATTACGGGAACAGGCAAGTACTTCTTCCAAACTCAGGCCTTCAGAGAAAAATAACTGTGGTGGGAGGGGTGCAATCCCTGGGGAAACAGCGTTCTTGGTGAGGACAATGCTGAGGTCACCCATCGGTCTCCGAAGAATAGCAGTTCTACTTCTCAAGGGAAGAGAGCCCCAACTCTAAGAATTTCAGGTACATGAAAAAAAAGTGCCACAATCCATTGTCCAAGTTTGCCTTATGTTCTATTTATAGTCAGAGTGCGTGCTCTGAATCTGTTTTAGAATCATGTTCTTCAGGACAACTTGAAATAAAAATCAGAGAAGTTTAGTTTCAAAAAAGGCAGAGAGGTGACTATCCACCCAGGAGACTTCACCCATTCCCGCCACGCCAGTGTCCCCAGTCAGCCTTGACCCTGCTTCCCTGACTGTGTAGTGAGATGTGGGGATTCAGCCCAAGGCTTGTGGTTAAAGACAGAGGAAGAAAAGACAAAGAATGAAACCTTTCTGGTTTGGTGACTTAGCTCAGAGCTGGTCTGGCTCTTCTCTACTTTCTTGCCAAGTTTTGCATATTTGGGATTTCAGTTTCACAAGCTTCCCCACCTCACTGGTTTTACTGCTTAACGAGCAGAGAATATGCTCTAATGATTATCTGAAACACACCCACAGGTAACCACAACTGTTTCACACAGAACAGGAAATGCCCAGCAAAGAAACTCTCACTTGATGATGAAATGTTTGCCACTAGAAAATACATCGTACTGTCCCCATTCCATGGGCTCCCCAAACCACTCTGCACAAAAACTGTGGTTGCGGAGGGGCTGCTTGACAGACTGTTCTTTGACTGGGCTCTTCAGGTTCCAGTCTTTCCAGGGAGGTCCAGCCATCATCAGATCCAAATGGAAGTCTTGCAACTGGGGCACTCTGCTTGAACTCAAATGCCCCCAACAAGAGCCTTGTTCTCTTTGTGATGATTTCCTGTGCTGCACACATGAATCTGTGCTTTTCTCAATGTGCACTTTTTAAAAAATTGAAAACAACCCAAGGATGAGTCAACATTTTAATGCAGCTCATACCTGACTGTCAACTTCAGCAAAATAAAGGGAAGGAAGAGCAAAGCCCGCAGGGGCTTTGGGGAAGGCGAGGTGGCGAAGGGAAGAGGCAGGATCCGGCTAACAAATGCCAGTATCAGGGAAATACCAAGTCCACATCCTGCGCAGTCAGCTCCCCAGGATTTGTTTTTGTGGGTCTCTGAGCTGAGAGCTAAGGGGGCCGGAGGGAGAAAGTGGGAGGTAAAGTTAGAGGAGGGACTCACTGTAGGAGCACACTGCCAGCTCTTGTGGCCAGCCCCAGTGGAAAAGAAATCCCACTAAATTTACATCCATTCGTGCTCCATATGAAGAAGCTGAGGGTCACTGTCCTCTTCTAGCTATTTCATTCAGCTGGCTTTCCAGTCTATCAGAAAAATGCCATCATCGGCTGGGTGTGGTGACTCTCACCTATAATCCCAACACTTTGGGAGGCTGAGGTGGGCGGATAGCTTGAGCCTAGGATAGCTTGAGACCAGCCTGGGCAACATGGCGAAACCCTGTCCTAAGAAAAATACAAAAATTAGCCTGGCTTGGTGGCATGCGCCTGTAATCCCAGCTACCCAGGTGGCTGAGGTGGGAGGATCGCTTGAGCCCAGAAGGCAGAGGTTACAGTGAGCCCTGATTGTGCCATGGCACTCTAGCCAAAAAAAAAAAGCCGTCATCTTCTTGATGGTGAACTCCCTCTAATGCTCAGGCTGATGTCCTAACACCCAGGACAACGTCTGAGTGACCAGTGGCTCTTGGCTGAGGGATGTGAGCTATGAGCCCCTACATCACAGCTTCTGTTAACATGGCGATGGCTAGGCACAGGCAGCCACCCCTCTACCAAGCCACATCCCAAATCCTAACCCCAGCAGAGCCAGAGACTCAATGCTTTGTGTCACATGGAGCTACCAACATCAGGACCAGCGAGAAATCGGGAAAACATCAAGTCAGAACGTCCCGTGCCTTCTAAGCAGTCAGGTGCATGCACCATGCTAGGTGAGTGCAGGGCAGGAACGGAAGGCAAGCAGGGTGCGCAGATGTAACGGGGGAAGCAGGCACGGCCAAGCACCCTAGAAAGTGCTGTCATGTTTCGTACAGGAGCCTGCTGGGGGTAGCTCACGGGGACTGGAAGCATGGCCCTGAAGTGTGGGCAGCATCTTTTCTGTTTGCACGACTCAAAGTCTGCCTGGTGGAGGAGGGTGACACCTGCACAGAAGCCAGGGAGCACAGTGCACCAACCTTCAGTGTAATCTCCAGTCCTGCCACTGACTCGTGAGCTGTGTGACTCTGGGTACATCACCTGAGCCCTTCACACCTGGGGGTTTCTTATCCATAAATGGAACGACCTCACCAGAATTTTAAAATGTAACAAAAAAGGAACTAGCCCATGTGTCGATCAGTAAATGCCTCAGGGTGAACTCGAGAATCCAGAAGTCTCCAGGGAAGCCCAGTGTGTGCGACGTGCCTCTTCCTATCTCCCCTGGGCAGTCTTCCCAGCTCCATGGAAAAGTCTTTGGTCAGCTGAACGCAGGCAAGGCTGCTGAATTCCTGAAGTCCCCGCCTGACCACCAGGCCCAGGTATAAGGGAAGGGCGACTCCTACTGATGGACAACCAGACACCCCCCACGTCCACCTGCTATGTGGGGCGATTCATTATTGGCCGGCAAAGGCTTACACTTTTTTCTTTCAAGAATTTTTTTATTTAGAGATTACACAAAAAAAGTCTTCTGTGAAACCCATAACCCAGCCCAGGAATGAGAAAAACATCACACAAACTGCAGTAGAGGGACAATCCACAAAATATACTATCATAATCAAAACTGTCAAGGTCATCAAAAATAAGGAAAGACTGTGAAACTGCCACCGCCATGTGGGGCCTAAGGAGAAAGACAGTGACATACAAGGTGAAAAACTGGACAGGATTCTGGGATGGAAAAAGGATATCAGATCATCAGAATACAATGTAGACTTCAGTTAATATTAATGTATTGATAATTGGTTCATTAATTTTAATAAATGTCTCATACTAATGTAATGTCAAATGATAATAAGGAAACTAGGTGAGGAGATACGGAACTCTCCATGTAACCTTCTAGACGTTTCTGTAAATCAAACTGTTCTTAAAAATATCCATTTAGAAGGGAAAAAACTGCTTTTATATATGCCATTTATCAAACTTCTTATCTTACCATCTCAAAACCCAGGCAAAGGATATAATGTAAACCAAAATATGAGAGAAATCAAAGGAAAATATTAATGGCACGCATAACCCTCATTCTCTTTCTCTCAAAGCAGTAAGTTATAGCAAGTGTCAGCTGTCAGTCTGTGCACGTAGCCTTTAGTTCAAGGAAGGCCCTGACCTGTACACTGACCCAAGCATCAAGTCCCATGGGCAGGGCCCATGGTGGGACTCCCTGACCCGCGTCATTCTGTGCCCTCACCTCTGAAGCCGCCAAGTGCAGTGTCTGCCCAAGAAGCCACCGGGCTGCAGACCCAGGGCGGGTCCGATGTATACCCTAGGAGGCACCCCCAATTTCACCTCTCCTTGGTGGGCCTCTCACCTGTCCACTTGCCACAGGATCTACCTGCCCTCTGGTGCCAAGCAACAACGGATGAATACCCACTACCTCCAGACAGTCAGATGGGCCTCAACTCAGCCCCAACAAGCAGCCAGAAAGCAAAGCGAGGAAGATGACAGCCAATTTCACCATGCGGCCCAGGCCCACAGACTCCAGAGGATTTTGGGAAGCTTCACAGCTGCACCAGAGTTCTGCCCCACGACCATCCTGATCTGCGAAGGACACGTCCATTCTGACCACAGATGTTCACTGAGCCTCTGCTAGGCACAGGGTGAACACCATACAATGACCATTCCCAAATTCAGGAGTGTGAAACTTCATCTACATTAAAGAATTCAAACTACGTAGACAGGGAGTTATATAAACCAAAAGAAAATGTTAATTTGCACACATAACCCCATCCCCTTTCTCTCAAAATAGCAAGTTATAAAAATCTAGAAAGTAGAGAACATTTTATTTGCAGTTTGGATAACCTAAGGTTTACTGAGCAATGAAACTGAGAATGTTTCCACTAACACACAGGCCACAGGTTTCAGGGCAGCAGGAAGGCCAGGAAGGAGCAAGTGTCCTGGAGGTGGCAGCTTTGTCTCTATACCACACCACAGATGCTGGCTGTCCCGGAACAAGATGGCCAGGGTGCAAAGGTCTTAGTGCCATGGCCGAGACAACTACTGGGTTTCCCAGTGTGGTCCCTTGGGTGAGGGAGCTGCAGAGGACTCATCAGCACCCTATGCAGAGGGGTTTCTGAGCACAGGACCAGGCCCTGGAAGGTGGGAGTCTTGAGACCAGCAGGGCTGCAGGAGGTACTCCCTGAGTCACCTATTCCCTTGCAACTTGGAGGTCAGGGTTGCTTTGCCCTGCTGGGGGAATCTGCCCCTGCTGTCTCCGAGGCCCCACTCTCCCCTCAGCCAGCTGGAGCACCGGGTTCTCCTTTGGATCCTGACACGCGACCTTAGACAACTTATTTTACTGCTGATCCTCCCATCGCAGGCTGGGGCAGGGAGATCAGCTACAGGAACAGAAGGGAACGATGCACTCACAGGGCTGGGGTAGAGCTGGTGCCCACCCCCACCACTAGCCAAACAGTCTCGGGGCTGGCCTCTTCCAGGGGCCTTTCTCAGGACCAAGGGTTTCCTGTTCCCTGCCTGTCTTGGCTGAGTGACCACCTCCCCTAATAGCTGCCTGCCAGCCAGCTCCTACAAATCAGGACCTTCTATTGACAACACTACAAATTGCGTTATGATTTTATAAAGCTTTAAATTCCAAAATCAGTATTGGAATTAGTCCAACTTGTAAACGCCCACAATGATGAGTTTCAAACACACAAAAATACTGCCTATGGCCAAGTGCGGTGGCTCACACCCGTTATCCCAGCACTTTGGGAGGCCGAGGTGCGTGGATCAACTGAGGTTGGGAGTTCAAGACCAGCCTGGCCAACATGGTGAAACCCCATCTCTACTGAAAATACAAAAATTAGCTGGGCGTTGTGGTGCACACCTGTAATCCCAGCTACTCAGGAGGCTGAGGCAGGAGAACTGCCACGAACCCAGGAGGCAGAGGTTGTAGTGAGCCTGAGATCGTGCCATTGCACACCAGCCTGGGCGACAGAGTGAGACTTCATCTCAAACAAACAAGAAAACAAAATTACTGGCTGAAAGTTTCCATTAAGACAAGCTTGTTTTCCAATATTAAATCCCCAAGCCAGGACACGGTCATTTCTGTTTGTTGTGCCATCTAATCAGGACATGGAGATTTCTGCTGAGAGTCTCCCCTTTAATGGAGGTTCTCACAGAGTATTTTGTTGTTTCCCTACTCCCCAACTCCACCACCATCAGGAAGTTGACAGAAAGTAAAGATGTAAAATTACTTCCTTTTCCATACCCTGCCCCCCTCCCCCCCCCACACAAACCCCAAAAGAAGTGAATATAGAAAGATAAAAAGTTACCCTAAGTAACTACAGACTTTGGATAACAATGGATCAATTACTTTGGGAGGCCTAGCTGGGCCAATCACTTGAGCTCAGCAGTTTTATATATATATATGGGTCATTAATTGTAACAAATGCATCATACCGGCTGGGCACGGGTGGCTCAGGCCTGTAGTCCCAGCACTTTGGGAGGCCGAGGCAGGCGGATCACAAAGTCAGGAGATCTACACCACCCTGGCTAACAAGGTGAAACCCGGTCTCTACTAAAAATACAAAAAATTAGCCAGGTGTGGTGGCACGTGCCTGCAGGCCCAGATACTTGGGAGGCTGAGGCAGGAGAATCCCTTGAACTGGGGAGGCAGATGTTGCAGTGAGCCGAGATCGTGCCACTGCACTCCAGCCTGAGTGACAGAGAGAGACTCTGTCTCAAACAAACAAACAAAAAACAAATGTATCGTACTAATGTAAGATGTTAATTATAGGGAAAGGCCAGGTGGGGTGGCTCATGCCTGTAATCCCAGAGCTTTGGGAGGCTGAGCCGGCAGGATAGCTTGAGTCCAGAAACTACAGACTTCAGCGAGCTATGATGGGGCCACTACATTCCAGCCTGGGTGACAGTGAGACTCAATTTCTAAAAAATGATAATGATAATAATAATAATAATGATTACCAATTTTAATACGGAAAACTGGGTGTGAGGTATATGAAATCTGTATTATCATCACAATTTTTATGTAAATCTAAAATTTTTTCTATTTTTTGAGAGGGAGTCTCGTTCTGTTGCCCAGGCTGGAGTGCAGTGGTGTGATCTCAGCTCACTGCAGCCTCCGCTTCTGGAGTTCAAGTGATTCTCCTGCCTCAGCCTCCCAAGTTGCTGGGATTACAGGCATCTGCCGCCACGCCCGGCTAATTTTGTATTTTTAGTAGAGGCAGGATTTCACGTTGGCCAGGCTGCTCTCAGTCTCCCAAAGTGCCAGGATTACGGGTGCGAGCCACCATGCTTGGCCTAAAATTTTTCTAAAATAAAAACTTTTTAACCAAAGAAAAAAAGAAAATCACCCACTTCCCTCACACTGCATTCCTGCAAAGACAAAATGCCCCGTATGCGGTGATTGCTTCCCTCCCCAATTCTGAGCAGATGCTGCTCTCTGTTGCATGGAAGCATATTCCAGGCACATCCAGATGCTCCCGAGCCGTGTGCCAGGGCTGCCACGACCTCGTATCTGTGCCCCACTCACCCATGCAACCACCGCCTGCTGAGAGGGGAAACAGAGGCAGCGAGGGGCAGGCTCCCTGCTCTGGGAAGGGAAGGAGCATTTGCGGGAAGGCCCAAGAACATGAGAGCCTGGTTGAAGGCCACTGGACGGCCCTTGGCACTGGACTAGGGGGCCAGCCAGGGATTCAGGGATGATGGAAAAACCAGGAAATATTAATAAAATGCAGAACACTTGCTGTGTGCTCCTGATGGAGGAAGCAGCAAAGCCGGCTAACAAATTGGTCATTGGTACAGTGAGCCTGAGCCCAAGTGGGACAGGAAATTAATCCAACATGCTGAAGACCTGAGTTCCAACTGCTGGAACAAGGCGAAGGGGTCCCACCCCAAAAGTGAAGTAAGACCTGAAAGATGGCAGTAAAAACTTACAAGATGCAAATTAAAACAGAGCTAATGGTGATGACAGCTGGCCAAGGAACAGGAGAATGGACCAGTCCGCCAGGTTTTGAAGAGCTTTTTTAGAAAGCAAGGCTGACTAGAGCCAGTGAAGAATAAAACGCTTAGAAGAAAGACAGTAACTCTCTAAAACCATAGTTAATGGTCCAATGGTTCTTCCTTCCATCACAAAACCAAATTCCCAGATACCGTGAAATGCGTACCACCACCCCCAAACATTCCCAAAGCAGACCCTGCACCTTTGCAAATGCTGCAGATTAAGAAACAGAGGATGCAAGCAGGAAACGGAATCTGGCAACTGTTGTTGAGGGGAATGGGCCGGAACAGTCAGCTGCCCGCAGGGTACTTGGTGGAAGACAAGAGGTCAAGACAGGCACTTCCTCTGGGCTGAGGGTGGCCAGTCTGGGCCCTAGACATCCACACCATGGACAAACCCTGAGACCTGGACATGGGCTTTTCTGGCCAGAACATAATCCACATACATGGCCGGGCACGGTGGCTCACGAGGTCAGGAGTTCGAGACCAGCCTGGCCAATATGGTGAAACCCCATCTCTACTAAAAATACAAAAATTAGCCAGGCATGGTGGCGTGCGCCTGTAGTTCCAGCTACTCGGGAGGCTGTGGTTGCAGTGAGCCAAGATGGCGCCACTGCACTCCAGCCTGGAGAGACTCCGTCTCAAAAAAGAAAAAGGAATCCACGTACAGCTCCTATCTGTCCTGCAAGAAAAGGAAATTGACGAAGCTGGGTGCAGTGACTCACGTCTGTAATTCCAGCATTTTGAGAGGCCAAGGTGGGTGAATTACCTGAGGTCAGGAGTTTGACACCAGCCTTGCCAACATGGTGAAACCTCATCTCTACTAAAAACAAAAACAATTAGTCAGGTGTGATGGCAGGCGCCTGTAATCCCAGGTCCTCGGGAGACTGAGGCAAGAGAATTGCTCTAACCTGGGAAGCGGAGGCTGCAGTGAGCCAGGATTGCACCACTGCACTCCAGCCTGGACAACAGAGTGCAGAGTGAGACTCTGTCTCAAAAAAGAAAAGAAAAAAAAAAAAAAAAAAAAAAAGGAAACTGACAAGAAGGCCAAAACAAAGAAACAGATGCCAATTGCTTGGGGCCCTCATGGTAGCTGGGGAGGAACTACCACCTACCACTGGCATGGCTGATTCCCCAAGTAACTGCCTGCAGGTCCCTGGAGCACACACAGGATCTTGTAGCAGGACCTGCAGGCTCAAATCAAGTAAAAGCTAGTCTCAGATATTCAGTATGTTCCCCTTGATACATGTCTCAGGACTAATTATTTTACAAGGCCCCAAATCACTAACAAAACTGTTGACTACAGTTTTGGCAATCATCATTTAAGTCATTACTAACGGTTGGATGC
The DNA here is from genome assembly GCF_000001405.40 of Homo sapiens. Taxonomy (NCBI): domain Eukaryota; kingdom Metazoa; phylum Chordata; class Mammalia; order Primates; family Hominidae; genus Homo; species Homo sapiens. Next base: position 125,072,976 of record NC_000010.11, read on the forward strand.
AATAAATAGAGATGACAGAATGGCAAACAGCTGAGATCCCACCTCCAGAGCCCAAGAACACAGTGTCAGAGAAAGCTAACAGCCACAGCAGTTCCACGCCGGCTCGCCCAAGTCTTCAGATGTGGCCCTGCCCAATAAATCAGTGTCTGCAATGGCAAGGGCCACTCTCTTACATTTTACATCATCTTTCTTTCTTAATCTCAATGTTGATGATGTCCACTTAGAAGCTCAAAAACACGATGAGATTTCTTCAATGGCTTCTGCATCTCTCTTTTTTTTGAGATGGAGTCTCCCTCTGTCGCCAGGCTGGAGTGCAGTGACGCCATCTTGGCTCACCGCAGCCTCCCGAGTTCAATTGACCAGGTTCAAGCGATTCTCCTGCCTCAGGCTCCTGAGTAACTGGAATTACAAGCGTGCACCACCACACCCAGCTATATTTTGTATTTTTAGTAGAGACAGGGCTTCACCATGTTGGCCAGGCTGGTCAACTCTTGACCTCAAGTGATCCGCCCGCCTTGGCCCCCCAAAGTGCTGGGATTACAGGCGTGAGCCATCATGCATGGCTGGTTTCTGCACCTCTTTCAAATGGGATTTATTTTTTAAAGTAAGATAAACATGTTAATAAAATTGGAAACCGATTTGTACGTGGCAAACAATTTTTAGGTGGAAAGTCAACTGCCTTGATTCATATAGGCATTTATACAAATTGTTATGGCTATAGCAGCTAAGTTTCACCAAAAAGAAAGATACAAGTAAATTTCTCTTAGAACATAGTGAAGTTCACCAGGACTGGACACATAAAATGGCCAGCATCTCTGCGTGCTGCCCCCCGGAAAGGGTCCGGACATGGCGACATATGAGAGGGAAAACTCCTCCCAATCAGGGTCTGGTGCTGGTTGGAGTCTGTCTGATGTCATCTTTCCCAGGACGGTCTGTTCTTACTCCCACGGCCCAGGCGTGGAAACCGTGAACCCTGATCTTCAATCCCACCCAGCACCACAGAATGCTGGGGATGTTCTCAGTACCTGTTCAGCTGTATCTCTCCCCCTCAGCACTGTTGGTATTTTAGGCTTAACAATTATTTGTGGTGGGGGGCCTTCCTGTGCATTGTGGTATGTTCATAAGCCTGGCCTCTACCCTCTAGATACCAGCAGCATTCCCCCTCTCTGAATATGATAATCAGTCCCTCAAGGCAAAGTCTCCTGAAAGCAGCAGCTACATGAAGGTCTCAGAGAATATAGTGAACATAAGGAAGAATGTAACAAAATAGCTCAGGGCAACAAGGATCCCCTGCAGACAATTGGCTGTAGGCAATGACCTGTCTGGTGCACCATGAAGACCTAGCTGGGATGCACCCTCTGCAGTGAACACTGTCTTTTTTTCTTTCTTTTTCTTTGAGACAGAGTTTTGCACTTTTCACCCAGGCTGGAGTGCAGTGGTGCATTCTCTGCTCACTGCAACCTCTGCCTCGCGGGTTCAAGCGATTCTCCTGCCTCAGCCTCCTGAGTAGCTGGGATCACAGGCGCCCGCCATCACACCCAGCAATTTTTGTATTTTTGGTAGAGACGGGGTTTCACCGTGGCTGGTCTCAAACTCCTGACTTCAGGTGATCCGCCCGCCTCGGCCTCCCAAAGTGCTGGGTTACAGGCATGAGCCACAGTGCCTGGCGAACACTGTCCTTTTCACATTGAAGTAAGTGTGACTGGGTGTACGTTTCAGAGTGCACAGCATGTATTCAGTGTTGTTCTCCAGTAACTTCTTTCTTACCTTGAAGCACTCTGTGTAGTACTTCCGTTTCCTTGGCCCTTCTCAACAACTTGGACCCCACACATCACTCAGGGCTGTTCCTCATCAGCTACAGGTTTAACCTGGCAGAGAAGTACAATGAGCTGAGATGGCAGCTCAATGGCACAGTGACACTGGAGCCACCTGTGGAACCATGAGTCCTACCTTGACTACGACTTCCACAGGCGGAGCCGAGAAAACAATAATAGGTGGGAACCTGGACTCCTAACTGACGCCAGGCAGACTCAATAAAGTAAACCAAACTTTTAAAAGAAAACAAAGGAGAATGTCCTAAGGATCTTGGGTAGACAACGGTGATCTAAGACACAAATGCATCAACCATAAAATCTAAGACTAGCCATCATAAAAAGCTTCTGCTCATCAAAAAGATTATAGAGTGACAATACAAAGTAAGAACATATTTCAGTAAAAATATGCAACAATGGTCTTCCATCTAGAATATATCAAGAATTTCTACAGTTCCAGTATACCACAGTTCGCATATGGCCCCCAAGAAGAGTATGCTGGAAACTTAATCCCCCATCATTCTGGGAGGTGGGGCGTTAATGAGGTGATTAGGCCATGAGGCTCTACCCCCATTAATGAATCAATGCTGTTATCGTGCGAGTGGGTTCCTTATAAAAAGGTGAATTTTATTCCCTTTTCTCTTTCTCCTCTCTCTTTGCCCCTTGGTCAGGGAATGACACACCAAGAAGACCCTCGCCAGATGCCAACCTTGTGATCTTGGACTTCCCAACCTCAAAAACTGCAAGCCAATTTCTATTCATTATAAATTACTCATTCTGTGGTATTCTGTTACAGCAGCACAAAATGGACTAAGACACGGTAAGAAAAAAATCCAGACAAAGCAATTTTTAGAACAGGCAAAAGACTTGACAGGAACTTAAGAGAATACCCAAATAGCCAATGAAAAGGTATCTAATATGCACCAGGAAAATATAGATTAAAACGTGCTGAGGTTCTACTACAAATGCACCAGAATTGCCAAATGCAGAGGATAATGCTAAGAATTGCCAAAGCTGTGGAACACAACTCCCATGCGCAGCTGGCAGGAGTGGAAATCGGTACAACTCTTCTAGAAAACCACCAGGCGGTTTCTACCAAAGCTGAGCATGTGTATCCCAATGGGCCAGCAATCTTCTTCTAGGTATGTGCTCAACAGACATGCGTGTAGCACATGTGCACCAAATGACATGATCATGGCAGCAGCATCCCTAACAGCTCAAAGCTACAAATCCCAAATGACCACGCACAGAATGGGTGTATAATCTGTGCTATCATCACACAATGGAACCGTACACAGAAATGAACTACTCCCTCCCTCCCTCCCATGAGGAGCCTCCTCTATTCCTTTCTTTTCCCAAGCTCCAGACCCCCATTACCCCACTATCATCCCTTAACACCACAGGCAGCATCCACCTCTGGGCCACAGAAGACGACCCTGAGCAAACGTGGCTTAAGGCTCCAACCCTGTCAACTCCACTCAGGTGGGCTGGGGTGTGACACTGGCCCTGGAAGGCTGGTCCAGGCAGCAGCTGGGTTCTAGCCCCAGCTCAACCACTTTGGGAGCACGGCCATCGCCCAGTCAGCTCTGGCCCCTACACACCATGGGAGGCTCAACTTCAAGGAGGGTCAAGATCTCCTCTGGGTCCAGAAGATCTCCTCTAGGTTCAGTTCTGTCCAGGAACACTGTCACCACTCAGCTCTTTCCCCAGGAACTCGGCCACCTCCCTTCTTTCATCACAGCCCCACACTCCTTCCAGCTCCTTCCACTCACACAAAAGAGCACCTGGGACTTGAGAGGCAGCGCGCCTCTCCACGCAGCACAGACTTCACTTTCCGAGTTCTCCTGCCACCGACCTGACGTGGAAGACACACTTGGCACAAAAGGACCAGACAAAACCCAGTGCCAGTCAGGTCGGCGTTGTTCTGAGAAGGCAGAGAGAAAAACAGAAACTGAGTTGTAGCAGGGGTTAACAATTTTATATCCACTCTGGCAAGAGATGGCTCGTTCCTTGTGCACTGTCTACGTATTTCCCTATTTCATCCCTGGAGAGTTTAAATGTCCAGAAAGGTTTCTTCCTTCCCAGACCCTCTTCATCCTTCCCCCTTTAAATGGTCATTTCTGCCAAGAATCATCTGTCTCGCTACTTCCTGCTGGTCCATTAATTACAATAACAAGAAATAACCCTGCAGTGATGTCATCCAAACTTTTACTTCCTGTAGCGAACGCACAGGTCAGGCCAACTGATGTGTGTGTCCAGATGCGCCACGCCTCCATTTTGAAAAGAGAAAAAATTCACCACTCTTGCACTCCATGAAAGCTTTTGTGTGTCCAGAAGCACTCACCCCAAGGTTTTATAAGTTAAATAAAAATGAAATGCGTGTCAGGCACCGCTACCACCAAAATGTCGCTATTGTAAGCGGAAAACAAGCCACTGATTGTGCAGAGCTGTGAATGTAGGTTTATATACATAAAGAAAAGCCACATTTTCAAGACACATGTAATGAGATGCAGGGTATAAGACACATTCAGCGTTTCCAGCATGTGTGAGCTGGGGAAGAGTTGGTTTCTGCAGAGTTGGTTTCTGACATCAGCAGGGATAAGGCGGCACCTGTTGGGGATGGAGTGACTCCCTTATCTGTGTTCTTAGAGCAACAGGACTGGAGACGGGGAAGGAAGAACCCCCATCTGGCTCCAAACTCCCCGGGCTCGCAGAAAGGGCTCACTCACCCCCTCACCAGGCCTGGCAGCCAATAGTAATCGGTGTGGTTCATTTTTTGAAGGGATCAAAGAATAAAGCCACATCCAACAGCACATTCTGGAAAGTTCTGGGCTTGGGATTACCAACAAAAAGGGCTCTCTGACACAAACAACTGGGAGCCTGCCTAAAAGAACCCTGAAAACCCAGGTCAGCTGAAGAAATCACCCATGAAAAAGCTGGGGGCACCGTGGTGATGCCCACCCCAGCTGATGCCCACGGGACCCCTGGCCCTCTGCCTCCCGTGTTCAACCTCAGCTCACCTCTCATTTAGTCCAAACGGGGCCACCATTTGGAGTCTGTTCTGTGATTTCAGCACCTGGTATTCAAAGTTATCTTAGGTTGTGGCTTAAGCAGCCAAGTCTGACTTCAGATTCAGCCCTGGGTGGTGCTGATGGGGGGAGGTGGGGGCTGCTCTGACCCCTTCATCACAATTCCCATAAGAACCTTTCTCAGGCCGGGCGCGGTGGCTCACGCCTGTAATCCCAGCACTTTGGGAGGCCAAGACGGGCAGATCACGAGGTCAGGAGATCGACACCATCCTGGCTAACACGGTGAAACCCCGTCTCTACTAAAAATACAAAAAATTAGCCAGGCATGGTGGCAGGCGCCTGTAGTCCCAGTTACTCTGGAGGCTGAGGCAGGAGAATGGCATGAACCTGGCAGGCGGAGCTTGTAGTGAGCCGAGATCGCGCCTCTGCACTCCAGCCTGGGCGACAGAGCGAGACTCCGTCTCAAAAAAAAAAAAAAAAAAAAACCTTTCTCATGGGAGGATGGGCTTGGGCGTTGAGATCAACAGAGGAGGGAGGTTCTAGGACATATTTCCTAGGCGAAGATAGGTCCAAGAAGATTATTTTTGTCTACAGCCTGCTAGAAACAAGGTCTTATCAATTATTATTGATTACAAAGCCACTTCGTCACCTCAAACTGCCTGTTCTGTGGCAACCCCAAGATTGTTCTACTTCCACAGCCTTTTTTTTTTTTTAAACCCAACACACACTGGCCATTTCCTCACAAATTCTACCAGGGTTGACTTCAAAGTGTCGGGGGGAAAGTGCTGTTTTGAGTTGACACGAGGTCACAGACAAGCCAAGCTGCGATGGTTGGGGACAGCTCTGGAGGCGGAGCAATCACCGGATCCTGTAGAGATGGCCAAAGCCAGGAGGACTTCTTCAGATACCTCTAGGGACTCATGACTCTCACCCAGGGCTTAATCTGACCCTTACCAATAATAATGTTCTTTCTTTTTCCTGCTGTGTTTTCCTACCATTCATTACAAATTTTAGACCAATCAAAAAATTTGGAATAACCAGGCCTGGCACGGTGGCTCGTGCTTGTAATCCCAGCATTCTGGGAGGCTGAGGCGGGCAGATCATTTTGGGGTCAGGAGTTCAAGACCAGCCTGGCCAACATGGTGAAACCCTGTCTCTACTAAAAATACAAAAAAAAAAAAACGAGCCGGGCATGGTGACGAGTGCCTGTAATGCCAGCTACTCGGGAGGCTAAGGAACGAGAATTGCTTGAACCCAGGAGGCAAAGGTTGCAGTGAGTCAAGATCATGCCACTGCACTCCTGCCTGGGTGACAGAGTGAGACCTTGTCTCGAGGAAAAAAAAAAAAAAAAAAAAAAGGTGGAAAAACCAGCCCCTGATGGGCCACCAGGAGCTTTCGGGAGCCTGCCCGGGATATCACCCGGCTCCACCATGTGTGACGCTCCTGCTCTAAAGTACACGGAGGACACAGGGCACAGCGCCTTTCACAGCCACTGGCTCACATGCCAGTCCACGGTTCCCAGCGGTGGCGGCATTCCTCTCCAGGGAGGAAAATGCTACAGAATATTCACCACCGGTCAATTCATCTGCCCGGTTGGATCTCCTTCCAAACTTAAAATCTAGGGATTCAGTCCTGCGAATGCCATACTCCGCATTCTCCTTACACAGATTGAGATCAACAGTGGGTTGGTTTCAATAAGATATGAAGAAACAATGAGGCAAGACCATTTTGAAACAGCCCATTATACATACAGAAAATCCAATCAAGCCTTGGCTACAAAAACAGAAGGGTGGGCCGAGCACTAGCATGTCATTAATTATTAATTCTCCTGTAATGTCCCAATATGGACTAAATAACCTATTCCCACAGGAAAATGTATTGTCATTGACAATAGAAGACCAAAATATCTATAATGGTTGCTAATTTGAATAGAATCAGTTCCACGCTTAGGACAAGTGACTATTCCAATGGAGAGTTTATTTACAAGGCATTTTCTCACATGATGCAGGGAGACTGATTTAGAAATTGCAATCCTCTCTCCTGTGATGAAAACCACTTCCACGATTAAGCACTCCATGGAGAAGTACTTACTTACAAGCTTTCCTTTGGATTCTGAATGTTTTCTGCAGATTTTAAACAGAGTCGGCTCACCCTCCATTCCTGGTAACCATGCTAAATGGTTTCGATACTGTACCTGAGCATTTAAGTGATCCTGTCAAATAAAACGTTCCTCCAAGTTAACTCCGCTGTATATTTATGCACTTAATATCACAGCTTACTGCAAAGTGCACAAATCATTTTAACAGAGTATAAATTTAACTACCATGAAGGCATTTTATACTCTGTTTAACTTCACTGAGGGGCCCATATTTTTTGGAGAAGATAAATCATGCTTCCATATAACTTGACTTAGGGGAACAGCAGTCAAAACTCACAAAGAGAAATACACCCAGTTTCCTTGGATTAGGGGTAAAAAAAAAACACACACCCACACCGTCAACCAAGACATCTGTCACCCGTACCTCTTACCAAGCAGTGGTAGCCACCAGTGCACCCAGCCCAGGGCAGGTGGGCTAAGTGAGGGGCTGGGCCATGAGAGTGCACTCTCCTCTGCCCCTGGTCACTGTCCTCTGGCCGTTCTGGAACAATGGGGATTGAGCGCTGTCGACCTGACAACACCCCTAGCATGGGAGGGCTGCCACCTGTGCCATCTTGGCTGTCATCATTGGAAACACAATCTCCTGTGGATCTTTTCTAAAAGGAGCTCCAGGCCCCACTGCCAAAGGGTCTCCAGACGCACATAAGAAATTTAAAAAGGGGGAAAAATAGTCACGCAAGAAATCCATGCATACAGCAGCTGAAGTCATCAATTATTTATTGAATGAGGGAACCTTAGCCATGGCCCATCTGGAAGGGCCAGACTTAGGTCTCAAGCTGTGCCCTGCAGGTCAACAGCAGGAGCTCTTCTGACCTGATAGGAGTCTCTGAACTCAACTCAGGGTCACAGGAGTGCACTTTTAACGTTCAGTGGAGGCAACTGCACATGCGTCACCTCCACAAATTAAGGGCACAGCGCTGCCTCCCACATCCCATACCCAGACCTGGTATGTTACGATGCACAAAATCATGTACAGGACTTAAAAAAAAAAAAAAGGAGATTGAGATAATAGCTTTACAGTGGAGAAAGACGGACTCGATCTTAGCCAAGTGATCAAAGTTAACCCCACCAATAATAAGATAAATTCACATGATGTGCCCTCCTAATCCGCTGTGCTGACAACAACAGTGGGTCCTGAGCATTCCCGCCCAAAGTGCCCAACTCCAATCAGGAAAAAACACAGGACAAACTGAACTGAGGGCCATTCTACAAAATGACTCATCTGCTCTCTTCAAAAACATCAATGTCATGGTACAAAGGAGGACAAGAAACGGTTCCAGATTAAAGATGACTAAAGAGACAAGGAAACCAGAGGCAACGCAGAATCCGAAGTTTCTTTTGCTATAAAGGATCTTATTGGGACTACTGGCAAAATCAGTAAGATCTGAATATTAGATATGATTATCAATGTTAATTTCCTGACCTTGATACTTGTCTTATGTGAAAGAATGGGCACTGTGTTTAGGAAAAATTAACTCCTCCATCCCTAAATACTTTAGCCTTATATATTTGCAAATATCTCAGAGGGATCTGAAGATTATATACTCTGTGCGTGTGTTTCTGTATATGAGAGAAACACAAGCAAATGTGGTAAAATGTCATTTGGAGAGGCTAGGTAAAGGGTAATTAGAAATTCTTTGTTCCATTCTTACAACTCTTCTGTAAGTCTGTAATTATGTCAAAAGAAAAAGTTAAAGGGAAAAAAAAAATAGACATGAATGGCCACAGTGATTGTGTTCAAGTTTTAGAATCAAGATTGACTGATATTTTCCCAGAGAACCCAAATTTTTGCAATGTGATTTCATTACTCTTTAAGGTAAACTACCAAAAATAAAGTAAGAGTCACAGCATGTCAGGGGCGCTTCAGATGGAAAGACAGGCGGGTCAGGCAGGGCAAGGTCCCAGGCCTCCTTCTGTCTCTGCTGTTGGCTGCTGCAGAGGAAGTGGCCACCGAGAACCCACCCTGTCTCTACCCAGGCTCAAGTATCCAAACCCCAGGCCAGCATGGTCAGCGCTGCCCAGGGGCAGGCTCTGTACCTGCTGCTGTGTGCCAGAGAATTCCACACGGCCACAGTACAGTCCAGAAACCAGCCAGAACCAGCCCGTGGGCAAGGGAACAGACCTGAAAGTCACAAAGCTTGGCGTGCCCTCCCTGATGGCCCAAGGTCAGGGCTGGCCACGCCGGAGCTGGGGGCTGCCCTCCTCCCCCCAGGCAGCCTGTCTCTGCAGGCCGGCTCCGGGACACACTGTCTTCAAAATCCCCATCCATGCTCCTTACAGCCAGTGGACAGCCTCGCCTTGGAGATGTGGCCAGATGGGCTGCCTCTTAAGTCCTCGTCCATGCTCCTTACAGCCAATGGGCAGATTCACCTTGGAGATGCTGCCCTTCTGGCCTCTCTCTGGAGAAGACAAAAAACTCAGTAACTTCCCCAAAAAGCTCCTGCTTTATGTACTGAACTTGTACTTCCCACTAAAATCAATTATTAATAAGATTTAATAGGCCTCTTGCCTCAGGTATCATTTCCAGCTAATTTTTACTCCCCCATGAGGAGAGTATGGTGGCTGCACAAGTCACGTTTGCACACTGTATCCATGATCATTCTGCCAGCTTTCCTCTTTTTTTTTTTTTTTTTTGAAACAGTCTTGCTCTGTCGCCCAGGCTAGAGTGAAGTGGCATGATCTCAGCTCACTGCAACCTCCGCCTCGTGGGATCAAGTGATTTTCGTGCCTTAGCCTCCTGAGTAGCTGCGACCACAGGTGCACGCCACCACACCTGGCTAACTTTTTGTATTTTTGGTAGAGACGGGGTTTCACCATGTTGGCCAGGGTGGTCTCGAATGCCAGACCTCAAATGATCCGCTCGCCTCGGCCTCCTGAAGTGCTGGGATTATAGGCGTGAGCCCCTGCACCCAGCCTTTCTGAGAATTTTCACAGGACATATGTCCAGCAGGCCTCGGCATTACCTTCTACTCCAGAAAATTCAGCTCAGAAGCCAATGCTCCAGGAGAGGGTTTCCCAGAGCACACCAAGCAAGATTTAAGTGCCCTCTCTCTCTGAGCCAGCACAGGGTCCATCTCTCTGGGGGGTTGGTCCCCACCAGACTGCAAGTACTGGGAGGGGATGGTTATCCCCTTGGCTCTGCAGCCAGCGGCTGCTGCAGAACACGTGTTGGACTAAATAAAGCTAGACTTAAATTCTGCCTTCACGTCGCAAGTTTACATCTGACACCAACAACGTAAGACCACCAGGGCCAGCACGCATTCTCAACATACTTTCCAAAGCTGGAAAAAAGCACAGCCAAGTCACTCAGAAAAGCCTCTCTTGATTTGGCTTCTGGATAAAAAAGAGTCTCCCTGTCGTGCCAGATGGGGTCAACTACTCGGTGAAAACAGAGGCCCATTCCACAGGCACCACTGCTGAGCCTCTGAGTTCCCAGGACAGGGCTGTCCGAGGACACAACACTGACAGCCATGTGCAGACCCCCGACCTGGGCGAGGATACCGCCCTCTGAGACTCAGTCGCCTGTCTACAAAAAAGGAAAAGATACCACATTACCGTGACCATCTAGTCTAATGAAAATGCCACCAGGATCAAAGACCATAACGCAAAGCCCTCTGTTTGCACCTTAGTCCGAACAAGCACCCAGGATACACTCGCTGTTGTTTGTTTGTTTGTTTTAAGGCAGGATCTCACTCTGCCTCCCAGGCTGGAGTGCAGTCTTGACCTCCTGGACTCCAGCCGTCCTGCCACGTCAGCTTCTCAAGTAGCTGTGACTGTAGGCACGCACCATCACACCCAGCTAAAGTTTTTTTTGTTTTGTTTTTTTGAGACGGAGTCTTGCTCTGTCATCCAGCTGGAGTGCAGTGGTGCGATCTGGGCTCACTGCAACCTCCGTTCCCTGGTTTAAGCATTTTTCCTGCCTCAGCTTCCCGAGTAGCTGGGATTAGAGGCATGCGCCACCACGCCCAGCTGATTTTTGTATTCTTTAGTAGATATGGGGTTTCACTATGTTGGCCAGGCTGGTCTAGAACTCCTAATCTCAAATGATCTGCCCGCCTTGGCCTCCCAAAGTGCTAGGATTACAGGTGTGAGCCACGGCGCCTGGCCCCAGCTACGTTTTTTGATTTTTTGTAGAGAAGAGAGCCCACTATGTTATTTTATTTTTTGTAGAGATGTTATGTATGTTGCCCATGCTGGTCTTGAACTTCTGAGCTCAAGCAATCCTCCTGCCTTGGCCTCCCAAAGTCGTGGGATTACAGGTGTGAGCCACTGTGAGCCCAGCCGGCTGCTGTTTAGAAGTGCATCACAAAGGATGCCTTGAGGGGCTTGGGGAACATCTCAGGGAAGAAGCTGCACGGAGAACGGTCCAGTCATCCTTCTATTTCGAGCCAACAGCAGCCCCGTGGAAGGAAAGGTGACTAAATGAGAAGGAATGTGACTCAGAGGGAGGCGCTCTGGAGGCCTCTGTGCCTACCCCAGGAGGGGCTGGCCTCTAGGTGGAGTCCCTACCAGTCCGGAGGCTCCCGCCCAAACCTTCCCCATCCTCTCTGGGAAGGGAGGGCGTGAGGAGGTGGTCCCCTGGAAGCCACCTCCCCAGCCCTGAGGTTCACACCACCTCAGTCTCAGGGGTCCGGGGGTGGCCCCAGTTAAAACATGGGTTTCCAGACCAGTGAAGCACTCAGAAGCACAGCCCTTCTCCTTGCCCGTTCTGTGTCCCCTGGCAGAGGGTGGGTCTGGTATCTGTGTAGCAGGTCCTGACCCCACCCAAGCAGCAGCAGTGTCCCAGCACCCCCGCCTTCCTGACCCACCGGCACTCTTTCCCACCAAGACGCCTTGAGATCCCCAAAACACGTCTCCACTGCTGCCCCAAGTCTGCCCCCAAAGGTTTGGCCTTCGCCACCTGTTACTGCCCAGGCTTGACACACAGCCATGAGTTCCGCCGTCGCCACGTCAGCAGATCTCTGCCAATGTGTGCCTGCCCTTGAACATTTCCCCCAGCTCTAGGCAAACAAAGCCCTCTCCTTAGCAACAGCTCACTGGGCAAAACCCAAAGATGACCCGACCTGGCGCACCTCCAGCACTCCAGGTCTTGGCTCATGACCATGGGACTGCGACAGAAATTACCTTCAACCCTCACGTCACCACCCATCACCCAAGCTGCGACACCAATACATCAGCAGGAGAAATGAGGCGGATTGCAAACAGCTGCCGAGTTCCAAGATAAAGAGTTTTATTTTGGTGGCTAAGGGGAAAAGTAGAGAAAAGCCGCCAACATTTTTACCAACAGCATAATTATATGAGAGAAAACTCCCTCCTTTAAGATTCCTACGCTGCCCTGACAGCAATTTAAGCAGCTGAGAAAAGATGGTGAAGACAAAGTCATTACGGCAGGATCCCGTCTCCTTCCTGTACACACGCCTGACTCTCTGTAATGACAATGAAAGAAAGCTCTGCGGGCATATGGCAGGGGAGCCACCTCCGTGTGCAACAGCAGTTGCATCAAGTCTTTAGTGCAGGATTTAGCTGTCTTAAAGATCCTATTAACCAGAGACAATTTCCATCCCAGGCTCCAGGCAGAGCTGGGAGCTTTCCTTCAGAAACGAGGGCGAAGAACCTCCAACAGTAAGTTTTCTGCGGGCGCTGGAACTTCCAGCCCAAAGCCTTCAGCAAATCACTCCATGGGGAAATCTAGTCCTGTCAGCTTTAAACTGGCCACCTTGCATTAACAGGGACTCTCGCAGCTGGGGTGTGGGTAATCTCAATGCACAGCTCTGCTACTATATGAGTTCACTCAAATGATCCCCTTGTTTCTGCTCTTATGCCTTCCAAGCCATTTTCCAGAGACACCCAGGAGGATTCTCACTGGAAACTGAAATGTGATCCTAGCCCAGTGTCTGGAAGCTCTCCAGCAACGCCCAGTGCCTTCGTGGTCAAGATCCGGGTCTGCCCTCACAGGGCCACAACCGCACTGGCTCCTGCCCTGGGTACAGCCCCTCGGCCTCCAGACCTTTCCCCAGATGCCCCATGGCTGGCCTCCTCCTGCCACGCCAATCTCAGCCTCCCCACAGAGAACCACTCCCTGTGTTCTCACCAAAGGGTCCCCTCAGTCCAAAGTATCTCTCTGGTCTTAATGTTTGTGTCCCCCTGCAAATTCCTATGCTGAAAGCCTCATCCCCAAGGTGGTGGTATTAGAGGGTGAGGCCTTTGAGTGGTAATTAGATGATGAGGGTGGAGCACTCATGAACGGGATTAGTGCCTGATGAAAGAGCTCTTTTGGCCAAGGCTCGGTGGCTAATGCCTGTAATCCTAGCACTTTGGGAGGCCGAGGTAAGTGGATCACCTGAGGTCAGGAGTTCGAGACCAGCCTGGCCAACACAGCGAAACCTCATCTCTACTAAAAATACAAAAATTTGTCGAGCGTGGTAAACTTTGATCCAGCAATCCCTGTAATCTCAGCTACCCGGGAGACTGAGGCAGGAGAAAATACAAAAATTTGCCAAGTGTGCTGGTAATCGGCTGTAATCCCAGCTACTTGGGAGGATGAGGCAGGAGAATCGCTTGAACCTGGGAGGTGGAGGTTGCGGTGAGCCGAGATCACACCACTGCACTCCAGCCTGGGCAATCGAGCAAAATTTTATTTAAAAAAAAAAAAAAAAAAAAAAAGGAAGATCTCATTTGACCCTTCCACATAGCGAGAGAGTACCGTCTCTGAACCAGAACTTGGGCCCTCATCAGACATCGAATCTGCTGGCATCTTGGTCTTGGATTTCCCAAGAATTGTGAGAATTAAATTTCTGTTGCTATGAGCCACCTGCTTATGGAATTTTGTTATAGTAGCCAAAGCAGACTAAGACAACATGCTCTCCACTTGACACTGAGAAAGCCAGGCCCTCAGGGAGGGGGCTCCGCCTCTAGAACACAAGTTCAGTGGGAGCGCGGCCACTGCACCTGCGGATCCTGAGGAACAGTCCACGACACACACGTGCGCCCACACACACGATCTCTGAATGGATGGATGACTGAGTCTGAAGAGATCATGAGCCAGCCCTGATTCTTCAGCCCTAACTTCAACCTTGAAAGGAAAATTTGGGCAATTTCTTTCTTTTTTTTTTTTTTTTTGAGACAGAGTCTCGTTCTGTCACCCAGGCTAGAGTGCAGTGGTGTGATCTCAGCTCCCTGCAACTTCCAACTCCTGGGTTCAAGCGAGTCTCCCGCCTCAGCCTCCCGAGTACCTGGGATTATAGCCTGCCACCATGCCCGGTTAATTTTTGTATTTTTAGTAGAGACGGGGTTTCGCCATGTTGCCCAGGCTGGTCTTGAACTCCTGACCTCAGGTGATTCGCCCACCTCCAGCTCCCAAAGTGCTGGGATTACAAGCATGAGCCACCGCGCCCAGCCAAGGGACATTACTTCTTAAGTACAGAAGCATCAGTGAAGGTCAGTGGCATGATGCGCTGGGCCGTCCTCCACAGGTTATTATAAAGAAGACATCCATGAGGACGAATGTCCACACCTGCCAGGAAACACTCCCCCAGTCCCCCTGAAGGGCAAAGGTCTGTCTTCCAAAGAGCCTGGGCCTGCTCCTTTTGTCATTCTACTGGCCCAACACCCACTCACATGTCTCTCATCCCCCCACTTAGTCCTCATTTTCTCGAGTCCTTCAGTTTGACCAACAATCAGACCCCACATCTAGGAGTGTGCTGAATAACTCAGCTTTGTTTAAGCACAAGAGGTCTCTGGGATGCTTCAACGCCGACTCCCACAGCATGCCACAACATGCCTTGTGGCCAGGCGGCCTGACTGCAGCTCACAGCATGTACATGCTCTCTCTCACTGGTGGACAGCTTATGTGGCTTTACAAATTTTCTTGATTTACAAGAACTGTGCTTCCTTGTCTCCCAACCCAGTTCTGCCCTCTGGAACCGGTTGCCTCCCCATTTCCTGGAACAATACTCCAAGGACAGGTGCTTCTTCTCTGGGCTCAGCAGCCTCGGGTGCCTGAGTTACTTTCCTGCACCGTCCATTCCCACCTCCTTCGGTGAGCTCTTCAAATGGTCAAGGCACAGCTCACATCCGGCCCTGGAATCTGACCCAGGACGCCAGCCCACAGAGAACTGTCCAGGATGCTTGAGAGCCTATGGAGCCACCAAGAGCTAAACTGAAAAGGGACAAAAGATCACAGGAGATCCTGTCAAGACAACTGTAACTGGTACGTACTGTGCGTCGGAGATACTGTACGATGTCATTCAAGAAGCTCACGGAACAGCACTGCAGTCGGCAGGAGTAACAACAGAACCAGGATAGTGGAAGGAAGTTGGCAAGGGGCGTGGACCGCTGTGGGGGATTCTAAAGAATGAAAAAGGGATGGGAGCGGGATGACCTGTGCAGTTAGTACAGATGATAACCATGACCCCAAATCAAGAGTTATAAACATACAAAGAATGTCTCTTTACCACTCAAACGATGACAGGAGGCATCAAGGCAGCCACTTCTAATACCCGCCATGCAAACTGAGGGTTTTCTTTGATGCTGCTGGTCATCACTCAATCAGCCTCAGAGCATGCCATTTATCAATCAATGCAATGGACAAGCTGAAATCACCCCGGATAACCTCAGGATTGATCACTATTGCTCATTACCTTCTGAACTGCAGGGAATGAGTCCACATCACCTGAAAATGTCTCTCTCCTGGAAATTACACAGTAAGTGTTTCCGTTGGCTAGAAATCAATAGCCCTACTCAACGCCTAACAATTGAGTTTTGTTAACGGGCATACAAAAAGAGGGCGAAGATCACACCCTTCATACTTCCCACTTCTCACCACTGTGTAAACCCACCTGCCTTCAAGAACTGCACCAAATTCGGAGACCTAGTTGGGAGATGAATGCCCCAGAGCTCTCTGTCCTCCCAAAGAGAGTTTCATTATCAGTTCTTCCAAGCCAAAGATCAAGATGAGATAAATACCAAACAGAACCATTTCACTTTCTTCATGCATCACGTGTGTCTTTTACTCTAGCTGGGATTCACAAATTCGGTTGCGAAGATATAAAATCAGTATCAGAGACACAAAAGCCATGTTCTAATTTCTTTAATAGGGTAAGAATAACATCTCTCACAAGTATATTTGTCACTTATGCCTCAAAACAAGCTGCGACCTACATAGTATTTCAGAGCCGTATGACATGCTGCAAACATTTTTTTACTTTAAAAGACGTGCTCTCGACAATAAATTTTAGGCGAGAATAAAAGTTGCTTTTTTCATAAGTGTAAAGGAAAACAAACATTACCAATGGGATTTTGTTTTTCAACATCTGGAGATTCTAAAGTACCAGAGGTTGACACAAAAACTTTAAATCAAAGTAATGAAAATGCCTGACAGAATCAGTGAAATTATTTTGTGAAAGAGCCGACCAAACTGGATGACAGTTGAACTTCCGAAGTCACGGTGTGGCTCAGGGGGAGCACAGGTGTCTAGGGGAGGGGTCAACCTGGAGCTATTAAAGGACCCTTTTGTCAACCTAGAGCCTCCAAGAACAGTTTCTGGCCACTGTTTGGGCTGTTTCTCTTTCTGAGTCTACACATTTGCAAAGTGTGCAGATCAGGCAGGCACAGCTCAAAGTGGCTGAACACACCCAGAAGGACCAGCCAGAGAATGTAAGATGTGCAGGCGAGAGCAGCTGGGGAGAAAAGGATGCTTCCAGGAGGCGGAAGCTGGGCAGCTTCCAGGACTGAACTACACATGCATTTCCTGCAGAGTCCTAGCTCAATCCTTGACACACAGCAGGGACTTAATAAATGTCTGCTCCATAGCATACACTACTAGTATTTGCCATCCAGCTGACCAAGGGAATGGCCTAATGGGTGGGACCATGTCACAGGAGGGTTCTCATCTTGGCCTCTGTTGGCTCAGTTTCATATGCCCCTCCCCTGGAAGTCTGCACACTGATGTTGTCCTTGGGAACACTTCCGACTAGGCTGCACCCTTCGTGTTTGCTCCACTGGTGGGAACCTGGGGGCCAAGGGGCCCCAGCAGTCAGCACCAATGCAATAGTCCTTGAAGATCACGGCCAAAGCTATACTTGCTCTGGACAGGTAACTCCCCCTTTCATGGGCAGGGGTGGTAAAAGGAGCAAGCAGAAGCAAAAAGGAATTTTCCTCTAAAAACAGAATTGCTGAAAGGCACTTAATAGAGGGATAGGGGCCAGACACGGTGGCTCACACCTATAATCCCAGTACTTTAATAGGAAGAGGCTGCGGTGAGCCGAGATCATGCCACTGTACTACAGTCTGGGCGACAGAGAGTCCCTGGCTCAAAAAAAAAAAAAAAAAGGTTGGGGGGATGGGATTTGGCTGAAACATGAAACAGTGAAATGCAAAGAATGTATCATAACTGAATATGTATCATAAACTGAATTACAGACTTAAGATATTTTATGTTTATAAATGATTTCATAGAAAAAATATGGAATAATAATGGTTATTTAAAAAAAAAAAAAAAAGCTGAGGAGGGCCAGCGTGGTGGCTCACACCTGTAATCCCAGCACTTTGGGAGGCCAAGGTGGAAGGATCACTTGAGGCCAGGAGTTTGACACCAGCTTGGGCAACATAGTGAGACCCGACCTCTACCAAAAGTTTAAAGATTAGCTGGGCATGGTGGCATATGCCTGCAGTCTCAGCTATTTGGGAGGCTGAGGTGGGAGGACTGCTTGAGCCCAGGACGTCGAGGCTGTAGTAAGCTGTGCTGGCACTCACCCTGGACGACAGAGCAAGATCTTGTCTCAAAAAAAAAAATAAATAAATAACAAAACAAAACAAAACAAAACTGGGGAGATGGGGGAAAATAACCAACCACACTGACAGCAAGTTGGCAAAGTGCTTACGTCTCCAAGCACTGGTCCATGTAATTTGCAGGTACTAAGTCATTTATCCTTTACAAGCTTATAAAACAGGTACTATTATTACTTATATTTAAGGAGGAAATTGGCGCAAAGAAAAGATCAGCCATTTTCCCAATGCCACACAGCTACCAAAGGCAGAGGCAGGAATTGAGCCCAGGCAGCTGGATGCTAGCATACATGGTTCTGCCAAAAGAGACAATTGAAAAAACAAAGGATATGACTTAACACAAACCAAAACCATAGTAAGTACAGATTCCACTTAGGTAAAATCCTGGGTGTGCACACATGCCCAAAGGCAGTAAGAGGGAAAGAAAAGTATTGGAGAGGCCTACTGGTCTGCAGAGGTATCTATGCACAATCTGCCATATCGAATGGGAATGCAGGAGTAACAGGACTCCTTTCGGTAAGCCAACACAGACACCCTCCGTATGCTCAGATGCACTTGTACGTCCTGGTAAAGGCAAGGAGAAAGACAGTATCTGAGGACTGGGGAGGGAAGGTAATCAGCTCTGTCTTCGTAAATCTTGCATTGCACTGTTCCCCTCTTCAACAAATGCATGATTCCTTTGGAAGCATCAGGGTGACCAGCTATTTTATTCCCTATTTAAAAAGTAACATAGGCCAGGTGCAGTGGCTCACACCTGTAATCCCAGCACTTTGGGAGGCCAAGGCAGGAGGATCACATGAGCCCGGGAGTTTGAGACCAGTCTGGGCAACACAGGGAGACCCCATCTCTACAAACAAACAAAAAATTAGCTGGGCATCGTGATGCATGCCTGTGGTCCCAGCTATGTGGGGAGCTGAGGCAGGACTGCTTGAGCCCGGAGGTCAAGACTGCTGTGAGCTGTGACTGTGCCACTGCACTACAGCCTGGGTGACAGAGTGAGACCCTGTCTTGGAAAAAAACAAAAAAACCCAAACATATATTCATTACAGAACATTTGGGGAGGAGGAGTGGGTATGGAAAAAAAAATCACCCAAAATTCTACCAACTAAAGATAATCACTATGAACTGCTCCTCATCAGCTTTCCCCCATGATTATTTTTATGGTTCTATTCATAAATGTTCAACATTTGATATTGAAGCTTTTCATTTTAAGACAAGCATTCTACTTATTTCAAACTGTGAAGGCATCATTTGAAAAAGAATTAGCTGTTTTCCCACTGTTGGATGCTTGAGTCATCTGTCTTTTTGCTGTCAAGTAACACCATAACTAAAATCTTGGTGCATTAGAGCTTTCTTGGCATTGGGTGGGGAAGGGAGATTACTAGGTCAAAGAGCATGGTTTCCTTGTCTGAAGATTCTTTTTTTTTTTTTTTTTTTTTTTGAGATGAAGTTTCCCTTTGTTGCCCAGGCTGGAGTACAGTGGCATGATCTCTATGATCTCTGCTCACTGCAACCTCTGCCTTCTGGGGTCAAGAGATTCTCCTGCCTCAGCCTCCCTAGTAGCTGGGACTGCAGTCACGTGCCATCACACCCAGCTCATTTTTGTATTTTTAGTAGAGATGGGTTTCACCACGTTGGTCTCGAACTCCTGACCTCAAGTGATCCATCCTGCCTCCACCTCCCAAAGTGCTGGGATTACAGGCATGAGCCACCACTCCCAGCATTCCTTGTCTGAAGATTCTAATGGATTACTTCATAGTCACAATCTATGACAGTAACTTATCTAACCTTCTTCCCACCCGCCACCAGCAAGTATGTGGGGACAGATCTGGACAGACACACACACGGGCATGGCGGCCTCATCCTACAGGGTTAGTTCCATAGTAGCAAGTCAGGCCCCGGGGGCAGTGGAGTAGAACAGAGTGGTGCCATCGGGAGGTGGTGACGTCACCAGGCAGCAGGTGTCCTGTCTCTGGATAAGCCCATGTTGGGCCACACTGTTTCTTCCAGAACGTACCCAATGTGGGCACTGGCTTACGTTTAGGAGCAACGACTTCTACAACATGCCCAGTTACCACATGAGAGCGACACCCAGTGAGATGTTCACACAAAGCATGGCACACACAGCGCCAGGAAAACAGCCCGCCTTCTAGAGTGGGGGGGGGCAGCACGTGCTTCCTGAGTTTAACGGTGGCCCATGGCCCATCTCAGGACCCAACACCAGCCCCAACCGTTACGTGGTGCTTGAATGGCACTCAGAACGCGCACTCAGTGCCCAGCGACTCCAGACCCCAAGCTGACCGTTCTCTTTACTGCCTCAGTATCTCAGCCCCCTTCATCTGCACTGTCCAAAGCCTGCTCAAGTATCAGAAGCTGTTTCCTTCGTCAGATCCATCCTGCGTGCTTTCTACATGAGCATCTTTAACCTCTAATGCTGGGCTGAAAACAACTCAGTGTTTTGGAAAGTTAAGTTTTCTACTCCAGCAATCTGAGGGTGGGGACATCCACAGGAACCCTGCGGCCCACAAGGAAAACAGAAGGCAGGCTTAATCACTGAATTCTCACTGAAGAATTCCAGCGGCCAAATGTCCTTTCTAATCCTGTGTGCTGTTCTGAGAGAACATTCTAGCCACTTCTTTGTATATGTGAAAACCACTGCAGCAGGTCCTATTTTGGGCAGATTTTCCACATTAAAAGGCACAATGGTTAAAATGATCGTATGATACACCTCCCACCCACGACACTTTGTTTAATTCAAACTCAAATACCAAAGCAGGAGAGTCGACTGTTTACCACACTTGAATTTATAAATGGCCTTCCTGCCCATCACCCAGGCTGCCCCACCCCCTCCCTTCTTTCGACACAGCTGGGTGGGAATGCAGTGACCTAATATCACTGGACAGATAATTCCTTGCCTTGGGGAAAGACTGGCAAAGCCCACGGCATCTGCCATTTCCAATCTACTCCTCGGAATGGTAAGTAGGGGCTTGTGCCAGGACGCTCAGGGGGCAGCACAGAACGCGCGCAACCGTGGCTGGAAGTGAAAATGTAAAAACCCTCCCACGGCCTCGCTGGGAGTCACTGCTCTGCATTGGAAAACCCGGGTGTTTGATTCAACTAAATCATCTCAAAGCCTGCACTGGAGAAAATAATTGAATTAAAGAGTTGCTATAACTCATTCAAGTGAGATAAAAACCATCCAGTGGGAGGCGAGACGGCAAGGCAAAGACACTGCTGCTAGAATGTGCCGTCTTCTTGAGATTGCGAGGAGAAACGCAATATAATGTGGTTCAAAGGACAGATGGGACTTTCCTAATTGTCCCCAGATTCCTAGCAGCAGGGGTGGTAACTAAATGGTTTCAATTAAAAGTTAAAGAAACAGAGGAAAGCAGGCGGTAAGTTACGCCTGGTGCTGATAAGCCTCATTCGGATCAGTCTCAGGGATGCTTTGTCCTGATTTCAGACAGCCAAGTGTCAATGGCACACAAGTGGTGGAGCCATCCCAACATGTCACCCTGACAAGGTGACAAATAAATCTGTCTGTCAAATGCACTGTCATGAACACCCATGTGAGCATCATGGAGCCAAGCACCAGGCATGTGGCGACGGCTCAGAGCAGGGCCCTTCCATCTGCAATCAAGGAGAAAAAGGGACGGACGCAATCGCTAGAACACAGCCCAAGGAAGCAACGATGATGTGGGGGTTACGCACCTCAGGGAGGACGCTCCACCTCTGACAACGGCTACAGGGTGGTTTCCGTGCCAAGCACGGTATGGCTCAAGTACAGTGTGACAAGGGCCATGGAATCAACTTCTACCCCTTCACCAGGGGCTCTCAAGCAGGGGACACTGGGCCCTATCTGGCGACATCTCTGGTCATGCCGGGGTGGGGAGGGAGGCAACACTGGCATCGGGTGGGGAGAGGCCAGGGATGCTGTTGAACATTGTATGATGCACAGGACAGCCCCCCACAATGAAGAACCACCAGACCCAAAATGTCAACAGTGCCAAAGTAGAAACTCCTGCCTTAAAGGAATCGTAAGTTGAAGTCTCTGAAGTTCCAAACTAGAAATGCTGAGAAATGGCTGGGGCTGATTACCGGCAATTTTTTTTTTTTTTTTAACCAACATAGGACATAAGCAATACGCTGAAAGGGACAAGTAAGTGCATCAAAAAAGCAGAACAGACGACGAGCATGGGGGTGGGCTCCAGCCTCTGAAGAAGCGCGGAGGAAGCAAGTGTGGCAGGGCTGGGTGGCGCTGTCCTGCGGATGCTGATTCAGAAGAAGCTGACCCACAGCCAAGTGTGGCTGAGGTGGAGCTGAGAACAGGAGGTCCCCTGAGGATGACTGCAGCCCCATCTTTTAGGGTAGGTCTCTCAACACACTCACAATTCCCATCCATGTCACTGCTCTGGGAGGAAGTTTGACACACACCTAGCAAACAGATCTTGGAAAAAATGAATCCCTAAATGTGAGAAGGTCTCTACTGACAAAGGCAAACAGAGGGGCGTAGGGTCCCAGAAAGCCAAGGTCAATGCCTAAGGCTCTGAATGCAAATACTCAGCATCCACCAGCCCAAACTCAGAAGGCAGCCCCAGCTACCACCAGGCTGCTCTGGAGTTACGCAGCCCAGCCACGCTTCCAAGGGATGTGGTCAAAACAGAAAGACCACCCAGCAAGGAGGGCAGGAGGAGCCTCATCTCACCACAGAAAAAGGGACGAAATGAACCTGGGAACAGCTCCGTTGGTGTTAGGGGTCACCAGGCCCCACCACCAGGAAAAGACAAGAACAGCCACTACCACATGCTCTGAGGACGCTAGTCCTTCTGGAACTGTGGGCCTCAGAAGGAAGCAGACTAAGATGCTCCTTCTTCCCACCAATACACCCCACGTCTGGGTGGCTCCTGATGACTTTTCGATGTTGGCAGATGTTTTGTGATGTCCTGACCTCAAAACTAGGTGTGTACAGGGACAGGGCCTGGGGATTCAGGCTGGAGCAGACGCTGAGCTTTGCAGACAGCACAGTTTCTGTAGGAAGTAGTAGGTTTCTCACTGTTTACAAAAGCTCTGTGGTGACTCCAGGTTTAGGCTAAAGATGACCCCACTCAGGATTCACTAAGCCTTGCTAAGGCCCAATGGTCATGAGGTGGGAGGCAGGGGAGTCCTTGCCTCTGCCAGGAAGTCCTGCCAAGTCTTCACCCCCTCGGCCCTAACGCAGCCGTTTCTAGGAAGCCCTATGAACTGTACACCCAAAGGCAAACCAGGAAGGGAGCGCAGGGAGTGGGGGCTCATCTCCTTTCCCTCCACTCCTTAATACTTAGGGGGTTATTCTTTTGTCCCCTTTGTCAAACACAAAAAAAGCAAAACACAGCACGCACATGGTTGAAATAAGACATGTTTGCATTCTTGTTCTAAGAACTCTGGCAACAAAATCCGAGTACTCAATTATGTAGCCCCACTATTAGTTAACACTTCATTACTATACTTCGTATTTCCTTTTCGTCTTTTTTTCTGAGAGTAGGTTAAAGAGAAAGAAGACAGTGAACTTTGCTGAACCTACCCCATGGGGAAAAAATGTCTCCAAGTTATGAAAAGTGAAAAAGAAAACAAAGATGCAAAATAACATAGTGATAAAATCTCTGCATGATTTGAGACTATCGCCTCATGAATCTAAAGCTGACTGATCAATACTTCCTATTTCCCAGCTCAGAAGTGGGACAACATCGCTACTCGACTAAACAGATGGCTAACCACAACCCAGTAAACCCCCTCCCTGCCGAAACAGTTACTGGACAGGAGAATGCAGGTTATAGCACGTGGTCATTTACAAAACTAAAAGGTATGAAACTCTCTGCTGAGTCAGGTTGCCTAGACACAGCTCTAACACATTCTGTCACCTAAGATTATCATATACATTAAGGTTTAAAAAAAAGCCAGCCAGCCCAGGTAAGAAATACAAAAGTCTACACGGCATGAAATAGCTCAAAGAGACTTGTTTGGTGGAATTAACTAGTGGTTTAATGGGGGGGTGGGGGGGAGATGTCTGATATACAAGAGTGCCCCAATTTCTTCCGAGAAATTAACATTTCAATCCTGTTTTTATCTAGAAGTCATTAAACTGTGCAACATGAATTATTGGAACTGTAGCAGCGAATTAACTCTATTCATCAACTAAGTCCAAACATTTTAGAGTGTATCTGTAATGAAAAAATAGCTCTACATTTCTATCTCTTCTCATTAAAGTAAACCAGTTTTCCCTCTCTCAGTATATAAAACTGTCTTCTCTTCACATAATTTATATTACCATAAGCTGGCACACATTCTAAACTATTACATGCCTCCAATTAATTTTTGCAGCTTTTGCCTGAAAATTTAATGAGATAGTAGTGGATGAACCTGCTGACTCCAGATTATGTGTGTGCTCCCAATATTAATGTTGGCACAATAAAATAATCTGATCCACACCTGACTCAAGCATTTCCCCTCGCTGGGGTATAAAGGTAATATGGAAACCAGGTCCGCTCATTTCAGTCTTTTAAATCCAATTACAAAATTTACTAGTCTCAAATTAAACTGCTCCTACTCATCAACCTGGGAGAAAAGGAGAAAGCAGCAGCACAGTCTAATTATCCCAACACCATTTCTATCAACACTGCAGGGAACAGTTACAATGGATGACTATTTGTCTAAGGCCTCAGTTCTCTACCGTGGAGAAGTCACAAGCCGCACTCCTCAAAGCCAACCCAAGGAAGCCAGCGCAACCCCCGTGATGAGTACAGGGTACAAGGAAGCCTGTTCTCTGTCCCGCTGCTACAGGCGCGCCTTAGGTGCATGCCTCACGTGGGGTCCATACCATTCACAATTTGTACACGTGTGCATATCAGTGTGTCCATGTCAGATGTATGTGTGCACACGTGTGAGCATGCACACGTGTGAGCATGTACATGTGCCTGAGTTCAGATGAATAGGTGAGGGGCATTGGCAACTTGAAGTCTCAATGACAGGCCCTCTGTAGTTCCTACTTTTTGCCAAAGGGTTGAGGTACAAGCAGAAGGCAAAAAAGGCCGACGAGGCTGGGAGCAGTGGCTCACGCCTGTAATCCCAGCACAGCACCTTGGGAGGCCAAGGCAGGTGGATCATGCAGGTGGATCACTTGAGGTCAGGAGTTTGAGATCAGCCTGGCCAACATGGTGAAACCCCATCTCTACTAAAAGTAGCTGGGTGTGGCGGCGGGCGCCTGTAGTCCCAGCTACTAGGGAGGCTGAGGCAGGAGAACTGCTTGAACCCAGGAGGCGGAGATCGCAGTGAACCGAGATCGCACCACTGCACTCCAGTCTGGGCGACAGAGCGAGACTCTGTCTCAAAAACCAAACGAACAAAAAATGCCAACAATACCAGTAACAGCAGCAGCAGTCAGTAATCAATGTTCAAAAAGTGCCTGCTATCCCCGTTTTCTTTTTTGCCAAGCACTGAGACGGTCCCAGCCATCAGTCCACAGGTGTGTGGACCCAGCACGTGTTCAGCTCTTGGAGTGAACGGAATGGAACTTAGGCAGACTACTCCCCAAATTCCATTCCCTCCCTAGGCTGCTAATGACAATGACACCCACATACACTAGCCCTGGTGGCTGAGAATATAGTAATATCAAGAGAATACACGGTACCCAGCTGCGTCTGGTATATGCGTGGTCCGTAAGGCATCACTTGGTTGATGTGTGTTTAACAGCCCTTAGGAAGGCCAGGACCTGGGGATGAGCGGGCCATGCTTCCGAGGATGGGGGTTTATGTCCAAAGATGGCCAGAAGACCCCCCTATTTGTACCTGTGCCCTGCACCTTCACAGTGCCAATGACGCAGCCTGGGGCTGCTGCGGGTGAACAGAGAGAGAAATGGGGGAGGGGGAGAGAGAGAGAGAGAGAGAGAGAGAGAGAGAGAGAGAGAGAGAGAGAGACAGAGAGAGAGAGAGACAGAGAGAGAGAGAGAGAGAGAGAGACAGAGAGAGAGAGAGAGAGAGAGAGAGAGACAGAGAGAGAGACAGAGAGACACCCAGGCCTCGGAGCTGCCCACCCTGTGCTACTTTAGCCTGGAGTCCTGGCTACAGCAAAGACCAAGGGGCTCAATCTGCTCTGGGGCCACCTCCTCCCTGCGCCCCCTCCATCCCCACCACTGGGTGTGTGGGGAATGGAACTGCAAAGCTTACAATAAACTCAGCAAGCTCACCTGACTGAGCATTTACCAAGCCAGAAAGCCTCCTTTCCACGCGCTGTCGGTCTGCAAGCATGGAGTCTAGGGAGACACTGTAGAAAAGCCATCATACTAGCACACGGTCAGGCACGTTCAGTACGCACAGGTTTATACCAACATCTAAACTATTTTAGGAAAAGGCTGTGGAGCAGAACATGCTGGGTGTGCAACTGAAACCTAGACCTAGGTTCAAATCTGACGTCTGTTCTTGCCAAGTGCCAAGAGAAATCAATTAACCCCCCTTATCCATCAATTTATAGGAATAAAGGTAAATACCTCAACCTTGTAAGGCTGTGCCACACACATAGGACCAACTCAAGCTGTGCAGCGTCTGGCACGCATGCCACATGAGGCTTCCTTTCCGGGGCAACTGGCTGGACCATTCTGGGCCCTCCAGATTAAAAGGGCCCTTTTCAACTCTGCTTTCCTGACCAGAGAAGGCCTGGGACATGAGCCCCAAGCTCCACCACTCAGCCCTCCCCCCAAGTTCACTGAAAGATACCCCCATCCTGAACTCCAACTGGAGCCATCTCTCTCCACTCCCTTTTCAGGGGGCAGCTTTCAAAGGGTACAATTCCTCACTCTCAATAAAGCAATGCTTCCTGCCTTAGAAAACCATCAACAAGTTTGTATGGAAAATAAGCTCTTGAGTTGTCAAAAACCCATGGCTAAAGGAGAACCCAAATGGTGCCAAGCTACCAGGGGAGGTGGCACCTCCAAGAGTGGCAGAAGGGTCCCAAGGACTGTTCAGGTCCACGGTCTCTTTCTCTGGACCCATCACTCCAGCCAGTCTGGTCCAGGCTAGGACGGAGTAGGGATGGGGGTGATAGATAAGACCAGGTCTGGCCAGCCAGGCTCTTCCCAGAACCAACACAATCCCAGCACACTGTGGCCAGAAGCATCCTCAAAACAGGACTTTGCGCAGGCTCAGATTCAGTCCTAAGGCACCAGAAAAAACAGCCTTAAATTTGACACTGCCAAGTCCTGGGGGGGCGGACACAGAAGGTCTCATCTAGATCACACATAGACTCTGAAAACCTTCTCATATTGAAGAACGGGAGCTATTAACTGTGTTAACGGCATGCACAGATGTTGTCTACATCTAAAAATTCCCAAATACATCAATTAGCATATTATAAAGAATTTACTTCCATTTTCCCTTGACAGATCATAAAGACCAAAATGTAACGCTCATGTTTGAATTGACAAGTGCGTATGGCAGAAGATGCTGTATTAAATGCAGACAACAGTGAAAAAAATGGTATTTGATGATTGGCCACCCAATTCTCAGAGTACAATGTCAAAAGCCAGAAATCCATTTATTTAGTAACCAAAGCTCAATATCACACAAGTCACTTGGGCTCTGGTAAGGGAAGTTCTACCATCTGCACTTGGTAATTCCACTGTTCCGCTCATTTCCTAGGTAAGATACTGGGAGCATGTGTGGAAAAGCAAGACAAGGCTACAACCCAGGGGCAAATACACGTGCACACACGTACACAAATCAAAGGAACAAACATTTTTGGAAAAAAAATTTTTTAATTTAATTTTTAAACAAAAATAAAAGAAGGCGTAACAACATTCTTATGTGCTGAAATTCTAAGCATGTCTTTATTTGTATGTTTAGAAAGGATCCTTTTACAGGAAGGAAGGGCTGGAGGAGATAAGGATGAGAGGAAAAACGCGAATAACATAAAACTAAAATTAATAGATGCAGAGTTGTCCTTCTTCCCATTCTTCCAGAATCCTCTTCCTAGATTGCAAATCAAAATCTGCATTTAAATAGAATGTTTTTAGTGTAGGAAAGAGGAAGCCCTAGGGTACAAAGGTATTGCATTCAGGATCTATGGGCACAATACTGTATTTTAAATGAGATGAAGACTTTTGAAATTTACTGAATATATGACATATTCCAAACTGTCTTGTTATTACTACTATTTTTACTAAATTCTTCTATCCTAATAGGTGTTTCTCTTTTATGGCCAGAACTTTTAATAAAAGTAATGTGATATTACATCATTCTATCAATTAAATCTTGAGAAAAGATTACACGATCCAGGGATCTTATAAGCTGTGGGCTCTGATAATTCCAGCCATTATTCAGTGTGAAATTCAAACAGTCTGAATTCATTAACATTGGTTGTTACAAATCGGCATTTTTAGACTTTGCCATAAAATGCAGGAGTCCAGACCCAGTGACCTGAATCTAACCGCCTTTCATGTGAAGTGGCCGTGTTCCCGGCCTCTCCCAGTGTGGCTCTCGAGAGAAAGCCTCATGTCTTCGTCCTCTCCATGGCTGGCCTCAGGCTCTTTGGTCACACTTAATGTTCAGGCAAATTGCAGAGACCTCAAGCCATTTAAAGGAGTAGAGACATGTTCCCAGGGAAGGATGTCCATTACGAAACAGATGTCCAGGTGGGCATAGGAGCGGGTGCAGCAGCATGGTGCCAGCACCTCGCCTTGGCTGCGGCTGGGATCAGCACACCCTCACAACTAAAACCCCAATGCGTGACATTTGGGAAAGGCTTCATGGAAACCCCAAACCTTTCACTGCTTGATAGGAAAACATTATTACCAGGTCGATGGGCAAGGAGTGAGCAACCCACATCCCAAGTGCCAGGTGGAAGACAGAACCTTCAGGAACACAGCAGACCTTCACGACCAAGAAAGGTTTGAGTTCCGTTCGTCTTGCATCGAAATGTTCATTGCAACATAGACCACAGGTACCGGCTTGGAGAGATGCAACCTGTACTACCTTCCCCTCCAGCCCAGCCAGGCGAGCAGGGCATCTCCCACATGCTAAGCCTTTGGCTGTGTGCATTTACTGCTGCTACTGCAGCAATCATCTTTGTGTGTGTACATATATTCATGGGGTACAAGTGCAATTTTCTACATCCATACATTGCATTGTGGTGAAGTCAGGGCCTTCAGTGCCTCGATCGCTGAAACAATGCACATTGTACCCACCAAGCCACCTCTCATCAGCCTCCCTCGTCAGTCCCCATAATGTCATTCCAGACTCAGCAGTCATTCTTGACTAAGCTCTTAACATGTACCAGGTATCTGTTAAGCCCCGTTCAGTACTGTTTCATTGAATCCCCACAACTCTGAGATTAAGCACTACTACCTGCTGCATTTGCAAGAGGGGGAAACTGAGGCACTAGGCTCAGAGGGGCATAGTTTGTCCAAGGTCAACACCATCAGAGGAGGACAAGGTCAAGTTGTAAACATTTTTTGGCCATACCATGAGGACTCTGCCCTCCTGCCATCACCAAGGCCAGGACCAAGTCCTGTGCAATTAGAATCATTACCTTCCCCTTGCAAACATCAGGAGGAAGTGCCAGAGCCGCTGGGGCTCCTGGAGGGAGTGACTGTTATGATGCAATTCCATGCTAAAGAATTCTTCCTGGCCACATCAAACTCTGCATCAATCTGCTCTGTTTAAACACACAGGCAGAGAGGGCTTTCCGGCCTTCAGCAGGCCTCTGCAGTGCTGCCACTTAAGCCCAGGGTTTGCAGGGGGGTGGGGATCAGAGCACAAATCAATGTTGAGTCCTCCTTCCCAGAGGAAGCTGTCGCCCTGTGTCATGGTTTAGAGGTCATCTTCTGCTGTAATGAGGGAGTGGCAGTGAGTTTCAATTGAATTACAAAAAGCCAGGAGTACTGTACTCTCATCAAAGTGAAGGTTTTTTTTAACAAATGTGGGACTGGGGCCGTCAGTTACACATGCAGGAAACACCAGCTTCCAGGCCTCTGAAGGTGAGCAAAGCAGCAGCCACCATGCTGGGTCCTTGAATTTGATACAGAAGCCATCTGAGCTTTGTCTCGAGGGACCCAGGCCTACAGGACTTGCAGAGCCAGTGGGCCTTCTTGCTGTCCTCATCATCCCAGCTTGGATGTAGTCAGGTTGGCTGAACCACATTATCCCTCACCTACGAGGCTGCCGCAAGAGCAGCACCCACAGGTGGCGGGAGAGTACAGCTGGGTCCCCACACCCTACCTGCATGGGTTTAGACTCCCCGCCCTACTTGCACAAAGGAGAGGCGGGGGCATGACTTCACTTCCCTGCGGTGGAAAGCTCAAGAACACGGCGTGATTATCTCAGAACATGCACACCTCCCCTGAACAGGTAGTATAACATGCTGGGTTGCCTTCTGTCTGCAGAAAACACTCCCAGCTAACACAGAACCAACCCAGCCTTCCAGACAGCTGCTGCGATGCGCTCCTACATGTGCCCAGCCCACTCCACACCCCCCTGGCCCCACTGCAGCCTGGATTCATTCATTCAAAAAATTACTTCTGGGGCATCTACAATATGCAGGCCATGCACAGAATTAAGGGGACAATGAGCTCAAGGAGCTAGCTCTGCTTCAGGGAGCTGCGGAAATCACTCTGGAAGGTTCTAAGTTCGTAGTCAGAGTCCTGCTCCTTGGTCCAAGTCCATTTACAACACTTTTTAACTTCCCCTGATACAGGAATCAGAAGGCTCAGGGAGTGAGAAGAGACACCCTTGGCTGCTGCACTAAGAGGGACTGAAGACTCCCTCCAGACAACAGGCCACCCAGGCAGAGGGAGCCCAAATGCTCACAGGAAAGCCAACCCCAGGAGGTACAGACGCTTCTGCGACATGCAGAAGAGACAAAGTGGCCTCGAGCAGCTGGAGCCAAGGTCTCCTAGGACGCAGGCCCCATCCATGCCCCCCAGGCGTCCCACCACCGCGGAAGTGGGTGATAGGGAGGACTCACTTGCCATGACCAGCTGAACCAAGGGGTATATCCTACAAACCTGCAGTGTCCGGGAAAGAGGCGAGCTTCCCCCAGGAAAGGGGGCAAGCCTGTCCCACAGCTCTGGGACCCTCCTGTAAGCACCCTCCCACCCCTGCTGAAGAGCCTCTCCCCCTACATCCCTGAGGAAACTGATCACCCAAGCTGAATTTTTCAAGGAGTTGCAGGTTACACCCTACCCACGACAACAAAGGTTTCCTTTGAGTTAAACAACGTATAGCTGAACCGGAAGAGGGAAGGTGACCACGGGAAAGGTGTTGCATTACAAGGCTCAGGAATTCGATACCTTCACCACCAATTCTCGTTTTCCACAAATCCCTATTAAAAGACAGCACGGTACCGTTCCCAGAAATCAAGGCTCACACCACGTGGAGCTGACTGGATGCTCACGGGGACATTCGATCCCAGCGGCCTGGAGAAAGGACGGAACAGGAGGACCCTGTGCGGGCGCCATTGTTGTTCATCAGTATACATTTATAAAGAAACGGAAATTAAACACTGTCATCAGATGCTCTGCACTGCTGCTCATCCACGGCTGTGTTTTTTCATCCTCCCACATTAACATTTCCCCCTAATGTTCTATCTTTTTGCCATATATAATTAATTTTAACAGCTTCTGCAACTTCCCCACAGGTTGTTGCTGTTTCTTTTAAACAGTATACTGCTGAGAAATTGATTTGTTTGCTCCGCGTGCCTGAAGAAACCACATTATGAAATATGTATAAATGTCACTGTTCGGGCTGCTTCTCAGGATAAGTGCAGAAAAACGTTCCATTTTACCTCCTTACACAGGAGTCCACTCACGGAGGCTACTCGCATGTATTACCCGTGTGCTCACACACAAATGCCGATGAATTACGCAGCATTTTCTTTGAAAACCTCCTATTTATCCTTAACTGGTACAAGGCTAGGGGAATCATCTTAATTGCTACATGGAAAGAATGAATTGCAAAAGCATTCAGTCGACCAAGAAGACTTTATTTTTAACAGCATGGGGCCAGGTGGAAGTTGCCAAGTTTGCCAAAAATAAATGAATCAACCAATCAATAAAGCAAATGTGTTCAGCTGGTGTTAAATGAATGCCTGGGAAGAAGGAAGCCACAGACAGCACGTCCTTCTTTCTCCCCTTCTCCCGCCCCCACCCCTGTGAAAACACCAGGCCCGAGGACACGAGGGTCATGGGAATTCTCAGCCATTTCCTAAATCGTTACTTTTATTTATTTATTAATTTATTTGAGACAGGGTCTGCCTCTGTCACTCAGGCTAAGTAGAGGGGTGTGATCACAGTGCACTGCAGACGTGAGCTCCCAGGCTCACACAATCTGGCCACCCAGGCATAGGCAGGCGCCGCCACCTGGCCGAGTTTTAAAAACATTTTCTGGAGATGGGGTCTCCCTCTGTCACCCAAGGCTGAGTGCAGTGGTGCAATCATGGCTTACTGCAGCCTTGACCTCCCAGGCTCACACAATCCTCCCACCCAGCTACTCTGGAACCTGAGGACCACAGATACACACCACCACCTGGCTGATTTTTTAAAAAAATTTTTTTATAGAGATGGGGTCTTGCTATGTTGCCCAGGCTGGTCTCAAACTCCTGGGCTCAAAGGATCTGCCCTCCTTGGCCTAAATCATTACTTTAGAAAATGCATCCAATTATCTGCTCCTTCAACAATGGTCAAAATTCAGATCCAGATACTAAATCCTAAAATTACTGAAAGTAACCAGGCTCTTGCACTTCTGAGCTATTTTATCAGCATTTGTAGCTGGGGGAGCTGCTCTAAGTTGAAACTAATGCCCCTTTACACTTGAACCTGGCAGATCCCTCAAGCTTCAGTGAAATGCTGTGTGTCCTTCCATAAAGACCAACTGAAACTGCTTAAAACCAAGACATTTTTTTAAAAAAAAACAAGTTATTGGTCTAATGCATTCTAAGAGTATTAATACAATCAGCAATGGTAACGCATAAATGTTAAGCAAAAATATTTACAGAAAGAAATAACCTTTTCCTCTGCCACTAATCACACCCAGCAACACTTGATTAGTAAGCCAACATTTTAATAAGAGAAAGCTCACTTCCCTGCCTACTCATTTGCACATCGGCATCTACGCCCCAGCCTGAAACTTGACAGTAAACACAATGCACCACCACTCCCTTCAACAAGTGAGGCTCTGGCCCTGCCGCTCACTCCATCCACTCCTTCCCACTCTTCTTGCCTTTAACAAACACACGCTCCAAGCCTCAGAGAAATCAGCCGCTGACCCGTGTCTCTGGCTGTCCCACACAACAGGGCTGCCATCCCTCAGTTCAGTGGCCAGGCCTGTCTAGGGCACAAGGGGGTCTCCACCAGGGTTGGCTGATGAGGGGTAGCAGAGGCCCATTCTCTGCACACTGCCACACTCTCAGCGGAAAGATGCACCCCATGTGCGGCCCCACTTCACATGGACCAAGTGCTCTTCCTCCCACAACCCTGGGTGTGGGGACGGTACCATGACAAACCTGAGAAAGCTTCCAGGAATATCAAAGCCCCCGGGAAGCCATCTTCACTGTAAAGGGACCCTGCAGTGTATGGGAAGCCAGGCTCACTACCACAGTGTTTCCGGAAAGGCTTCCACCAGCAAGGGACGCGGGGCGACCTGAGTTTGGGGTTGCTTCATCGGCTCCTGAATGCCAGATATACCTAAGGCCACACATGCTGGCAGGTGGATCTGGGCGTCAAGTTCTTCACTAACAAAATGGGGGTCTTGGGAAGGGTATGAGGATCACGGAAAGAGAAGCGGACACCACGCCTCCATTTCCCAGCATAACGTCACTCAGTGGCAACAGAGACTCCTGGCCCCGCCAAGAGTGAGAGGCAAGTGTGCCCACCATCCTGCAGATGCCCTGCTCGGAGGTACCCCTCCAGCGAAGGAGCAACTCAGCAGGAACCCACCCAGGCCGGCCACACAGTGTTGACACATGGGTCACAGTGGGAAAATTCAGGCCTTCTGCCTGGTCTCTTCCTCCCTACTTTGCAAATCCACTCTGATGAGAACCAGCAGCCAGGGTGGCGCAGGAAGCGGAAAACAACAGTAACAGCAGAAAGCCAGACTCACCAGGAGAATGGAGGGCGTGACCCCTGTGTGACCCTGGACCCATGTAGATGCTAAAGCAAAAAGAAGGGGAATGGACGGGGTGATCTCTCCATCCCTACTTGGGAGGCCACACTAGGTTGCTGAGATGCTCAGGAGAGAAGAACAAACACTGAATCAATGCCTCCCATTTATCCTTGGGGGGTGGAGGGAGGCTGGGATTCCGAAGCATAACTCACATCCAGAAGGCACAGGAATAAAATCCAAGCAAGAACCAAGAGCTTCAGCGGGGGCCCCTCCTCCCCTACTCCGAAGGCTGGCTAAAGCTTCGCTGGCATCTTCCCCACTGCCCCATCTCAGCCTCCTGACTGTTTCTCACCTAGAGAACCCCAGAGATGAAAGGCCCTGTGGATCTTCCTCTGGTTTGTGGTTTCGGATGTTGGCAGTCTTGCTTCTGGCCCAAACACTGGAGCAGGATCACACGGCCCTAGCAAAGGCCCCACGGATGCATGCAGGCCAGGAGCTCAGGAGGCCAAGGGCCCGAAGGACTCTGGGGGCCACACACTGGGACCAGAGTGGCACAGTGGCCATGGCGCCAACACCTCCACCACTTCACAACCATTGACAATCGGACCCCAAGGTTTAGGTATGTGTTTCCAGAGTAATTCAATACTTTCCTTCTGTTTTTCATGGAAAAAAGATATCTGTCCTGCCAGAAGCAGGCTAGAGGACCAATGATCAGGAAGATGACCTCAACTAGGTGGCCTGCTACAGCCACAACTCAGATGGAAATCCAGCCTAGTTCCCACAGCAGATCAAGGCAAACCCCTCTTCCACCACCAAGCACACTGAGTTTCCAGCACTGTGTCACCTCAGACTGTCTTTCCCAGAGGCCCTGGTCGGCAGGCCAAGCTTCTACATCATCCTGGAGATCTGTCAAAATACATAATACAGCATGCATGGCAGCCGGAAACAGTCCTATCTTTGCAAAACCACAGCTGCAACTATTCTACCACCATTTTACGTAATATAATAAAAGTTAAGGGATTTGATTTGCATTCCCCCTCATTTATGAGCATTTAACCAAAAACACTTTTTCTGTGACACTTTTGTTAAAAAAAGATAATTGGGTACTGCTGCAAATATTAATGCTTAACAACAAAATAGTACTAAAAAACCATGACCCAACTGAAGTGATGGAGAACGAAGTCTTTTTCCAGGAGAAGCCAGCAAAGCCATCTGGCACATTGAGCTTTCATTCTGACAAATAGCAACATACAGAACAGATAGTAAAAGCAGAACATGCATCCGATCTAAATTTAGCACGTCACTATTCATTACTGAGAGAACGAGCCTCTTGTCAGGAGAAGGCTGAAGTGTTTGACGTCAAGTTACTAAAAAAGACGGCCATAAACCAAAATATTAAGTCTAGCACAACAGGAATGGGATGCTTTTAAAATTAGGACATGCTAAAGAAAATACTAAGAGGGCAAAAACGATGTATAAATGGCTCTAGGGCCTCACGGATTCACCATTACCTCTGATGGTGTCACGTGATTTTCATCTACCTCCTTCTTCTGTGCCCACATTTTAAAAGATGTGTCTAGACCAGAGATCTCAACAGGTGGGCTCTGGTTGAAATCCATACGTGGTCCTTACTTTGGTTACAATCCCACATGACCTCCTTGTGTTGCTGCATGTAGACAGCAGGCAGAGCTGGATACAACTCCCTGGGCATGGTGACGTTCCACAGAGCAGAAAGGGTCTGAGAGCAAACACACGCCTTCTGGGGCCATGTGAGAATTCCACCATGAGAGCATCTGCAAGTGGTCAGGGGAGAAGTTTTATCCTGCTTCTGGGGTGGGCTGGGCGGGGAGCAGGTGGGCCAGTGGGGCCACACTCAGTGTGTGCGTGGGCCGTGGACACCATGAGCTGTTGTCACAGCACAGTGACCATGCTCCAGTGATGGCCAGCTCCAGTACCACACCAAGTCTCTTAAGCTCTTCCAAAGTGCTATAAAAAACTCTTACCCAAAAGGATGCCAAAAATACAGGAATGGTGGGAACCCCACATAAGGGTAAGTGTCTTGAGTCTGCTTAGCACTCAGGAAACATTTGTTAACAGGAAGCGTGTCACAATTTCATTCTGGTTCTGGATGCATTTGGAGAATGTTAACTCATCTGTCTGAGAGGGAGATCACTGCTAAACAGGATCCCAGAGTGGCTCTGGTTATTAGACTGAGTCAAATGAAAGTGTCCTCATTCAACCATTTTTGATATTTAAAAAGTCCATTTCATCCTTATACACCAAGTTCCCACATCCTTCTGTTTAGAGAAAATGATTTCCAACACTGAAATGAGCATCTATGAAACGTAATGATGGTCCATCCAGCGGAGATGCTCCCAGGCAGGCAGGGCCTGGTACTTGTCTGGGTGAAAGAGCGTGGATGTCCAACATGGCCAGTTCCATGGTGTCCAACTGGAAACATCACCATGACCCAACCCACTGAAAACATCTTTGGACCCAGCACCCAACACTGGAACTATCTTTGCCAACCCCAGGCCCAAGGTGACTTTGTCTCTGCCTGAGAAACCCGGGCAGATTCTAGCACACAGGTCTGAGAGTGAGAGCCAGAAAAGTAAGCAACGTTTGTCCTGAAAGGCTGAACTGAATAAGGTTGCGAGTGGCGGTCCTGACCTCCCTCAGGTTTCCACCAAAGAACATTCCATCAGACTTCCAGTTCCTCATCCTCCTCAATGCTAAGAGCCTTAAGTGTTCAAAGATGACTGAGGGGCCCCTCTCATACACAACTCAACTCGAGCTTCACGCTCTGCTATGGCCTTTGGCCCAGCAAAGCCCTGTCAGAGCACTCCCAGGAAAGGGTTCTGAATTTCTACATCAAATTCAAGCTTAAAGGGTGGGGAGGGTCCTGGGTACCAGCCCAATCCACCTGTTCGATTCACAGATAAGGCTTCCGAGTGCCAGCAGAGACCACTTGCTCAGTCACCAAGCTGGTAAGCAATATTTGGAGGTCTAGGTCTGGGTCAGCTACCTCAGTTTCCCCAGCTAGATCTACTTTATGGAGAAAAGGAAGGGACACACAGAGATCCTTTCCTGATCCTACAACCCACTGTGCTGCTTAGGTTCAGGCAGAGATTCAGCTTGGCCCCCTCAGGTGGTCACCCATGTGTGCCCCTGGGCTCCAAGTCTCTAACTGCCTCCAGCAACTCAGGAAGCCAGGCCTGAGGGCCTGGTCACAAACTTAAACCTCTCTGGGAACCAAAGCTAGTCCCCTCAAGGCTCTGCTAGGAGTGTGACAGGTGAGAGAGACAGGACACAATTGGCTAGCGGTTTCCCTTGCTTTTGAATGATGTTGTTACCTCACGGGGAAAACATTTTTTTTTAAAAAGCAAGATTAAAATCAATTCCATCAGAGAAGTTGCCACTTTGAGACTTTAAGAAAGATCCAGGTTTTGTGAAAAATGGCTAAAGACATGCCGAAATGAAACTTAGAATCCCAAAACCCTGCTACGGGCACAGGATTGAACTCCATCCATCAATGAGTGTGGTAGGGATTGAATGCTCATCTCAGCCTGCACCCACATTCCCAATCTACTCCGCCAGAAAAATCATGGTATGTTCAAGACATCCTAGAGGCTGGTAACACTAAAAGCCTAAGCTGACTGAAGAGGTGCCAGTATCCACAAGCCGCCTTCTTCCTAAAGACATCCATCTATCACTTATGACTGACTCGGGGTGTCATGAGATGGTTTCTCTAATTCATTTTTATTCTTTTTAATTAATACATCGAGAAATCCTAACACTATTTCCATTCTGACTTGAGTTTCCTTGTAGCATAATTTCCGTTGACTTATCTCTATAGCAGCAGCAGCAGCAAAAATCACTTTACACTGAACTATATTGCTTCAGAGTTAATTACATGTATTTTGCTTTTGATAAATGAAAATACTAGATGCAATTAATTGAAAGACAATCAATATGATCCCACGATTAGACATCCCAATGAAACAGCCAGAGGCTGCAGGCAATCCATACTCATCAACTAATTGAACACACATTGCAAAGGGGATTCTAGAAAACTGAACTTTTACCTGGAGATATTTCACAATAACTCACCAATATAAATCTGTCCACAAACTCTATAGTTCACACGATGGGCTGTCCGTCTTTTTAAGGGAATACACCTTCATTGGTTCAAAACCATTTAAGGTGATGAAACCCTGAAAGCAAAATGAATGGAGTCAGTGAAGATGAAGTAGAGATTTTTTTTTTTTGTTTACATCTAGGCATCCTTTAATTGCATTTTTCCAATGCCTTCGACTCTAAGCTACCAGAGGTTATTAAATGGTTTCATTAAAAATACTATTTGTCTTGCTTTAGTCACACACCAGATCAAATTAAACAGTAGAGCACCAGAACAAATGAACCCTTTCCATCTATTTTGACACAAAGCCAAGTGTGCAAAAGCAGAAGGTGATATTGTGTCATCACCGTGAAAATGTCATTTAGCTTTCTCTACATCTCCAAGTAGCAAGCAAAGGGACAAAAGAATCAATACCTTCAAGCAAAAAGTATTACCAACTGTTTTGAGAAATATGGAATTATAAAGTGCAAATCATGAGCCCACGGTTTATAAGTGCTATTAGCATAAATGCTGACAACTGTTAATCTACTGTAACTCTGATTAACGGTTGCAGTTGTCCATTAATAGAAGGCATTTTAACTTACTACTGAAATTGATTACTCAGTTAAGAATTCAATCCTAATGTTCAATAAAATTGCACTTTCTTGGCAAATGCAATATGAACCGAGGTGATGCATTAAACAGAACTCCCATTTATTTTACTCTACATGGAACAGAGAAGGAATACATGGTGGGACCCACATCATCCGAACTACTTCCTATGCACACACAGCTGTGAGAGAAGAGAGCAAAGTTCCTCCTTCTGCGGCTGATGGGGAAGGCAGACAACCTGTGCAGCAGGCATGTCCAGGTGTCCTTTCTACGGCTTTTCCAGGAAGAAAAGATGGAATTTAACACTGGAGTTGCTATGTAACTGGAGAGCCCATGTATGAAGGTAGTCTTGCTCGAGCCCCACGAGAGAGGGAAGAGGCACACTCTAAAGACATGAGCTGCTGCAGCCAGGCCTGACATTGCCAACCCCACCTTACAACCAAGTTTCAAATGGTTAATATACAAAAAGGCACGAACCACATTCCCAGCTGCATTTGACTTTTTTTTTTTTTTTTTTTTTGGGAGAAAGAGTCTCACTCTGTCACCCAGGCTGGAGTGCAATGGCGCGATCTCGGCTCACTGCAAGCTCCGCCTCCTGAGTTCAGGCAATTCTCCTGCCTCGGCCTCCTGAATAGCTGGGACTACAGGCGCCTGCCACCACACCTGGCTAATTTTTGTATTTTTAGTAGAGATGGGGTTTCACCACGTTGGTCAGGCTGGTCTTGAACTTCTGACCTCAAGTGATCCACTGGCCTGGGCCTCCCAAAGTGCTGGGATTACAGGCGTGAGCCACCGCGCCCAGCCATCATTCTACCTTTTTCGTTTTTTTTTTTTTTTTGAGACGTAGTCTCACTCTGTCACCCAGGCTGGAGTGCAATGGCGCCGTCTCGGCTCACTGCAACCTCCGCCTCCCAGGTCCAAGGGATTCTCCTGCCCCAGCCTCCCTAGTAGCTGGGATTACAGGCGCATGCCACCATGCCCGGATAATTTTTGTATTTTTAGTATAGACGAGGTTTCACCATGTTGGTCAGGCTGGTATCAAACTCCTGACCTTCTGATCTGTCTGCCTTGGCCTCCCAAAGTGCTGGGATACAGGCATGAGCCACCATGCCCAGCCAACATTCTGCTTTGTAAACCATTCAAATCTTAGGAAGCTGTAGATACCTAAAAGAACTTCCCCTCTTTTAATGGGGCTTTTAATTAGCAATGGGGCTAATCTCCTAGGATCCAATCCCGTGACAGGCATTTTCCTGCATGATTATGTAGCAAGTCATAAAGAAGAACTGCTACACTCATGGTTTCCATTCAAAAGAAAACCATGCTCCCTGCTGTTTCCACTGAATTCAATGAGTCCTCCGACAGCCAGCTCCTGCTCCACACCTAGAACCAAGTCACTGGCAGGAAGGACTCTGAAGAACTACTCAGGAAAAGCATGGACTCTACAGTCAAGGTTATCATGTACCCAAGGTCAAGTAGTAATTCACTCCCAACTGTACACCACACTGTAACCCACACCTCTTAAGGAAGTAGATGGGAGACAGACATTCCAGCCTCAGAAGTGTTAGGAAGGGAGGGACAAGCATAGCTTTTCAGTAATCCCAAGCCTATAGTGACACAAGCATCTAACAGCCAAGGAACTATTTTTTTGAGGTGGCAGAGCTTGCCTGGCAAACTCCTATCCACCCTTCAAAACCCATCTCACAGGTTATCTTCTTTAACATCTTCCCTACTCTAGCTGGCAGGCTACTATATACCCTGCCCATCTCCAAGTCTCTAAAGGTTAAATGCCTTTTACTTAATCACATTTTATTTATCTTTGAAACATAGTAGGGAATCAAATATTTAATTAACTGCAAAACAGAATTTATACTCCTGATTAGTGTTGCTTGTCTTCGTATGTCACAGGCTTTCTCCTTCCATTTCCAATGGTTTACACAGAATTTCCAAAAATATAAAGGGATTGTATCTATTTTCAGGAAGTAGTCCCTTTTGGAAAGGAAGGAGGGATGGAAAAGGAACTGGGGAGGTGCACCTTAGCAATGACTATAACATTACTTGTTTTTGAACAATGTCTGAAGACAAACGTAGCAACATGTTAACATCTACCTAATCTTGATGGTGGGTACAGGTTCTAATTTGAGATATTTCATAGTAAAATTAAGTAGGAAATAGACAAGTCTGCCTTGTAGAAGGCTTCACAGAGGAGGTGACATTTCGTGGAATTTCAAGCCGGGCGTTCAAGCAACTGTGCTGCCTGTCCCAGTGAACGGCGACAGCTTATTTAGTGGAATAAGAATGTTAAAAGGCTTGGAAGACTGTCAGAATTTTAAAGCAAGTGCTCGTTGTTACTTGAAGGTCAAAAGAAGTACTTTAAAAAGACTGGAGCTACAGAAAAGCTAAAGATTCAAAAATACTTGTTTCAGCAGATACTTGCTGACAGTGCGGCGTGGACTAGTGCCCCGAGGATTCACCAGGGGATATTTTCTTGGCAGGATTTCTCTAAGAACTTCCAGGAGTATACAACGAGACGCAGAAATGACTTAGCTGATTAAAATCACCACTACTTCTGAACCAGCAACCGCAGGAGCTGAAGTGGCCTCAGCGTGTAACTGCCGGTCAGCATGCCCACCCCCTCCAAGTTCACGTGGCTGCTTCGGGCCAGACAGGGGTCCTATTTCTGGCCTGTACCATCAACCTGCGTGAACTTATTAAACATCCCGCGGCAAATGTGATCTGCCTACAGCTGATGACAGGGGGGTGTGTACTCTCACACATCCCAGAAGAGAACCGCAGCACCCAGAGATGGATTTGGGGGTGGGAGTCCCAACCAGACTGTGGTCAGCTAGTTCCTGCACCTTCCACATATAGGAAACTCACAACTGAGGCTGCAGTACCTAGACAGGACCCCCTACCCCACCGCCACTGCTTGGGTGTTTTGTTCTTATACTAAGTCAGGCATACAAAAATTACGTTTTAGGTCTGTAGTGAATAAATCCTTTTCTTAGAAACTAAATGAGACTAGAACCTTTAGAAGCCTTCAATGAGCCCTAAAAAGGTCTTGATGGGGGCGTCTGAGAAACTCTGGTGTGGCTCCTTCCAGGAGGACTGGGCCTGCCTTCACTTGAACTCATAGCGTTCTTTCAGAACAGCTTCTGTACTCTGCATGGCATGGAAGGGGTGCCCACCCACCCACCCAAATGCAGAGATAACAGAGGCCAGGCGAGCAGCTCAACCTGGCCTGGCCCCCCCATGCCGCCTGCTGTGAGCAGCATTCATCTAACCAAGTGCCCGCTTACCTACGCTTTCTCTGCAGGAGGGATTTCTAGTGATATTTCTGCCATCTGAAGCTCACATGTGCCAGCTCTCGTTAGGACTTGAGGCTTTCTGCTTGAACTCACATTTTGGCTGTCTAGGCTCCTCCTCCTACTACTGTCCCGCCGTGGATGGCGAAGGATTCATCACCCCTGCTTCAAGGTGGGGCACCTCCTGCTGCCTCCTCTTGAGGCTGGCCCTGCGGCTGGGTCACACCAGCCAGAGAGCAGAACTTCAGCTCAGCGTGGGCATATATTAGGGGAGAAGAAAGACTGATCCTAAAGGGGCCCTTGCACCCTGGAAAGCCTTATCTGAAACTGACTCATGGTTTCCACGGGTCTGGCTGAACGGAGCACCACTGTGCGCTGTGTTCCTCACACTCCAGGAAGCACCGTTCACGTTTACTGCTAAAAAGAGAAAACTGGAATGTGTCCACAAAACCATCCCTTAGGCGATCAAAAGTTTCCCACAGGTAATGGACTCTGGGAAGGGACAAGGGAAAGAACAAGGAGTTAGCAAGAATTAATCCCAAGTTCCGCAGGCCAGCATCGGTGGCTGAGAAGTAGTATCCTGCCTGTGATTTGGAGGTAACAGCATCTACCTTCACAGGTGGTCAGGCCCTTTGAAAGAGAGAACCCATGGAAGGTTCGTCCCAAGGCCTGCATACAGCAAGCACTCAATAACTGTGTGTCATCATCAGACTCCAGACATGTCTCCAGGCTGAGGCCGTTATCCACCTCTTCTAAGAAACTCATCTCTGCCTAACTCATGAGATAAACAGTTGACATTCAGCACAAGAATCCAATAGTCCTAATCAGGTCATTGATGGTTAATGGTTAGGCATCCCAAGCGTTCCCCTCCCTTGAAAGGTGGCCTCACTGCCATCCTGTGGTATGGCTGTGCTCAGAAAAGAGGGATTGCGTAAAGAACCATCCAGAATTCTGCACTTCTGCCCCAAGCACAGGGCATGGTAGCAGGTCAGAGTAGTCTACAGTCTTCGCCCCCTATACTCCACACCCCTGCCCACCACAAACATCCAGGCTTCCTCAGAGACCTCTCTGGACTAGATGCAACATCAACTATGACCTCAAACTCCTGGATCCTTTCAACAGGGATTTCCTGAGCACCTACTCAGTGCCAGGACTGTGCCAAGCCCCAGAGGCACAGGAGCAAAACAGAAACCTGGTCCCTGCCCCAGGGACTCAGGAGGGGCCACCGACTCCAGGCCCGAACCCAGCACTCAGCCCCCGCCCCACTGTTGCCCAAACCACCGAATGACTGTGCCACAAGGTCCCAAGCAAACTCTGGGGCCAAGGCCTGTACCCACGCCTCACGTAGAGACGGGTAGTGTGCAGGTCACAGTGCCCCACAGCTGGCCTGAGGTTTCTGGAAGCATGGTGTCTGTTAGGACGAGTGAACGCCCTCTGCCTC
Organism: Homo sapiens; assembly: GCF_000001405.40. NCBI lineage: Eukaryota > Metazoa > Chordata > Mammalia > Primates > Hominidae > Homo > Homo sapiens. The sequence goes on from NC_000010.11 coordinate 125,116,352, forward strand.
ACAGACACTCCCTCGGCACCCATGCTGACGGCCTTCTCAAAATGGGCCCGTCACATGGGTACCCAGGAAATGTCCCACCCTTCTCCCCACACTCTGCCCCTCCTCCCAACACTCTGGCCCCCTTCAGAAGGGGTGACTTACCATGGGGGTGCTAAAAGTGGGACCCACAGAAGCCGAGCTGTATCAGAAGCCGAGCTAAAGCCACAGCCCTGGGGATCACGCCCACCCCTCGGAGGCATCCAGACACAGCTCAGATACCCCAGGGCAAGCCCCCTCTCCTAGCCTGACACTCCCTAGAGCACCACGGCACTGCCTCGGGGTATCAGTCAGTATGTGGGAAGGGGAGGACTCTCAATGGTAGGACCACAAGGAAGACATGTAGCTGTTTCCCAGTCCCTGAGCGGATGGCATGGAAAGTGGTGCCAGGGGCTTTCCCCACACATCCCATAGCAGATCCTCCCAACGATTTCAAGTTCAAGGGCAGCGGTCAAGGAAAAGCCTCGGGCAAAATCTTGTCAAGAAGCCAAATGCTCTGCCCCAAAACTGACCTGCCTACAGCAGCATGAGGCAGGATGGTGGCCCTTGACTCGAGGCCATGAGAAGCAGCCCAGAGGACCCATGGGTTCCCTGAAGGACCAGGGACAGGCACTCAGCTGCCCGCCTCCTTTCCTGCGTACCACAGTGGCTCCTGGTTCACACACCCCCAGCCACCCTCAGTGCAGTCTCTGGCCACCTGTGTGTGAACACGGGCCACACCTGTGCTCTCCCACAAGGCGACATCCCGCTCCCTGGCCTTCCCAACCCTCCTCTGCCCCGACTCTCTTCAGTTGCAGTGAGGACGCGCAGTACAACGCATTGTAACGGGGGCAGTGGGGGGTGGCACTGGGATGGCCGCCAGCTGGCTCTGCAGGAAGAGGTCATGTGCAGTCCTGGGGGCTGCTGGGGGTAAAGACAGGCATCCCTGAGCAAACGGCAGTGGGAGATGCCACCTCTCCTCACTTCTCAACTCTGCCACCGAGCACCACACAGTGGGGTACACGTGTGACCCATGCCCTCTAACAAGGACTTCAGGCTGCTACCATGACAGCACAGCTCAACGTTGCCTGGGACGGCACCCCCCAAGCCCACCATATTAATTACGCGCCTGGCCAGCCTTTAAGGACAAACCCACCCTGAGAAAGGCCAAGCTCACTGGGCATGAAGCAGTGTGGAGTCCAAGTTTGGTTGGCACATGGGGAAAAGAAATACAATAAAATGACAACGTCTACCAAAGGGCTGAGTGTCAGATACACACTGGACAGGAATGAACAGGGTGTACCCGAGAGGTTGTCACTTTAGCATTGCTGGATTATTCCTTCCCGAGATTCAATTCCACCAACTATTGCCTAGTAATAAATAAACCATATTAATTAGCTTGGAAACAATTATCCTTTATTCAGGGAAGGAAAAAACAACAACCCCGAAAGCTAATTCTTTCCATGTCCCTATACAGCCACGTTGGCACAGAGGCACTTCAGGTGAAATCAACACTTCATTATGACCCCCTGATGCCCAAGAGTCTCAACTCTGAGAAGAAAAATGCCCTCTAGGCAGAAACTTTACATACACAGTCTTTGTCAGAGAGTGTTTATGGAAATTTTACAATATTAAATATATTCAGCTGGTTTTAAGAATGTAAAAAGGCCCAACAGCCAAGATTTTAGAACTCGTCTTCCAATAGAAGGCCAACCAGTGGAAAACTGGAAGGGAAGTCTTGGAATCCTGCCACTTTTTAAAGAAAAATAAAATAGGATATGTTTCCAGTGTTGTCTCAGATGTAGTCAATTAATGTGACCATTCCCCTGCTCTTTCAGCTTTCAGCTTTTCTAGATGACAGGGCCAACGGACTTGAGACGAGCTGGGTGACAAGGAGGAACTTGAAGCCCTTGCGGCATTAGCTAGGCTTCTAGAAGTGCCCCATCCGAAGTGGCTCCAGGACGGAGAAATAAACAAGGGCGTGAGATGGGAGAATGCCAGATGGGAGTCCTGGCAACAACTGGAGAAAGGAACAAGGAACAAATTGATAAACGGGTGCTGCTGATCGGGGCTGCCATGGGCCAAGTTTTGAAAGGGGGGAAGAAAAGTGGATCCACGAGCAAGCAGCCCACACAACGACGTCATTTTGTGAATTCAAGCTGCATTCCCACACCCAAAGCTGCCCGTGGGCCATGGAAGCAGAGGCAGCCGGTGTGAGCAACTGGACCTGAGGCTCATGGGGCCTGGCTGCACCCCCACACACCTGTACCTGAGTGGGGCACGACAGTCCTACTTACAGACAAGCCAGGAAATCACCTGAACTTGAAAGAGACCAGTGCAGTGGAGGCGCTGGGGGGTGGGAGGGGGGGATGGGGAACGCTTAAAATCAGCCTGGCTCAGAGGGAAGCCTGGCCCTGAGGTCCCCGCAAAGGCGCGCAGCTCCGAAAGACAAGTAGAAAACACATCCCAACTCAGAAGCACTTGAAGGTATCCGTCTCTAGTCTTCCATGGTTCCACACTGTAAGTGGACAAGGCGGCTGCTGGTGGAGGTGCACACACCCCTGTGAGATGGTCAGGAACCTGCCAGAAGGAGCGGACATAGGAGATGGCTCACTCCAACTGGTGGCCACTACTAACCAGCTGGGGCATCCTGGTGTCAGGCTCCGGTCTTGCTTTCTCCCTGATAGGGTGACCAAGAGGGGTTTTCTGAGCTCCTTTCCACAGGGTATCCCAAGGACACCTGATCTAACAAGGGCCAGACTATATATTTACTATAGGCCCTACACAGGGCCAGAAGGTGAGCAGAGGGGTCTTCAGACATTCAGAGCACACACCCATACCACAGCGAGAGATGGAACCTCTAAAGCTGGCAGGTTTTAATGCAAGATCCCCTGACCAAAAGCAGGATGCTGGCTGCTCTGAGGAGTCAGCGAGGGTGTGACCCCCACTCCCACTGCGGTGGAAGGAGTGGGCATCTTTTCTGTAAACTTGAGATTCCATGCCCCACTCCACTCTCCCCCTAGGGAATCCTTAGAAAAGTGGTCAAGATGTACCAGACCATGCTGGAAACCAGAGTAGGATAAATTTTCTCCTGATAGAGCTGTACAGGGATATGTCAGACACTATCCATCTCAACAATTATGTATTTACTAAAAGTATTTCAAAATACTTCAAAGACATAGGAAAAATACTTATAGGTCAAATGGAAAATAAACTATGAAACATGTATTCAAATCTCACATATTTTAAAACATTCTTCAGTGAATCTCATTTTTAGTATATACGTATATGCATAAGAGACAGAATAGATCCAAAGTGTTATTCTCCATGCTAAGATTAAAAAGGATTTTTACAATGTGTAACATAACTATCATTTACTTATTTCTTATACTTTCCTGTATTTTTCTATTTTCTGCAAAGAGCATGATTTCCTATAATATGGAAAAATGTGAGCTGTGAGCTCCTGTCAGGAGGGCTCTGAAGCTGGGGTGCAGAAAGTGAGCTGCTGCCTGGGCTGCTTTGCCTTGCAGGTTTTCGGGCCACACCAACATTGTAAAGTGGCCCCATTTAGGATGTAAGTCCCTGCGTGGCTGCTGTACTACAAAGGTGGGTTTTGAAAAAAGCCAAGTGTCCCTCCACCCTCATGCAAGTTCGATACAGAAAAGGATGTTCTCTTGGGGATTTCAATGCAGATGTCTCAATTCCAATAGCCAATCAACCTGGGAGAGAATTGGTGGGCTGGAGAGACACAGCGAGAATCCCTTGCCCCAGCGAGGATCTAGGACCCCGACTGATGCCGGGAAAGAGGCACAGCCAAAGCCTTGTCAGGGCTCAGCCAAAGGAGACTTCCCAGTGGGCTCCAGCCAAGTCCTTGACCACAGATTAGACTCCAGCAGGATGAGCAGGAAGATGAGCAGGAAGTGGCATTTAAAAACAAATGAAGTGAGAACCAAATGGCTCAAAGTCCACAGTCCCTGAAAAATTACTTACAAGCGTGACCAGCTTTACATATCAACACCATTTCTTTTTTTCTTTTTTGAGACGGAGTCTCACCCTGTTGCCCAGGTTGGAGTGCAGTGGTGCAATCTCGGCTTACTGCAACTTGCACCTCCCAGGTTCAAGTGATTCTCTTGCCTCAGCCTCCTGAGTAGCTGGGATTATAGGCATGCACCACCACGCCCAGCTAATTTTTCTATTTTCTGCAGAGACAGGGTTTCGCCACGTTGGCCAGGCTGCTCTCAAACTCCTGAACTCAGGTGATCTGCCCGCCTTGGCCTCCCAATGTTCTGGGATTACAGTTGTGAGCCACCAGCCAACAACATTTCTTTAGAGAAAGGGTCTCACTCTGTCTCTCAGGCTGGAGTGCAGTGGCATGATCATAGTTCACTACAGCCTCTACCTCTCGGGCTCAAGTATTCTTCTGGGCTCAGCCTCCTGTACAGGCACGGGCCCCCAAGCCCAGCTAATTGCCCTGCCCATGTCAACACTATTGATCAATGGACTACATGTGCAATACTGACTGGGAAAGTGAAGTTAGTAAAATTAAGGTGGCCAGATATCGGTTCCTTGACCCTGACTCTCTCACATTGCCTTCCCCTGACAATGACCTCACCCTCAACCCTTTATCTATTGCAAAAGGCATTACATAAATGGGCTGCCTGTTCTGTAACTGGTTTAGATGGGCAGATCCATGAGAGCAGAGACAGAATCCAAGTTTTATCCTGCAAAGCTCAGAGACCAACCAAATGGTAAGGAGCCCTTGGGTGAGGCTGTGAGTCACCCCAGGAGAGTGTTCTCTCCCTCTGCTTTCTCTTCTTCCCCCAGGAGCCCAGGTGTGGTCACCTGTACCTCCCTCATGGGGCCACAGCGGGAAGCACAGGCAATACCAATGCACAGCGCTCAGCGTGGCGCCTGGCACGCCAGAGGCACCCAAGTGTTAGCTGTATCATATACCAAATGCTTTACTCACACGGCTTGGTGAATTCGAGAATCCACAGTCCTGGAAAGAAAAGAGGCCTGAAGGAAACCGGGTTCTATTTAATTTTAAACTGAATTATGAACCCAAACCTCAAGGTTGGGGGAGATTTCAATTGAAAATGAAGAGTATCCTTGCTGTGGAATGGAGCAGCAGCTAAACCCACCATGTACAAACTACTCACTTTTCAGACTCTGTACTTTAAAAAATCCATTTCAAGGCTATGTATATCACAGAAAATAGCATATGAAGAAACTCTGCAAACACAGCCATGAAGGAAGCACCCAAAGACAGAACTGAATTCCCGGGTCCAAAATATATTCCCTCTAGAAGCAACTCATTCTATTTTTAAGAATTAATCACAGTGCCAAACGAATACAACAACATCTAGAAATGGGGAAAAAGGCCTGCGTCCCCCAGACCATCAGCAACAAACTCCTTTCCACCTTGCGCCACACCACGCTGTCACCCAGGCTCAAGAAACACATCACGGAGGTGAAACCTCCCAAACAGCAGCCCCTTCACATTCAGCCAAAGTGAGTTCCGACCACCCAACTCTGATGGTCCTCGATGCAGGTGACGCAGCCTCTTACCAGGGGAATCTGGGATGGGAGAGAAAAGCCAAACTCCAGACCAACCTGCGGCCCACCCTAACCCAGGCCTGTGAACCAAGAGACCTTCCAGTCCTGGCTCCCCAAAAAGCAAAGGGCACTTGCCTACAATCAGCAGCAGGGCTGGCTTTAGTCTTGATTCAGGAAAAAAAATAACTGCAGAGCCCCTAAAGGACATAGAAATATTATCTATTGATTCATGCGCATCAAGTCACTAACACTGGGAATCCTGAACTAACTTACACACGTATGTAACTGCTCAGCCGCATTTCTGCAGTTTGGAAAGAATGGACAACCTTTCAGCATGGATGTTCATGAGGGTAGCAATTCACAAATGCTGTTCTCACATGATGAACATATAAATACACACAAGTATGTATGTTCAAAATGCAGGGCAAGCGTGCTTTCTGAATGAACAACTCAACATTTTCACTGTGAGATTAGATTCTTGGGACTTGTAATTTTACAGTTTTCACTGAAGCATGCCAAAGCCACATAGGTGCAACAGGCCTTCCTCCTAAAGAAACCATGCCAGCACAGCCCTCACTTGCCTGGTGCACCGGGCCTGCACCACACGTATTATTATTCTGAGAGCATGAGCGCCAAGAAAGAAAACCGAGACTCAAAAGCCCAAGGGCTGTTTCTTCATGTTTCAGTCAATGTACACTGTGCAAACACATGCAACACAGATGAACAAAACTCACAAGGTGAAGGGGGTTCTTCCACTCTTTCCAAAATCAGCCAAGCCAACTGGTACAAAAGTCACTCCCAATACGACCCCATGGACATCTGCTGAGACGCGACGAGGTAAGAGGGGGCTGTCGACATGACCAGCTCTACTTGTCACCAAGCAAGGGTCCTGTCACTCTCGGGTTTCCATGATGGATTTCCTCTTCCGCAGTGTTCTGGTCTAAGGCTGGGTCAAAAATCTTCCAGTCAATACACAGAAACCAACCAGCCATACATACAACAACTTGAATGAATCTCAAAGGGAATTAAGCCAAGTGAAAAATCCCAATCCTCAAAGGCGGCAATGCTGTAAGGTTCCATTTATATAACATTCTTAAATGACACTGGAGAGATGGTGAACGGATTAGTGGTTGCCAGGCTTAGAGACCAGGAAGTAGGTAGGACACGCCAACTCCAGAACTTTCTTTGAGCAAACTGGGTCTTAGAAGCTGGTCAGCTGTGTCTACCCATGTGTGTCGACCATGTGCTTCAGCTGGGGACCGTCCTGGCCACCTCAAGTGGATATGACTATAAAAGGGCAACGGGGGGATTCTTGGGCTGGTACAAATAGAGACCTACCCGTGCTAAAATTGCACAGACTAAATACACAGCCAAATGAGTGCATGTTACACTAGGGATTTCTGAATAGTATCCATGGATTCTATCCACGTCAATTTCTCCGCTGTGTTGCTGTTACCAGAACTCTGCACAATGTTACAACTGGAGGGCACCAGGGAAAGGGTTTAAGGGACCTCCTGTATTACCTTCTCCTACCCTGTGAATTCATTCTGTATGTGAATCTGCAATTACTTCAAAATAAGTTTAATTTTTAAAATAACAGATTTGTCATTTTTTGGTTTATGTGGTTTAGCTCATGCTGGGCACTAAGTAGGGCAATTCCTTTCTTTAGGGGATCAGCGCTTACAAGGAGGGGCCATGAGGAGCTGGCCCTGTTGACACTGCTTACGCACTCAACTGGGATCTGTGTCCTCCGGCTCCCCAGGGGCCCCGGGGTGCATCCTGTCTCTCGAGAAGCCAGAGCTCACAATTCCTGAACCCTGACCTTCTCTCACTGGAGCTGGCAGAGATGCTCGTGCTACGTCAATTCTTTCCTGGGAGCGGGCATGACTGACTCATTGTTCTCTCCCAGGTGCTGCCAGCTGCCCAGGCCTCCCAGGGCCACACCCAACAGAGGGCACGTTCCCTGACAGAGCAGCCCTGGAGGACAGACCAGCAGAGAAAACCAGCCCCCGGGGCAGCTCTGTGCTGGGCAAGTGCCTCTCTGGTGGGTAACAACTTCAGGACTCCCTGACCCAGTCTGGCTAAATCGAAACTACAGAGCAGGCTGGAACAGGCCAAGACTGTCCCCAGCTGACATACACAGTTGTACGCTGGGCTGGCCGGCTTCCAACACCCAGCTTGCTCAAAGAAAGTTCTAGAGCTGGAGTGTGCTAGCAGATAGCCAGGGTCAGGGGAGACCCAGAGCTACGCCCCTGCTTCTCGAGCCTGGGGACCTTGCTGGTGCCCTCAAATGCCACACCAGCCTTTTGTATCACCCGAAAGGTCTTTGTGGCACTCTGTGTCTTTTCCTGGGCCTCCCCTGCTGCCTCCCTTTTAGGAAGGGCTGGCATACTCGACGCTAGCACTCCCGGTAACTCCCCGCTGGTTCAAAGAATCCAAAAGAAAACTGCAGGAGCGTCTTTGCTGTTTCCGCCTTTATTATCTTCAAGGTTCCACGTTTTTTCAGTTCATTCGACAATTTACTATCTGTCAGCAACAATAAAAGTACCTCCATCTCCCAAAATGTGCCACTAGGTACACGTGTATAGATAAAAAATAAGCAGATTTTAATAATACTATTTTTTGAAATTCTATAAACCCTTAAACAGTCATTTACCAAAAAAGCTGAATCACTTTCAAATCATCAACATTGCTTAGCTTTAAAGCTGCTTAAAACACACACAAACCAGTGACTCTTCCACACAAACAAAAATTATATTCTACATACATTAAATATATAATTTGATTAAACATATTTATGTCTTTGTGATGACATTTAAAATAGAAGTAATCATTTTCTTTTTTAAAACAAAAACTCTTTCAATTATAATTCAAAGCTGTCAAACCAATCTTCTGCTACAGATCTTTTAAATGTCACATACCTTCAAAAGGGGATGGCAGTTTCCTTTTAAATATGCAATTCCAAACAGTGCCTTCTGAATCAAGAATGTATTAAAATACACCGCTGGCATTTATCTCGATGAAGTATCGCCCTCTGCCCCCTCCCTCCTGATAGATATGTACAGACGCACGGCACTCAGATGTGTTTCTCCCCAGTGTAACTTGGGAGCGGTTGGTGCCACTGCCACTGGCTGTAGCCACAGGGCTCAACACCAAGTCACACTCCTAACACCTTAAGGGGACAGAGGTATCCTCTCATGATTCTTCCAGTTTTCTTCCCAGATGGCTTGCTGAACTCTGTGTAACCCAATGTTGGCGGAGCATCAACAGCCCAATCGTAAGACAGCGTTAATCACATGCAAAAAAACCTCCAAACTCATTCTCATAAGTCAATGACCTACATATTCAATTGCTTATTTGCCATCCGAGTAGCAAACACCATGCTATATTTAAACACAGAGCTTAGATATATCTTTCTTCTAAAATGCTCAGAGAGACAGATATAAGCCTTATATTTCAGCCCTCTTCTCAACTTTAGGAAAGCAAACCTTGTCAATATCCGGTGTTTGGGAATCTCTGAAGACAACAGTCTGGTCTATTCTGCCATTGTCTTAGTAAGGAGGTACTAAGCATCATTTTCATAAAAAGCAAACATCCCCGCTGGAACTTAAGTCAATTGAAGCTTGCCTTCTTAGCACCTGACAAATAGTGCTCAGATAATGGCTCCGAGTGAGTTAAGCATGGGTCATATGCATGTCACATACTCACTGTCCCAAAACCAGTCAACAGTGATAGAGTGAATGGGACACTCAGTGTCCAAAAACCAGTCAGCAGAGTGACCAGAGTGATGGGGACGCGAATGTTTCCTAACTGCTGTACCTCGGTAGCAGAGACGACATCCAGCAGAGATGACAGCAAAAACAGCAGAAAGCTCTTGAGATCTGGGCTAAGAAAGGGAGCCATAGCTCAGGGGCTGTCCCTCTGCCAGCCTCTTGGTATTTCACTCAAATCAGAAGAAGTGTAAACAAGTCGGTCCCCGGATCCCCAACCAACGTTTGTTCAAGGGTGATGCTAAGAACATCGGAAGAAGTGTCAGGGCTGAGCATTCGAGAAACCAAATAGATGACATGCCTAACCCAGTCTCAAGCCAAAGCCAGTGCCGTCCACCTAAGAAGCAGGAGTGGACTGAGGTTGCGGGAAGGCAAGGAGGAGCCCAGGGCTCTGGCCTGTACCACTAGACCGCAGTGCAGCGGTGGCCTGGGAGAGGCCCGCTGGACACACTTCGCAATGGGCCAGTTCAGCTGCTGGTGCTTTCCTGCCTTGTCCAACTATGTGACCTCAGGCAAGTCACTTAGCCTCTCAGAAGCTCACCTGGCAGGGTCGAGAGGAATGCTACCTAGCAAGACGCTGTGATTCTCGGTAACTTAAGTTCTAATTCCACTTAAAAATAGGCAGTCATGAAACTTAACGACCAAAGCCAAACTCAAAAGTCACTGGGACTTAAAAGACATCAAGAGTTAAGGGGCTTCTCTCTTTGGGTTCAGGCTAGAATTCTCTTCCTTGGGTGCTGAACTCCGTTCCTAGCGTATGGATAGGAAGCACCAGAAAATGCCATCCGCAAGGCCAGGCCCCACAAACTGACGTGTGGTACAGCTGAGGATGGGGATGGCAAAGGCAGAAAGCCACAGATGAACCGAAATACATGGCAGGGCCAGGCCCGTCAATCAGGACAAGCCACGTACTTGTTCCTTCCCTGTTAGGGCAGATGTGCTCGCACCTCCCGGCCTCGGCCCCAGAGAAGCTACTATCTGCTCCCCTAGGCGCCAACATTCCTTATTTGATCCTTGCCATCAAGCTTTTATTCTGATCACCACCCCCCGCTATACAGACACACATATACACATCTATAGCTATTTCCACATTTCCACACCACATTCACATCTTCCACATACACACACATCCAAAAGAGCTGCGTGCACTTCTGATGGTCAAAGCCTATAGCCCATTCTCAGCTGCCATCTGTCTTGCCTGCTGCACCACACACGTGCATACACACACACATTCTCTCTCTCTCTCTCTCTCTCTCTACTCTACTCTGTCCATCCCAATACTGCATCAACTGTGAACAAGCCAGGTACTATTAAGTAAGGAAGGCTGGAAATTAAATGAGACATAACTTTGTCCTCAAGGAGTTCAAACAAGAAACAGCCGAGTGTTACACGAAGTAGGCACGGACGAAGGAGGGATGGCAACTCTGCCTCAGCCCCATGCACATGCTCTCAAATCAAAGGCACTCCAGAGGCTCCTTACCACCTGCCTTCTAGATACTTCTGTCCAACTGCATGTTCCATCAACCCCTCCAACTCTGCTCACCCGCAACCACTGACATCACTGCCTCACCCCTTGCAGTGCTCATCAACAACCCAAACAAGCCCAATCCTGCCCTGATCTCATGTCTGTGTCACTGGAACCAACAGGCCTGCCTCAACCACTGTCCACCTGCACATCTGAGAGGCTGGCAGGTCACCGGGGCTAGCCGTGCACGTCAGTTCCTGGGAAGAAAGTAGAATGTGAATCATCTTCTCTCAAACGCCTATCAAAAGCCCAGCTGAGATCAATAATTTTTTGGGAGAACAGACCTGTACCAATTGGCTCGGTGTTTGGTGAGGTATTGTAAATTTGATCCTAAATCAAAGGGTATCCCTAGAAGGACCCACATGGAATGGCCTCCTCTAAACATCCCTCCATGTTGTACTTCTGACTCTTTCCAGCAATCTCAAGCACAAGAAGCAGTTGTGGGAACCCAGGCCTGGCATCTGTTGGCAGCCCATGGTTGGTGGTAGAGCACTTTACAGCCATCACTATGCCCTATACGCACCTCCCTGTGGCAAGCTGTTTCCCTGAAGGACACACGTCATCCCTCCCTAAACTCAGAGAGAGCTGCCCAACTTAAGTTATCTGTTACAGCAACTGTCGTGAAATTTTTGGTTGCTGTATTTGCATTTTAAAATCAATTTTGGCCCTCCCCCAATCTCAACCCCTATTACGGCATCCTATTTTTTGAGTCCTCAAAGAACTTTCCTGAAAGAGGTAGGATATAAATACATAAAATGGAATCCACTTAAGAGAACATTCTAGTAACCCTATAAAACATGCTTCTAAAAGTAATGACCCCAGAGACTTGGAAGAGCTGGCTGCAGCTTCCTGAGGCCCATGAGGCTAGCACACCCAGATGCCGGGTTCTGGGGTGGCCCAGCTCATGGTGAGGCTGCTCTGGGAGCAGCTGTCTAGAATACCTACTTAGCCAAGTGTCCATCCTCACACGGAAGCAAACTAGGACAGCATGTGCTACCATGTGACCATCAGTAGGCTCCAAAAGTCCACTTCTGTCAGTCATGAATGCAAAACAGTGGGCACAGATGTCAGAAAGAACCAGGAACACACCAGGTACCAAAGGCCACGACCTTCATTCTTGACTTACTAGCCTGGAGCTTCATCAGAGAGCATGGTATTTTGGGGACAAGAGGAAGCAGGGGAAGGGAGAGACATTGGGAGGCGGGGGGAAGGAATGAAGGAACAAGAATTGTTCAGAATAGCCAGGAAAAGCAAGAGAAACAGGCCCCACCCTAATATAGAGGACACAGCTACATCTTCCAGAGCATGTGAACTCCACAGCCCACGCCCAGCAGAGCCAACGGTGCAGACCCCTGCCCCCATCCTGCTAGTAGGGAGGTGGGGGTCAAGGGAGAGGAGGGGGCCCTACCCACTCACCCTCCCATCCCACTCCACCACCCAAGCAGAAAGCCAACGTTCTGTAGGGTGGTTTAAAAAATAGCTGACTTCCATACATGATCAGTGGAAGCATAAAATGTTATAACCACTTTGTAAGACTAAACATACACCTACTCCATGACCCAGCAATTCCATTTCTAGGAACTTACCCAAGAGAAATGAAATCATATGTCCACAAAAAGACATGCATGAGAATGGTTCATAGCTACTTGCTCAGAATAGCGAAAAGCTGGAAACAGCCCAAGTGTCCATTAATGGGTGAGCGGGTAAAGAAACTGCGGTCGAGTCATTCAGTGGAATACTACTCAGAAGTAAAAAGGAACAAGAGAATAATCTGGCCCAAAATGTCTTAAAAATCTCAAATACATCATGTGTGTGGCATGAAAAAAGCTTCATGCAAAAAGGTACATGTGTCATAATATACATACATATTAAATTGTATGTATACATGTATATGCTGTGTATAATGTACATACATGTATTATGTAGTATTACATGAAATTCTAGAACAGGCAAAACTACCTCTGTTGAAGGAAAAGAAACCAAAACAGTGGTGGCCTGAGATGATCAGGGAGGTGAGGGTGGGGACAGCCTGGCAGGGCCCCAAGGGGACTTTCCGGAGTGACTGTAGCTCTTGGTAGGGCTTTGGGGGGTACGCAGGTATGTGCGTGTGTTAGAACTAACCAAATGGCACACTTAAGGTCATGCATTTCATTTGACCTCATGCCCCTTCCCCACCAATCCCCACTTCCCTCCCAACACTTCCTCTAAGTTTTACCTCAAAGAAAAAACAGAAAGAACCACAAACAGGTTGACCTTAGGTCATGAGACCCGTGCTCCAGGTGAAGATCTGAAATTCAGCCAAGAAATGTGGTCAAACAGAAGATGACCAGGGCTGGGGGCACAGTGTGTCCTGCCGAACCCGGGGGTGGTGTGCACATTCATTGTAGATGATCAGACCCACCTGTCCGGTTTTCCTAACAAGAGACTGAAAACAATACCAAGACAACCTTCCAAAGGAGACTCCAAAACCTCAGCTGGGAACATTTTATTCAGAGCGATTCACAGGAGGCCTGTCTCTGGAAGGAGGAGCACAGAAACACCTGTGAGGACCAAGGCCCTGGAGGCACAGGGAGAATAACTACTCCAAGTCCAAGTCTGCAAACAGCACACGACAGAGCAGCAACCTCTGCCCGTGAGCTCAAGGAGGTCCAGGACACGGTCAGGGTTGTTTGTGCTAACGCAGGCTGATGAAACAGAGGACCCTGCACCGAAAAGGGCCCTCTGGGAAGAAAACCCCAGGACAATGACATGTGCAACATGCTGGCTGTACAGGGCTTGGAAGCAGGGCAAAGAACCCCCAGGTATAGCCCACAGGATTTCTCTCTTTTTTTTTTTTTTTCTTCTTTTGAGACAGAGTTTCACTCTTGTTGCCCAGGCTGGAGTGTAATAGCATGATCTCGGCTCACTGCAACCTCTGCCTCCCAGGTTCAAGTGATTCTCCTGCCTCAGTCTCCCAAGTAGGTGGGATTACAGACGCACACCACCATGCCCAGCTAATTTTTGTATTTTTAGTACAGATGGGGTTTCATCATATTGGTCAGGCTGGTCTCGAACTCCTGACCTCAGGTGATCCACGCACCTCTGCCACCCAAAAATGCAGGGATTACAGGTGTGAGCCACCATGCCTGGCCAGCCCACAGGACTTCTAGCCTTCCCTTGCTGAGCCTCTTTGGAGGCAGGGCAGCCCTTGGCCACGGTTCCCCAAGAGCAAAGTGATTACCACAGGTCCACTTGGAAACACGCTGCCAAATGCCACACGACTTGGACGCAGCTGCTGTTAAATGCTGTGTCCTATAAAAGTGGGACTTCTCAATCTGAAGTTGCGTTCCCAGCTCAAGTCACACGTGGGCTGCACTTACAAGCCTCTCAAGAGGCCCAAGAAGCTTTTAAAGTATTAAGTATAGAAAATACATGCAACTTCCCAGTTAAAATATAGTGCGTGGACACTGGAAAAGGTCAATGCAGCCTCCACTCCATTTTCATTACTGATGCTTCACCCAGATGGTGGGGAAGGTACAATAAAAGCATATTTAGAGACCGACTGTACTGCCAGACAAGACTAGCGGAACTCTAACTCCCAGGTTGCCTTGATCTGAACAGGTTCTAGAAACTGCCAAGCATCGCCCCCTCATTTTAGAGGGAGGCACCCTGCCACCCAGAGAGGGCAAAGGGCTCGCTGTCCAAGCTGGAGAAAATCCCTGGGTATCGCCTCCGACCCACTGTATCTCAAATACGATGTGTGTTGGCTCGGCTCTTCCAAAAACCGAAGCCAAGACACGATCAGCTCTGGAAGAGACTTCTTGGGGAGGCAGACAGGCGGGGAGGCAGAGGGAGACGCAAGTCTGACAGCAGATGCAGATGAGATGGCAGGGAAGGCAGGAGGCTGGGGAGGAGGAGTCTTCACCTGCTGTCCCCGGCTGGGAGCAGCCCGCAGAGTGCAGGCTGTCTGGGAACGCCATGCTGGATTTCCACTGCGGGATTCAGAACGTAGCAGCTGGGGCCACCAGTCACTCACATTCCCAGAAGCAGAAGATCAGGAGCGTCTTCATGGCTGCCACACCATGCCAGGTCATTGCTGCAATTTTACAGCCCGACTTGCTTCTAAACTTCTCCAACGTTTGAAAATCAGGCTTTAAGGGCACCTAGCCGAACCCAAAGTGTTTAGGTGGATGCCATTTGGGTAGGTGTGAGGCCCCCAAACAAGGGCAGAAGGGAGGGGCAGAATCTACAGGACTCAGTGAATAAATGAGCAAGAATGAGTGAAGTGAAGCCATGAGGTTCATTTAGGCTGGTGAATGGGAGACGGCGCTGCTTTCTATCTAACCCAAGCAAGTGTAGGACAGGGAGGGGGCAGCGGCGGGTTGGAACTACCCAACTCACTGTACTACTTACGTTCACATTGTCTGCTTTAACAAACAAGCCTAAAATTGTGTATCAGCTCAACACATTAGAATTTGATTTCTAAATCACAAGAACATCAGGCTCATGTTCCTAATGGGCAACTCTGCTCCACAGAGTGATTCAGGCACTCAGAATCCTCCCCTAGCACCTAGGCATTCTCTGCTGGATTTTCCACATCCAGCTGACAGTCAACAGGAGAAAAACTGAGCAAGGCACACTTGTTTCTTAATTAGTGCTGCCGGGAAGCGACACACATTGCCACCCACATTCCATGTGGGAACTATCATGGAGCCTCCGACAGATACTTGAGGTGGTGGAAGGGAAGCAGGGCCCTTTGGTGGACAGCTGGTGGTCTCTGCCATACTCACCTTCTGTCTCAGTCTTAGGTCAGGCTTATTTCGGAAGCATTATAGCACTCTGGGTCTCTGAACACAAGAACCCTGGATGATCTGACCACTGAATCAAATCAGAAAAGAGAGGCCAACAACTCTAGAAATGCAACTAGTAAATCTTCTGGTAACAAGTGGAATTTCGTTGACCAATTCAAAAGTCCAGCAACTGCCTTTTTGTTGGAAAATGCCAAACTCTAAAACTTTTGCAAAAACAGGTTCATGTTCTTCAAGTCTAAGACATCATCAAACCTTAGACCAGCATCATTTTATAAACCACTAAGGGAGAAAAAAAAAAATGCCGTCAATTAAACTATGGCTTGTGATCAATTTTATGACACAACTTGAGTCCAGAGATGTTAAAGTGCTGAAAAACCAATACAGTGTCTTCAATGAAGTCTTCCAACAGCCTTGTCAGAAACACAGGAATGGCCATTTCACAGATGAAGGCCTGGGGTTCCCACAGTTGGGGGACTTGGCAGCAGTCAAACAGCTGGCGAGGGGCGGAGTTGGAGGAGGAGGATTTCCAACCAGCCTCTGACTCAGCACCTGGTAGAGTCCTAATCCCTGCAGCTGTCTCCCAGCACACCCCCAAACTCTCAAAGCCCAAGCCAAGCACCAGTATTCGCACATCCGTACAGACTGCATCAAATGGCAAATCAAGCACCTTGGGTATATAATACTTATAAACTTATTTGAATAAAAAAAACTCCACTAAAATATGGGTTTTCATCTGCACAGCACTTTACCAACAAATTCCACGACATTCAAGTGAGAACAGATGATGTACTGAAATATCAACAACAAGAATCCGATTTGGTAAACAGCAGAGTGCTATTTTCACATCATCCTAATGAATTTAGTTTCAATAAACACAAATCAAGCAAACACTCAGAAAATTTTAACAGTATGGCAAAATGACGCTTAGAATGACAGCCCCAGAAGATGAAGTCTTTTTTGACAAGTGACAGATACCACAAGGAGAGAAGAATCAAAATGGATGACTGGATTTAAAGGGCCTGCCTGTGGCCCACATCCCTGAACTTGGCCCTGCACCTGCTTGCTAAATCTCCTTGATTGTGGGGGAAGCAGCCAGAAGAAAGCTCTAGATCCCTCAATCCTGCTCAAGCTGCCAGGCACATTCTAAGAGCATGTGTCTGGTGCATGGAAATCCACATACAGCAGGTCAGTGAGCACCCACAGAAGACCACACAGATTCAAACTCTTGCCCATAGCCTCCATCTCAGTATGACCTTCAGCATCAAGCACTGATTACTGGTAAGTATGTAGAGATGGGAGAGGACAGGTCAAGGCAGACCCAGCCTCCTCCTCAGACCTGCTCACCTGCCTACCCATCCCCCAAGATGTGTCTCAATCCCATCGTGCCCTGAAAGTAGAGCCCAGGTTAAAATCTCAGCAAAGAGTTTCACAAAGTAGCAGTGAAGCCAAGCATGCAACGATCAGGCCAGAAACTCAAAACCAGGGGATAGGGAAACAGGCTCACGCGCTGGTGGGGTACTCTGCAGCCAGGAGGAGCGCAGGCAGGGCCACCTCTTCGGAGGGTGTCTGAGCAGTCCTTCAATCTGAATCCTTTGTTTTCTCCATCTGAAAACAGAGGCTTGTTGTTTGGAGGGTGTAATTAGAACGCATTTGAACACAACTATAAACTCTAAATCACTTTAAAGAGGCTAGTCTAGTCTTTTGAAATGACTGTTTTTGCCTTGGAAATAATAAGCCACCATGAACAAATTTAATCAAAGTTGTATTTACAAAGAGTCTCAAAGCCTAAAGCAGAAGTATACCATCTCTCCTCCACACTGTGAGCTCTTTAGGGACAGGGAAGTGCCTCATTCCTATTCAGCCGACCATGTGGAAAACTACAACTGACTTCTGAATGGCAGGCACTTCCTAACCACGGCTGGAAGACTGGAGCAGCTTCTTTCTGCATGGGTGATAAAATGTGTCCAAAAAGAAACGCACATAAAGGCATGTAAAACTTAGCAGGTAGGATATCAGGCAAGAAACAAACTACAGATCAGATTTGAAAAGGACACGATCAGAAGGAACAAATGGAAACATTCCGAAGTCCTGTCCTGGAGCGCTAGTTACTCGCTGCATGCTGTTCTGAAAATGCAAATATTGAGCAGCCCCAACGACCAGATTTAACAAGCCCATCACCAACAGCCAACATGACCAACATCAAGTAATTCTGTTATCATTCCCAACTCAGAGGTGGAGAGACTGAGGCTTAGAGTCTCATGCCAGAGTCCACGGCAGTAAGAGCAGATTCAAATCTAGGCCAACTCAAGTCCACCCAGCGGAAGCCCCCCCGCCCCGTGCCTTGCTCAGCAGAGACAACAGGGCAGGAGGAAGCGGGGAGAAAGGAAGGTCCATGACTCTGTAGGGACCGCCTGGTGGGGAATTCAGGTCCCTCTGCTTCCTGGCCCTCTGCTTCAACCAGGGGAGTTCACAGCAAAGTTCTTGTTCTGAACCCCAGGTAGGGACCATAATCCTACCGCTCCCAGCAACTGCTGGTGACTCCTCTGAGCAAAGAGCACTCTGCCAGGCAGGACCAATCGAAGCCCACAAAGGCTGGAGAACCAGGCTGGCAGGCCCCTCCTTTTCTGCCCCCGCACCACAGCAGCCCCAGACACGCGGCGCGGGAGGACGAAGAGAACCTGACCAATGAGGGAGGGTGAAGCGCCCAGCACCCTGGGCCACCTCTGCGGGTCCTTGGGGAAAGGAGCCAACAGTACAGATGCGTGTGGCCAGGCCTCCTCCCATCTTCCCCCAGCCTTTCCCTCCCAGCCTGGAGAGGGAGTCAGGCATAGCCCTCCCCACTCCACCTACCCTGCTGCTTAGCTCCTCCTGCCTCCTGCCCCCTGCCCCCTGCCCCCGGTATACTCAACCCTCAATAATACTAAAACCCACGTTAATACTAGAACCCACGTTCATCCCAACAGCCAACCCCCGGGGACCTTAGCCGACGTTCACAACCTCAAACCTTCCCGTCATAGGCAGCGGCAAGGCTACATTGTGCATGGATGCCTTGGTGCGCCCCCACTCGCTGCGCTGGGCTAGAGGGGAGCCCCTTCTTGATCCAGGTATCACTGTTAGGTTTACTTCCTCCTGCACCCTGGGAGGAAACCAAGTCCCCAGTCTCTCCCTGACTCTGCCTTCTACAAAAGCCCAACCACCAGGAAGGAAGCCAATGCCCAGGAATGCCTCCAGGTGTCCTTTGTTCCCTGCAGCACCCGCTCCACCACCCTCTCTCCCTACTGTCCACAAGACAGCCTCCCACCTTTGTAGGCCAAGGATTCCCATCTGAGGGCTCCGAAAAAAATGTAAGGTCCCGGAATCCCTTGAGACACTGGAAAGCCAGATTCTTTTTCTATAGAAATGCATATATGACCGTCCCCATCCCATCCCCCATCGCCTCGTGGGGTTCCTGGGCTGATCCCCCACCCAGGCAGGAAGCCTCAAGAGGTCCATAGTCTGAGTCAAGCCCTCCAGCTTTGTCTCCTAGGCAACGGCTGCTTTCTCCTTCCAGCTACACATGGACCAAGGCAGGAAGATCCCAGCCTCCCTTCATTTCTGGCATCCCAGCAGCTAGCCCTCCTCTCCATCCCCACGCACACAGGCACCTCACCCTATGGAGCTCATTCCACTGCATTCTTTTGAGGAAGTGAAACAGCCCTGAAAGATGACCCTCACCTGCCGATGGGAAGCCAGGCCACACTGGGCTCACCACTCGGGACACTTCTCGGTGTGTGGCCCTGGGTGCCCCTGTGCTGCTCTCCTGCCTGGCCCCACAGCAGGAGCGTACCTGTCAGTCAGGTGTGCATTTAAGAAGTCGGCCTCCCAGGGCAGCCTTCTGCCCTCTGACCCTGCTCCCAGTCTGTGGGGCAGCGAAGTTAGGACTTACCTGATTCTCCAGCCCATCCCTTCCGGCCCACGAGCAGAACAGGACAAGTGGCCTCAGCTGAGGAGTGCTGGCTGGGCAGTGGTTCCCTACCTGGTTGTTCATTAGAGTCACCTGGGAACTTTTTATTACCAAGGCAGATGCCACTGTGGACCACACACTCAGAACCTGGGGGTAGGATTAAGCTGGGATCTTTTTTCAAAGCTCTCCAGGTGATTCTCAGATCCAGATAAGGATGAGAACGAAGGGGCTGGAGGGACCCAGGCAGGGGGCGGCCTCCTAGGGGAGGGTGAGCTGGGAGGGAGGCCCAGGCTGGCCCCTCACCCTCACAGCTCACAGCCTACCTCCTGTGAAAGGCCAGCCCTGACCTCAGGGTGCATGGGTGGGGCTCCCCAGGCCCCAGACACATCCCCCTGTCTGGCTCACCCAGCTTGATCGCCTGCCCAGTGTTCTCTGGTTGGGTGGTCAGCTCCTTGCAGGCAGGAGCAGGTCAGGCTTGTTCAGGCCACCACTCCAGAAAAGCATCGGCCACACTGTTCCCCCACCCTAACCCCTGGTGCCCAGCTCATTAGCCTTGAGTTGAAGAAAGGCCCTCCTCTTTTGTGTGCCTATAGGAGTGGGACAAGGTACTGTGGAGGATGTGGGAAAGAAAGAAAATGAACCCCATGGAGCCCATTCTTGCAGGAATTATGCCCTCAGCACCTTCCAAGCCTCCCTACTTAGGCCTCTTTTGCTCCTAAAACAAACCCTTGCAGAGAATGTGACTCACTCTATCTTCAACATGCACCTACTACACAGCAGGGGCCAACGAACTTGAAGTCATCAGTTGACAGTTACAAGACACCGTCCAAACGCTGCCTATTAGTCCCCCCAAAACAGCTTCACTAGCACAGGGACATCTAGGGGCAGAGACGTAAAACATTCTCCCAAAATGGTAACAGGATGTTTCCCTGATGGCGTTGCCCAGGGCCTTGAAAGAGCCGGGAGCGATTTCAAATGGGCTCCGGGCTCGTGTCAGGAGCAGGAGCTGCCTTTGGTGGGACACAGGTCACCAAACCTGACCCACCCAAATCTTCAGCACTGACATCACCGCCGAAAACGAGAAGTTTGTTTACGACAAGGTCTCATATTCCTGCTTGTTCTTTACCTAAAAATCTAAATTTCCCATGTGGGTCCTTACACATCTGTATCAACAAAATCACAATTCGCCAAGATACTGAAAGCACCAACAATTTCTGAGTTTAAGGAGAAGAGACAAAGAAATCAAGACAACAGGAAGAAGGATGCAGGAAGATGTCACCAGTTTGCTAGGACGTGGGCCTCAGGAGTCAAGAGTCCCTTCTGGGGGCAGCGGCTGTGGCCAAACCCAGAGCAGAGTCTCGGGAACCCCTCAGCCTTATTTCCCAAGGGGCCTGGGAGTCCCTGGTGACTCTGGTGGGCTGGTCCTGAATATCCCAGCTCCTCTGTCCTCACCATCTTGTCAACCCCACCAAGGCTGCAACCAGTTCCCTCCAAGGATGGTGACCTGCACATACAACATCAAGGCACCGACTTTATCTTTTAAATGCACAATGTGCTGGAGCCAAAAACAAAACAAAAAGCCTCTCCAAGATGCTTTCCTGAAACACACTAGGCTGAAAAAATGGAGCCCCATTTCCTCTTATTTTTAATTTTACATTGGCTGTGTTTATAATAAAATAGAATAACTTATTTATTTGCTTACCTTACTTGGAAAGACAATAAATTGGAAAGGCTTCATAAATCTCACAGGGAATTCCTTTCAACAAGGACTGTCAGCAAAAATCCGTAAATAACCTTCTGCCAGCCTCTAGCAATCACCTCCACCACGTTCTTTTTCCTTCCTGCTTTTGTACTAATCTTCTAGCAAACAAATCAAATCACACACCAAAACGTTTTTATTCTTATCGAGGTAAGGCTCACAAAACATCCGGAGTCCACTGGGGCTACTCACTCACGTGGCCTCTGAGAAGACTCAGATGCAGAGAAGACCCCAGGGGACCGCGGGAGGGGCACCTCTGCACCCTCATAGCCAGCCACGCTCCTCTCACTAACTTACAAAAACAGAGGTGGTGATTAGCTTCAGAAGCGGAGCCAGAGATGCTCTTCTAACAACTGCAGCATTAATTCCATCTGGAGCAAATCATCCGCAAAGCCCTAGACACACACATGAGGAAACAAAGTCCAGGGCAGGTTGCTGATAGGTCCCGGTGCCTCCTCCCACCCAGACTTGGCTGGTGTCCACAACGCAGCCTCCGCTCACCTGGCTCCCTTATAATCTCAGTGTCGCCGGAGCTTCTGGTCAAGTGCACTCATCCTGGAGCCGACTGAACCAAGGGAGCCAACGGAGTCACGCTGGGTGATTCGAGACTATCCCAAGCAACACGGACCTCATGCGGCAGGTCCTGTCCCCACCACGCTGACACTTGAAAGGCAACTGTTTGAAACTGGTTCAAATGGCTGTGTTTGACTTGAAACACATCCGCGTTTGGTGGGGCTGGTGAAAATGACCTTCGGCAGTTCAGAAACAGCGGAAGATGGACAGTCTCACGCTGAGGTTTCAAGGACTGTGCTAAAAATAAGATTAACTAAGAGGCAGAGAAGGAGGCTCGTGGATAATCAAATGTGTAAGATTGGAAAGAGCCGCTGTAATCAATTTACATATCAGGAAAGGGTAATTACCATAACCAAAGGGAAAATTTCTCCAAGCCAAATGGTTAAAAAAAAAAAAAAAAACAGACCAGCAAACCACTACCCGAATAAATGTAAAACAAAAATGTATGTTTCCAGCCAGGATGTCAAATGCCTTTCAGGCTCCAGAACTACAGAGTTTCACCCTGCGACCTTGATTCTTGGGTGCAAGATGACGAACTTAAGAACTCCAAACATACCTGTGCCCGTCCGTCTCTTCACTCGGCTAACTGTGCAAAGGAACCGGCTTCTGATGAGTCCCACTGTGGTTTCCATACAGCAGCTGCCAAAGAGCTGTGTGTTCCTGGGAAAGTCACTGAGCTTCTCTGAGTCTACTTTGTCTCTAGCCTGTGAGTGGTGCATTAGCCATTACTATTATGCATCTACCAAATACATCTCCATCTTCCCTGCTTGGCACATTCCTGGCACTCAACAGACAGTAGATACTATTAGCCAGGCGAGGTGGCTCACGCCTGTAATCCCAGCACTTTGGGAAGCTGAGGTGGGGAGATTACTTGAGGCCAGGAGTTCGAGAGCAGCCTGGCCAACATGGTGAAGCCCTGTCTCTACTAAAATACAAAATTTAGCCGGGTGTGGTGGCGCACACCCGTAATCCCAGCTACATGGGAGGTTGAGGCATGAATTGCTTCAAACCAGGAGGCAGAGGTTCCAGTGAGCCGAGATTGCACCACTGTACAATCACTGTACAGCCTGGGTGACAGAGCTAGACTGTCTCAAAAAAAAAAAAAAAAAAAAAAGATGGTAGCTACTATTATAATTATTCCACCAAATTAATGTATTTCTAATATTCTTGAATGAGGGCAGAGGATTTTCTTAAGTGGTCCCCTTTCAAAGTGATTTAATACTGCACACCCCTAAAAGACTGTCTGCCTTGTTTTTTTCTCGACTGTTCATTAGCCCCTGTTTTTTGGACTCTGGGAGCTTCCAGTCTAGGCCAGCTGGGCCTGGGCATGT
The DNA here is from genome assembly GCF_000001405.40 of Homo sapiens. Classification (NCBI taxonomy): domain Eukaryota; kingdom Metazoa; phylum Chordata; class Mammalia; order Primates; family Hominidae; genus Homo; species Homo sapiens. The sequence continues at coordinate 125,139,614 of NC_000010.11, forward strand.
AATAGCAAAAGCTACTCACCTGAGCAAGCACCGCTGGAGGGGCTCTCAACTCACTTCCCTCCAAGTCAGCTGGAATTTTTGGATCCACCCAAGGGAAGCAACTTCCCCACCCAAAGTGTGGAGATAGATGTGGAGCCCCAGAAGGGTTCTGGGAAAGCATCCTGTATCCAGGACACCATGAGGCCTTGTGGCTGCCTAGAACTGCGACCCTACTGTGCTCACAGCTGCACATCACAGAGCACAGGTGGCTGGTGACCTGTGAAAAGGTCCCCAGATCACCTTTCCAGACAGTAAAGAACTTTGCTCTCACCATCCGAAAGCAGACCGGTGGCCACACACATTCGCAACTTCCACTCAGCGTCTAGCACACCCCTTCCCCAACCCTTGCTGAACTGTCCCTGAACCCTTAATAAAGACACGATGGGGTGTCCACCCACCTTTCAGCTACTAACCCCATGTACCCAAGTGTCCTCACACTACACTGGGAAGCCCCGCTGAAATCTGCTAAGCTATGTATGTCTTTGGAGGGTATGTTTCCATCACACTCGCTGCATGGCAGTTTGTTCACAGACGACCACCCAGAAGAAGCCAAGAATGCTTAGACATTAATTTCAGGCCAGGAATCAAGGTCACATTTAGTCTGAGCTCAAAGGCATCAAAGGGTTTTCTCATACTGCAAATGCACGCATACAAGATGCACCGAGATCACGGGAATGCCAGTCAGGGCTGGCCAATCACGATGACTGCCGCTTAAACCTGCCCTCAGCCTGACTGATGTGATGAGGGAAGGGGACAAAGAATGAGCTCCGAAAGGACATTTCGGGCAACGACCAGAAAATTAGCAAATGCAGTGATCCCCACTTAACAATTTTATAAATTCCAAGACTCATTTCAAGTTTCTCCCAACTGAAAGAAAATAATATCAAGGGCCGGGTGCAGTGGCTCACGCCTGTAATCTCAGCACTTTGGGAGGCCAAGGTGGGTGGATCACCTGAGGTCAGGAGTTCGAGACCAGCCTGGCTAACATGGCAAAAGCCCATTTCTACAAAAAATATAAAAATTAGCTGGACATGGTGGTGGGTGCCTATCATCTCAGCTACTCAGGAGGCTGAGGCAGGAAAATCACTTGAACCCAGAAGGTGGAGGTTGCAGTGAGCCAAGATCACACCACTGCACTGCAGCATGGGTGACAGTGTGACCCTGTGTCAAAAAAACAATAAAAAGAATATTAAAAACCATGACGTGGCTGGGCATGGTGGCTCACACCTGCATACCCAGCACTTTGGGAGGCCGAGACAGGCAGATCACTTGAGGTCAGGAGTTTGAGACCAGCCTGGCCAACATGGTGAAACCCCATCTCTACTAAAAATACAAAAATTAGCCAGGCCTGACAGACTGGCTGTAATCCCGGCTACTCGGGAGGCTGAGACAGGAGAATCGCTTGAACCTGGGAGGCAGAGGAGAGGCTGCAGTGAGCTGAGATCACACCACTGCACTCCAGCCTGGGTAACAGAGTGAGACTCTGTCAAAAAAAAAAAAAGAATAAATAAAAATAAAAACAAAAACCATGAGGCAATGAGTCAGTTGCAGCTTATATCCCAGAGTGCAATAGGGACTTCCTGCCAAGCATCTCCTCTGCTGGGCACCTGGGCACAAGTCTCCAGCGCCTTCTCATTACCTCCTCCTGTGAGAGGAACTAGTGACTAGCGTCCTATTTGACGCATAAGGAGCTGGCAGGGTTGAAAGTGGAGCCCAGGACTGCAAGCATGGCCATCTACCCTCGGGGCCGGCACCAGCCTCGGGGCAGCTGACCTTCCCCACCTCAGAAGCTCTCATTCCTCTGGGCTTTCCACAAACCACCCTTCTTGACCACAAAAAGGTGGCCATCCTGACTGGTCTCTACCTTCAGGAAAACAAATGGGGACCTGAGGGCGCTCAACCACCCCAGACCACCCAGAAGTCACAGGAGCACGGAACAGGAAGCAGGGAGACAGCACACAGTAAGCACATGGCAAGCACACAGTAAACACACGGCAAGTACATGGCAAATACACAGCAGGTACACAGCGAGCACACAGTAAGCACACGGTAAACACTCAGCAAGTACATGGCAAATGCACAGCAGGTACACAGCGAGCACACAGTAAGCACATGGCAAGCACACAGTAAATACACAGCAAGCACACAGCAAGTACACAGTGAGCACGCGGCAAACACACGACATGCACACGGTTAGCACACTGCCCGGCTCCCTCCAAAGCCACTTCCCCCACAGAGAAAGGAGAAAGCGGCCCTGGCCTGGCAGTCACTCACAGTCCCTCTGGACCTGGAGCCAGCGGCTATGGCGGACGAAGAGGCACCTGTTCCCAGGCACTTTCCAAGAGGGGCTGGTGGGACACAGTGTGGAGAGGCAGCTGTTGTGAGTGTCCCTGGGGAGCCCAGGGAGCATGGCCTTAGATGCACCAGGGCCTGCAGGTGTGGCCCAGAACTGCCCACTCTTGGGTTTGCAGGGGACGGGGGCGGTTTGCCTACTTTGCGGAGGAGGTGGTTATCTGCTGGTTTCAGACACGACTCAAGACTGCAGTGACTGGCTTTTGGTCCGACCTGTCCAGACGAGCCAAGCTCCTGGAGTCTCAGGCATCCCTAGGATGGCACTGGGGAGAGGAGGGGTGTCATCCAAGCCAAGTCCATCTGCTGTGACCAGAGCACCCCTGGGGCTCATGCATAATCCTTGGATATTACAAATGTCCTGGAAATTACTGGCCTCTCACACCAGCATCTACCAAACTCCTCGCACTTCCTAGGCTGGCCCTTCTACTATCAAAAAGGAGTGATTTCCTTAGTGGTGGCTGGAGGCTGGGAGTCAGGGCGGGGAGGCAGGAACTCCATAGGAGCACAGAGAACTTTCCTCGGTGATGGGATGGTTCCGCAACCACCCGGTGGCGACGCCTAGATCGTCAAGACTTGCAGAACTGCATGCTAAAGGGTGTTTTACTGTATATAAGTTATTTCTACATAGGATTTTGAAAACTTGATCCTTCTCAAAAAGCAAATGATAAAATTAAATGACTTGCTTTATGCAGTGAACTGTGAAATCCTCTGCGGCCCCCAAGAGCTTTGCAACTGAGGGGTGGCTGAGCCAGCACACACCCCACCAGGCTTCCTTGAAATCAGCAACACCCAGAAGACACCAGGAGGAAGGATTCTGTGAAGCACATGCTCGCAGAGGCTGCCTGAGATGCAGCTCCGCTTCAGATGGTTTACTCAGGGAAAATCATTTCGTTACCTCCCGTGGTTTAGTGGCCAGGACATGGGAGCTGAAAGGACACGCGAGCTTGAAAGGCTCCTACCTTGGGTTCCCTCTCCCACATTTACCCTCAGCACACCCCCTTCAGCCTAACTCCAAACCTAATGTGGCCACCTCTGCCCACCCCAGCTCGCGGAAATCCACCACTGTTTTGCTGAACTCCAGATAAACCCTCCTTGCTCTTCTTCCCTGTAGCCCGGCAGCCCCCCCACGACATCCCGCACACAGTAGGGGTGCACCTTCATTCCACAGGCAATGTTCAGAAGAAGCAAATTCGCCTCAGCCGGCCGGGTGTGTTGGCTCACACCTGTAATCCCAGCACTTTGGGAGGCTGAGGCAGGCCGACCACCTGAGGTCAGGAGTTCAAGACCAGCCTGACCAACATGGTGAAAACCTGTCTCTACTAAAAAATACAAAAATTAGCTGGGAGTGCTGTAATCCCACCTACTCAGGAGGCTGAGAAAGGAGAACTGCTTGAACCCGGGAGGCAGAGGTTGCAGTGAGCGGAGAACTCGCCACTGCACTCCAGCCTGGGCTACAGAGTGAGCCTCCATTTCAAAAAAAGAAAAAATTCACCTCAATGGCACTGCATTATCACACCATGTAACATGTTGAAACCCTATGTCTAAAATATTGTATACCTATTTTTATTTGATTTACTAAATTCTAAAGCTTTTCTAAATCTCTAAAAGGTAGTTTCCCCAGTAATGCATAACTGCTTAATCGGGAAGTGTACAAAACATAATTACACTGCCTAAAACTACAATATTGCTTATGGGAATATCTCCGTTCATGCATTCCACTTTATTTTGTATTTAATCTCTATTAAGATGTCTATGTGAAAACAGATAGGTATTCTTCATAAACACCATAAATCATAAAGTCATTTCTTTGCTAACTCAAGTCCAAAAGCGGCCCCAAAAGAAACTGCCAGGGCCCCAAAGACTATCACTTTCCATATTCAAGCAGACAAGCTCCTTGCACAGAGGCCTCAGTGCAGAGCCCCAAAACACCTAGCCCTGGGCCAATTAGTCAGGTCATAATTTCTCTCACCATAAATGGCTCTGCATGCAACTCAAAAAGCACCCAGACGCTCCCCAGAAAGCAGTCACTCAAACCAAGAAGAGCAATTCCTTTCTGCTCAAGACCCCAGTTACAAACCTCATATCAAGGGGCAAACAGAGTCCCTTAAATCCTTCTTCATCTAAGGACACCCGTGGATGCTCTTTCAAGTTCACCTTTCAACCCGGGGGACTCCCACCAAAGGCTCCAGACTCTTGAAACTGGATTCTCCTGCTTCCCTTCTGGCCTTCGAATTTGCACCCACCCGCTCATCCCTAGAATGGGGTCATGTGAATACACAACCATTCTCTGGACGGCCTGGTATTGGTGGAGGAGAACCAGTTCGGATCTCGCTCGATCATTAATTAACTGTGAGCCCAGCCTATGCGGCTTGCCAATTCCTCAAGTGGGAAATAATCGCACTGCCTCACAACAGGGTTGTTACTAAAAATAAAATAAGCCAATGTATAACAAAGTACTTCTGCAAACAGAAACAAGCTAGGTTACCAGCCTCGCTGAAGCCTACTAATTAATAAATTCCCCGATCAAGATAAAAAGGATTTGCCACAAAACGAGTTCACTCTCAGTTCTAAAACAGCAGGTATCACTCCCAAATCCGCTTGCATCATGATGAAACAGGCTAGAGGCACAAGTGAGGGCCTCGGGGGCGCTCCTGAAGGTTAAGCATATTTGCCTGCAGTGGGAAGTAAATGCACCTTTTGCTGATCCATGTTCTTGCTCACACGGGCCAATGTTAAAAACATCGACTCTGTGGCATCCATCTTTGACTTGTGTACATAGATAGTAATAGTGTGCTTCACTGAGCAGTTCAGATTTTACTAAAATATAATCTGCAAAACCAATTTCTTTTCTAGCAGGTATGCTCTGACACTGCCCAGCCTCATCTCAATACACACTGCTGCCCGGTCAAGAGTGAAATGTCAAGTGCATCTGAATACGGAACTAGCTCCAATTTTATCAGACACCCAGGAAATTTCCTCTGCCTTCCTAGAAATGCCTGGTAATGTTGGAGGGTGGAGAATCCCTCTTCAAAGAATGAGGATGAGTACAGCAGAAATCCATATTCCAAGTTTCAAATAATTTAGTGGGTTATTTGAGTTATATAAAATCTTCTTTCAACCATTTTTCATGCCAAATGTTCAATAACTAGACTCGAGTGTGTGGGTGTGTGTTGGGGGAGTGGTTTGTTTTTGAAGAAAGCCAGTCTGTGTGCTGCTGTTGGCAGTTTCGGGCTGGCTGCATCAGGCACCCCCTGGAGGAGGTGGCTAAAAATACAGATGTTAGGGCTTCTCCATCGGGACGAAGGGTGGGGCCCTCAGGAGACTCCTGGCCAGGGGTGCCTTGGGGACGCCCCTGCTCCAGAAGCCAACCTTTTGAGCACCCCCAACCCCAGGTACCAGGGCCTCTCTGGGGACTGACTGAGTCACTCGTGAAAACCACCAAGCCCACCCAAGCTTCGTAGTATTAAAGGTATCTGCTGTCCCTTGGGGCAGGGTAGGGCAGGGCACGGCAGGGGGCCAGAGAAGGTTGCTAGCACTTATCTGCTCCCTCCTGATAAAACAGGGCACAAACAGCCACTCCCTGCTAGGAAGAAGAAGGCACAGTTGACGGGAGGATTTGTCTTTCTCAATGACATTCACGCCACCATAACTACTGGGATTGCCATGAATCCTACTACTATCACCACCACCACCACCAGCACCACCGTCCCTAATAATAATAATGGTAACAAACAGCTAGCGTGGGAGCACTTCCCACATCTTATTCATTGTGCACACTCTCCAGGATTTGCAATTGAAGAATATGACATTCTGGCCCCAGACCCCTGGTCCCTGGCCAGCTGAGATGCCCTTGCATTCCAGCATGGGTGGTTTCCCAAGGGCATTTTCAAGGACCATTTTGCTTTTCCAAGTGAGATTTTTTTTTTTTTTTAATTTGAGACAGAGTTTTGCTTTTGTTGCCCACGCTGGAGTGCAATGGGATGATCTCGACTCACTGCAACCTCTGCCTCCCAGGTTCAAGTGATTCTCCTGCCTCAGCCTCCCGATTAGCTGGAATTACAGGTGCCAACCACCATACCTGGCTAATTTTTGTATTTCTAGAAGAGACTAAAATATAATCTACAAAATCAATTTCTCCAAAACTAATTAGAAGAGACAGGGTTTTGCCATGTTGGCCAGGCTGGTCTTGAACTCCTGACCTCAGGTGACTGGCCTGCCTCGGCCTCTCAAAGTGCTAGGATTATAGGTGTGAGCCACCATGCCCGGCCCTAAGTGAGATTTTTTTTTTTTTTTGGAGACAGCGTCTTGCTCTGTTGCCCAGGCTGGAGTGCAATGGCACGATCTTGGCTTACTGCAACCTCTGTCTCCAGAGTTCAAGCAATTCTCCTGCCTCAGACTCCCAAATAGCTAGGATTACAGGTGCGCGCCACCACGCATGGCTAATTTTTTGTATTTTTAGTAGAGACAGGGTTTTTGCCATGTTGGCCAGGCTGGTCTCAAACTCCTGATCTTAGGTGATCCACCTGCCTCAGCCTCCCAAAGTGCTGGGGTTATAGGCATGAGCCACCCCACCTGGCCTCCAAGTGAGATTTTTTAATAGCATGAGTTGAATCCAAAGAAACTGCTGGTCCATGAAATGACCAGCCCACTCTGAAGGTGACAAACTAACTGCCGGACAGGCACCTTCCTTACCCCACCTTGCCATTTCACGCACATGACCTACTATTCACACCTGGAGCCCCACAGGAAGCACAGAGCAGTTAACACTGGCTGGGTGGAGAAAAGATATTTGAACATTTCAATCAGAAGACATTTGGTGATGCTGTACGCACATGCGTACTGTGCCTGGCCCCTAGTGGGTGCTCAGTCAGTATCTGTGAATGAATATCCTAGGAGGACATGATTAATTACCACCCCATTGCCAGGGCCTGGGGTCAGGAACATGCTCAAACATCACAGCAGATCTGCCACCCAGCTGCACCTGGTCCAGTTACCACAGCTGCTGCTGACTGAGCACCCACAAGAAACCAAACAGGATGCCACCAAGCAAGTCGACAGCCCTGGTCACTGACCGGCAAACGCACCCATTCCTCAGGGACCTGGGAGGGTGAAGGGAGCTATGATGATGACGTGTGCACAGAGGGAAGGGCAGACACAGTTCCTTTTCCTCAACAAATATGCTCCTCGGAATGTGGCCTGTCATGCCCACGTTCACTGTGGTTTATGTACTGAGGCCTCAGTAGAGGAGAATTCAAACCTGAGCGACCCTTCTCAACAGGCTTCACCTGGGCAGGGTGGCTGGGGCAGCACTGGGCCCCCACCCTGGCTGCCCATCAGGCAAGGCAGTTTTTTTCTTCCTTCTCCAGGAAGAGAAAGTAGGTCTTAAATAGAAAGTAAATATTTTACTGAGCGTTTCTTGGAGTGACCTAATACGTAGTAACATCCCACAGACTAAAATTAACCTCGTGAACAGTTTTCAGTTCATTGCTTTGGGCCCCAGGAATCAATGAGAAAGAAGACGGCTGCTCCCAAACTAAGCCAGCCCCACCAGCCACTCCCCTTCCCTACCACAGGGCACGACATCTTCCAGGTATTTTTAACATAGCACCATGACAGGCTTGGCAGCTCACACCTGTAATCCTAACACTTTTGGGAGGCCAAGGAGGGAGGATTACTTGAGCTCAGGAGTTCATGAGCAGTCCGGGCAACATGGCAAACCCCATCTCTACAAAAAATACAGAAACTAGCCAGGTGTGGTGCCCTGTACCTGTAGTCCCACCTACTTGGGAGGCTGAGATGGGAAAATTGCTTGAACCCGGGAGGTCGAGGCCGCAGTCAGCCGTGATTGCGCCACTGCACTCCAAGCCTCGGCGACACGGTGAAACCCCCATCTCGGGAAAAAAAAAAATTCTAACAAACACATACGGTACGTCAGGCCAGTTCTAAAGGCTTTAGAAACACTACTTCATTGAATCCTTACAACACACCCTCTCCTTACCCTCATTTTACAGATTCAGAAACCGAAGCCCTTTGCAAAGGCCTCCCAGTGTGGGAGAGAAGTCCAGCATTTCTTTCCATCCCTTCTTTGCCACACTTCCTTGTTTTGCCTCTACTAAGCTCTAGGAGGGCAGGACCATCTCTCCTTGGGCCGAGCCTCAGTGTTTGAAAGGAAGAAAGACATTCACGACCTTCCAGTGGGACCTCTCTGGTCACCAGCCACCAAAGTGAGCACAGCAGTTAGCTCAGTGCTTTCAAAGTGCGCTGCCGGGGCCCCTAGAGCAAAACTTTGGATCTGAGCCAGGACCCTGACATGCCAAGTAACCACCAGGTTGCAAAACTCCCAGCTACAGGCGTGACCAAAAAGGTGGTCCATGTGCTGCTGCAGCCCCCTTCCCACTAACCACAGCGAACCCAGGCTCTCCCTCCCACCTTGCCCGCTGCTCTAGAAAACAAAAGAGAATTAGGAAAGTAAACTCCTTTTTAAGCTTCCTTGCTGAGAAATATTTTAAAAGACTGCTCTGAGGGGCCAAGTAACATACGGGATTTGCTTCTAAGCTCTCGGGCCTGACTGGGACACAACCAGGGACCCAAAAGCACAACTGGGTTGAGTCATAACCCCCCTCCCTTCATCCTCTACGGACATGAGAGCCTCAACTAAGACATTCTCGAATTTACCACAGGAGTGTCTTCCTTTGCCCACTATTTGGAGCCATGTGGCCAATTTAGGATAGAAAAATATTACCCACTATTCAAGGCCTTCCTTAAATGCTGAGGAAGACATCACTGCAGACACAATTCCAACTTTAATTGTGAAATCTCCTGGCTTTTGTCACTTGAAGCCTCATTCTTAATCCCAGGCTTAGCTGAGAAATGAGAAGGATGTGTGCAAGTGGAGGAAAAAGAATCCTCAACCCTGAGTGAAAAGCATGCGCCGTGGAGGAGCGAGGAGAATGGACACTCTGAAGATGCTAGGGCTGGGAAACAGGGTGCTGGGGAAAACTGGCTCGCTGGCCTCAGAGCTGCGGCAGGTCCACCACTGCGCCGTGTTCTGCTGGAGGAACCTGGATGCCAGCTCAGTGGATCTTCTGCCCAGCGCAAAGGATCCCTGAAACCTGGAACAGGACAGGGGACACACCATAGACACGACATGGGCTCTGGAAGACCACTCACAAGGCCCGGCTCACAGGAAATGACCATTCATGGGAACCTGCACGCCGCAGTCATTCTCATGCTTAGATGCCACTTTCCAAGCAACAGCCTCTGAGAAAGCAGCTTCCCCCTTCTCAGTGTCCCAGTGAGGCACCACAGAAAGGAGAGGGCTGGCCCAGGGATGATCCTGGCCCCACCACCCTCTTCCAGGTGGAGTGAAGTGGAAGGAGACCTGTTTAAAAACTGCAGGGGGCACTTAAAATGGGCTGACTCTATTCATACCCAAGCTGGAGGTGAGCCAGGACACCGGGACTCACATGACTGATTTGTCAAGAGACTCCTCCCAGCACTTCCTTGAGTCATCCACAAGACAGAGCAGAATCCAAAGGCCAAGATGGAGGCGGGGGGCACCCAACATCCACACCACCCCCGGCCCCACCAGAGCCCCAGCGGAAACCAAGGATTTCCAGAATACACATGTGCTCACAAGTGTACACACGTGTTCACAAAAAGAAGAGAAGGGTTGTAGAATAGGAAGGTAATCTTATAAAGAAAAGCCTGTTTTTCAGGAAAACCTTCACCTTGTGGGGACCTTACCCTCTATGGAAAGCCAAGGTCAACCTGGGAGCTCCCGCATCACCTGCTCCGGGTACTCTTCCGGTGGAGCGGGGCTGGTCTCTGGATTTGAAGACACACCCAACTCTGTGCCATTCCCTGTCAGTTCTCTGATAGCCTCTTTGAAAAGAAGGCTGTTCCCTTTGTTCAGGAGTATTAATTCAAATTCCTTTCTAAGGCCCACACCACACGGATGCAGGGGAGCGACCCAAAGGAAGTTCACCCGGCAAAACCTAGTTTCTCCCTGGTTTTCACAGGAGTGGTGCAAACAGACTATCACAGTTAGGAGAAATCCTAAGCATCTTCCCTGTCTCTTGACCCCCAACTCCCCAACGTGGAACCCACAAACCAGATCCTATTTCAGGTGTGCACATGGCTCCAGTTGAATGCCAGAGGCAACCAGAGTTGGGGAGGGGTGCATCCCATGGACCCAAGCCCTCCCTCGAGGGAGATGGGGGGTGGAGGGCAACTGAGATCACACTATCCCAGACCACAAACATGGTCTTACCTATTGATGAAATGATACCTGGCCACTAAATCCAATTTTACCACATGAAACCCTAAGCACTGTGAAAGCTACACACATAACCCCAGGAGAGTGTGCCCATGCATTCTTGGAGTGTGGGGTGGTGCTGCATCAGAGACACACAGATGAGGGCAAGGGAGAAACAGCTTGGGAGGAAAGAAGGAGTCTAGTCTTGGTTAGTGTGGCAAAGCCATCCCCAGACATTCCCGTGTCCCAGTCAAAGGCCACAAGAAGCCTCGGTCAGCCACAGAGAAGCCAGAGCCAGGCGAAGTTGGTAGTAACTAGCCAGACTTAATTACCTAAGCTCCCTGGCCCTGACTCTTCATTGGTAAAACAGTGACTAACTATCACCTGTGCCTCTGCGAGGACAGCGCTGTGCTTGGCCAGGGCTGGAGAGCCGATCTCAAGGCAGGTGTCTGGCCTTTTCCCGGACATAGTGAGTCTGTGATCCAGAGTCTGACCCACGTATTCAACGGGGCCTGCCTCACTTCCTGCTCTAGGATGTTTTACATTCACTGCACTTTTGGAGTGAATATTCACAACAGCCTGGCTCCTGTTTGGAAGCCTGAGGCAGGCCCCGTTGAATACGTGGGTCAGACTCTGGATCACAGACTCACTATGTCCAGGAAAAGGCCAGACACCTGCCTTGAGATCGGCTCTCCAGCCCTGGCCAAGCACAGCGCTGTCCTCGCAGAGGCACAGGTGATAGTTAGTCACTGTTTTACCAATGAAGAGTCAGGGCAACGCAACAACACACAATGGCCCAGCGAGCTAGTGCCAGACACTAAGTAAGTGCTCAAGAAATGGTTGCTCTCTAGTTACTTGAATAACAGGTAGAGCGCACTTGAATGGCTGCATAAGTTTCTGGAGCACCAAATTAAGTCTGCAAAACATAGAGGCGAACACAGAAATTCCTCCATGGAGAAGACGAGGGCAAGACGAAACGGGCCAGATCGCACCGTCCTACCACTCTGCGCTCGGACAACCTCTAGTCACATGCCTCGCCAGGCTTCAGGTGTTGGGAGCCGCCGGGGTGAACAGCAGAGAACGCAGCAGAGGCGCGCAAATGTCACTCGTCCTCGACGTGGAGTTCTGCTGAAGGTCTCAGTGGCCCTCGCTGTTTCCCACAGCAACTGCCACTGCGCTATTTGTACTACAAGGAAAACACCCAGATTCGAAGGTTATCCAAGAACCGTGGTCACCCCCAAACACTGCCCAGGAGACGAGATCCCAAGCCGGTCAAGTGGAAATGATGCCGCTGTTTACCGTTTGCTTGCAACTCAGCCACCATCGCGCAGTCAATCAACGAACCTCACCACTCACCACGACCCCAGGAGTCCCCATGAGTGCCCGGAGTCCGCGACCGCTGCGGGGTGGAGGCGGCTCTGGCCTGGTGCAACCAGGTCCCCGCCCCTGCTCTGAGCCTCGAGTGCGGGCTGGGGGCCAACCTGGTGTCCCGCGTGGTCTCGAGGCTCCTACCTTGCCGGGGCCTCGCGGACCGGAGAGGGGCCGGCGACCCTGCTGGCTTGAGGCGGCGTCTAGCTGGACCCCCGCCGCCCCGGGTCCGAGCGGCCCCGCCCAGCACAAAGGCCAGCGGGAGGAAGGAGGAAGTGGGCACGGAGCGGGGGGAGGGGGCAGGGCCCATTCTCACACCTCTCAACGACTTCCCCGCGGCGGGAAGCGGCTCCATTTACAAGTGTAAAGGCGAGGCGCGAGGTGGGGGGGCCCGGGGGTGTCAGATACCGCGGCCCGCGGAGGGGCCAGGGTGGGGCCGCCAAGTGCCCTGCGGGGGGAAGAGGGCACAGCTGGGGCGGGGCCGCGCCGCCAGGTGTTCTGGCCCGCGGGGGCGGGGCCTCCAGGTCCACCCGCCGGGAGGAGAGGGGCGAACCCCAGGGATGGAGGGGGCTTCACCTGGGGCTCGGGAGCCAGGAACCCCGGGACCCCGGGACCCCAGAAGCCCGGACGCCAGGAGGCCCGTCCTTGCAGCAGGGTGGGGCACCCCCGCGGTCCGGGAAATGCAGGAGACCCCGCCCCCTCCAGGTAGAGCGCGGCCAGGTGTGGCGGACTGGCGCTCCCCGCAACAGAAGGTCGCGCAGGACACCGGAAGTCGTCCTGGAGTCAGTCTGAGCGGATCGCAGGGGTTCCAGGCGCCCCAGGCCCCCCACACCGCGAGTCACAGGAACAAGGAGGAAAAACAGCCTCTTTATGACTTGGGGGAGGCAATTCAATATTTCTTCCTGGCATAAAATAGGAATTGCTCTATTTACCCAGCCCGCAGGAGCGTCGTGAAGATTAATGACTGTGAAATGTTTTTAAGATCAAAAACATTCCCAGATTTTACTTGTAGGCACTTATATGTGCATATTGGTATCTGTACAGCAAAATATACTCTTTATTGATTGCCCTCCTAGTGTGACTTCTATTCCGTAATCTGAAAGCCCCGAGATAAAGGAATCAGGTCTGTCTCTGCCTGCTCCTGAAACACTAGGAAATATGGGTAGGAAATGTCAGGTCAGCTGGGCATCTACGCTGAGCCTCTATCCAGTCCGCAGGGCAGATAGAGCAATCCAGAGTGCGGACCACAGCTGAACGTCTGGAGAAAGGGAAAAAACTTTAAGATTATTGGTCACCCCCCACTGGGAAGAAAACACAGTATCCTCCCCAGCTCATTAGGAGGTGCTCCCAAAGCCTGAGTCTCCATCAGGGTCTCGGGTGTTTGCAGAGCCTTGGCTGGCACTGGGAGCCAATGGTCAGCCAAGTTCTGCCTGTGCCAGGAGCCCACGCAGCCCATCTGGCCCGGCAGCTCCAACAGCAAGGCCTCCCTGTTCCGAGCAGAGTAAGGCCACATGACCGCACAGAGGACAATGTTGGGCTTCCCAGGGGTGTCTCCACTCCAGGCTGAACATTCTCAGTTCCCTCAACCGTTCCTGGGACATGGCTTTAAGAGCTCTCTCGGGCCCTGCCCGCTGCTGGCGCTGGCTGTACTCCAGGTGGGCAGGCCTGGGAGCTGGCTGCAGCAACACCAAGTGGGGTGTCCAGGATCCAGATGGATTTGCAAGCACTGCCCCCACCCGTTCCCTTGGTCTCCCTGGACCTGAACAAGCAGCGGATAAGCCGACTGTGTTTGCACTTCTAGACTGCACGAAAGACCATCCATCAGCAAAATAATAAACTCACAGCTAGAGCTCATTTAAAAGGAAAGGTGCACAAACTCCTGGCCTTTCACCCCCTCCAGCAGAGAAACCTCGAATGCTCTGTTTTCCCCTCCAAACTCTTCTCCTCTCATTTCCCCTCTCCACCCTCCCGCTGCCACACACACACCTGCGGCAGGTACAATACTATCACTTCCAGGTTAGATTCTGGCCACTTACACCATAAAATGATTCTTTGCTAGCCTCATTTTATAGATGAGATTTTTAAATTCCATCTTGGAAAAAGAAAAGCCCCATTAGGCCAGAGGAGTTGATCTCCCTCCACGGTCTAGGTCTTCGGTTCCTTCCAGAGAAACTTCCTCAGGTTCCATGACTCCATAATAAAGTTTTTGTTTGTCCTGGGACGGGACAGATTGCTGGAGGCCAGATTTCAGGCATGGCTGGAGCACAGCCACGATAAGCTGGACTTTACAAGCCCTGAGCTTGCTTGTGCTGCAGGAAGACCTACACACACTGTCTCTGTGACACATCCTTTAACGTGGCCCTTCCAGGCTTCTGCCACAACGTGGGCTGGAATGAGACACAGAAATATTGCCACTATTTCCAGACAATCTTTAAGGCAGCTGACAGTTTCTTTTAGTCATAATTAAGGATTTGTTTTAATGCAAGAAGCACATTTCTGCTGATCAGAGGAGAGCTTTGGAGGAAGCACAAATCAGCAATACAATGGAAGGTAAGTATTTTTGTATTTTATAAATGAGAAGGATTTTTAGAACCCCACGGATGAAAAGCCCAGCCCTCCCTCTCCCCCCTCACCCCTGCCTCCAGGGCTTTTCTGGACTCACAGAAGGCAACAAAACCAAAGGCAAGGCTGGCCACCACCAGGATCAGGGGCAGACAACAGCAGCTATTCAGGGTTCCCATCCTTTAAACACCAACCGATCTTTGGGAAAAACGAAGTCTCTATTATTACCTAGGACAAAAGTCACAATTCTCTATAGAAACAAAATCATCACTTGTCCCATTCATAAGATCCCAACCATTTCATCACAATTTTTGTGAATATTAAGCCAACTCTAGGCAACCATCTGTTAAATTTAGTTAGGTAAACAGCTAAAGCAGATCACTTTCTAAAACATTCACTGAGGGAGGGACTAGGCATATACACATGCAAACTACAACTGGTTCTCACCGAGTGTCGTTGCTAAAAAAACTGAACAGGCTTCAGACACCAACAATGGTTAATGATCTACATATTATCTACATATTCCACTTAAGGTGAGGGTTAGAAAGTGAGGGGCCAGGAATGCACCTCCCTTAAGCTACAGAGTTGGTTCCACTTTGGGACCTCGGCTCCCACGTGGAAGGAGAAGGGCTTTGTGAATGGGGGAGGAGCTTTTTCCGAAATGGCAGCAGCTACGCAAAACATGAACATCCAGCAAAAACTTATTTTAGCTGCATTCTCCCTAATGCTACCAACAGATTAAAAACTACTTTAAAGTCAGGAGAGGAGTAAAAATAAACACAACTTCCTCCTGTGACTTAAGATGCCTCCTTTCTGAAGTTGAATATCATTTCCTAAAATCACATTTCGAGGGGGTAGAAAAGGTCTGTTTACTTTCCTTGAGGAACTCTTACTATCTGCCGTTAAAATCGTTCCTCAAAAAAGCAGATTACTGAGAAGAGAAAGCACACGACGTTCCTTAGCAGTCCAGAAAAGACCACCTTCTAAGAAAAACTCTGGAAAGGGGGCAGGCCAAATCTCCATGCCCGGCAAAGACGGATGAATGTGCCCCTGGTTCCCATCCCGTCCACAGCTCCTGAAGTTTCTGTGTTCTCCAGCAGTCAGAAGAATGAAGGCGAAACTAGCCCTTGGCTCCCATGGTCAACATTCCACACAAACAATGGCCTGGCTCTCTCCCTATTGTACATTCTGTATTCATTTGTGAATCCCCCCTTTTTTTTTTTACACAATGTGCAAAGCCCTTCTTTTCACAGGCGAAGTTCTGAATGCCCAAGTGCAGCCATAATTTAGGCTTTAAACATTAATAATGATAGCTAAAAGCAAACTCCAGATTATGCCCAAACATTAATTTGTGAATATCATTAGAGTCACACTGATGGCTTTTGGATACTCTCCATTAAATCATGATCAAAAGGGCCACTGAACACCTTTAAAATGGTTCTTAAGTTTTTAGCAATTATTAAATATAATTTTCCAAACCCCAAGATAGGATTAAAAAAAAAAAAACTCTTTCATAAGTCTTTGATACATATTCCATCAAACACAGACTTGAATGAAAATTAACTTCAAAAGATGAGGTGGGGAGGAGAAGCCTTGCATTTTCCCTTCTTTCCAGGAGTGCTGTAACTTTAACTTGCAGCAGCGTAAATTAAGACATGCTTACCAGCTGTAAGGGAGAAAACTGATATCTGCCAGGCCGCACAGTCTCTAAAAGTGTATCCATTCCAGCATTTCATGTGCCCACTAAAAGTTTTCAGCAGGGTAAGTTCACACAAGCATTCCTCCCCTAGCAATTCATAGAAAGATTGCTGGGGAAAAGACACCCCGAGATTTCACCACATGGGTCACTTCCATTAAGTACAAATACTTCTTTTTCCAGGGACAGACACACTGCCCTCCCATTTTTTAGTTACTACAAAAATATGTTCCACCCTGTGTAACAGACCTACCATCCCAAAGTGGAAATATTACCTGAGCTGTGCCCTGCCCAACTGATAAATTTCCCTTCCCAACCATGTGCTGTATGAATATATATTTGTGGCCTGATTCAGGGCCACAGGACACTAGGGCTGCTGCTTTTCCCTGATAGATTAACAGAGGGACCCAGGCTGCATGCACATACATTATGATGACAGCCCCTCTCTATGGAAATGACAGTGGTAAAAAAATGACAACTGGGGCTGCCATTCTACCATTGCTGTAAACTCTTTAAATTTTTTCCATTTAGGGAAAGCGTTAAGTGCAAAGGGTATAACTTTGCTTTCAAAAATGATTCATGATGTTAGTGAACTGTTGGCAAATGGCATTCTGGTGCTAGATCTCAGCAGGGCTACTCCCTCACTCAGAGGTGTCCTTTTCGGTTTTTTTTCAATCCGTGAATCTCAAGGATTTCAAATAGTGTGAGCTGTTTGTATTTTAACAGCAATGGTAACAATAAAAATATCATTTTAAAATCCAGTGCACTGCTTGTTCAGTACATACTATATATATTCATCATTTCTTTGCCTTGTAGCTGGCTACTCAGAAACTAAAAAGTTGTAGGTTGATTTTCTGGTTTTGTTGTTTGTTGTTGCTGTTTGTTTGTTTCATTTAATCTCTCTTTGAAACATTTTCCAGACTTAAAAAGTAAAATTTCTGGAGTTTTAAAAGTTAAGACTGAAGTTATTGATTATTCTCTGAAAGGGTAACTGACAAACTAGTTAATAATTATACAGATAGCAAGTTTTACCGTTTCATCTTGTGTACACGACCAGATTAACAATGGCAGGGAAAGCACACACAACTTGGCAGGGACAGGAACAGGTGTGCCCCGACTCTCAAAAGGCCAAAATATCTCACCAAGTATGTCACTGGCGTGTTTTTTACAATGGCAGTAGTGTTTGTTTTTAACTAGCCAAACGTTCTTACTTTCTTAACTTTAGAGAGATGTACTTTACGAATATCTTTCTCTTCACGGAATTGATGATTCAGTTCCACACATAAATTGCAACTCGTGCAAGGAAATGATTTTTAGGGACAATGAGGCTTTTTAAAATCAGTTAAGAAAAGGTAATTCACCCTGCCCCTCCCCGCAGGAGAACACCCATTCAAGGGTCAGTTTCAAAGCTCCCAGGCGAAACCGTAAATAACTCACAGGGTTCTGCATTCAACCTGCAGACTCTTATTAAGGTACAATTAGAGAGGGGGTTGTCAGGTGGGGGTTAAAAAAAAAAAAAGAGCGGGGGGGAGTCGGTATTCTTTACCTTATCTTTCTGAACAGGAAAAAGAATTAAACCCAAACCACCTAGTCAGGTTCAAAACAAGCTCCAAACCCAAGATCTTTTAATTCCCTCTAATAACTGCTTTCCACAGGGATGTAACTGGGGTCCCCTACCCCTGGGGCACAAAAAACCAATCAGCGCCATAAATTCCCTTTGCCTTCAACCCTCTCTCCCTTTTACAGGGGGGCAGGGTAGGGGGAGGGGGTGACCCAACATCAACACTTACACTCTACAGAAATATGCTGGCTTATTTCCTTTGTTTGCTCATGTTATACTTGATCAAGTGTGAACGATTAAACTGGTTTCATTAAAGGCAAGTGCATTCACGGCTAACATCCAACTTCAATGGCAACTGTAAGCATATTTTGCAAGAAAGAGGGCCTGTTTTTTTGCTTGAAATCTACCATCTCATTAACTTTTCTTTTGGGGGCAATAAAAAGGGCACTAGGGGTTTTTCAGGAGAATGTCAGAGCAGTTCAGAGATCTGATGCCAGACAAAAGAATATTTAGCGTTTCAACTCTACGATACAGTCTCTGCTAAAGAAAAAAATTCTGTTTCAACATTAAAGCAGCTATGACTGAAAATGTCTAATTAGCATTTTGACTATTACTTTATAATTGCTGTAAGAAGTATCCTTTGAAATCAAGTGATTACAAAAACAAGATCCTTTAAAGTCTCATTACTTCAAAATAGAAAAGATTTATATTTAAAAAAAAAGGGGGGGGTTAAAAACCTCAGAATTCTCAAAGTACATGAAAACTACCCACTTCTACTTGGAAAACCCTCGAGGCAAAACAGCAATCTTAGGTACTGAACACGAGGTAATTTTTAAACTGTCTTCGAACCCAAACACCTAGTAGAGAAAGCTATCTTTTTTGAAAGGGTGGTATGAGTCGATATATTTCGCCCAAGTTAGAAAGGCAGAAAGAATCACTTTGTAAACTTCCCCAAAATATAACGTCCCCTCAAAATTATCCATGTCAGATAAAAATATACCAGTCTCTAGAATATCCAACAGAATTGCAAATAAGGCGTTTAGCATTTTAAATTCCCAATGCATATTTATAGAATAGAATTCTCTTGTCTATCCTTCCAGCCACTCGCATCAGACTCTCTAAGAACTTAACCCGATCTCCAATCTTTAAAGAAAAAAGGGGGTAAATACACAGAAGGATTGTTTACCCCGGACAGGGCAAGGAAGCCCGGTATGACGACGTAGGCCATTGCCAGCAGCCTCCACCACGAGCACGCAGAGCGGGGATTTCTACGAAAAATTCCTCCTCTTCCCTATAAAATCCTAAACGTGGGGTCCTCTGCAGCCAACTGCCGCTTGGGCCGCCTCCGGAAAAAGTACCGGGCGGGGGGAGGGGGGACAACCACAAACACTCGCGCGCACACGCTCACTCCGTGTCCGCGACCGTCGTCGCCGGCGGAAAGCGAGCCACGGGAGGGAGTGTGTGCGCGCGTGTGTGTCTCGGCGCGGCCCGCGGTGACCGAGCTGAGCTCTTGGGCCCGCGGCCTCCGAGCCCCAGGGCGCGGCGTGGGCTGCAGGCGACCCGCCACGCCGCTGGGCCTCCCGCGGGAGAAAGGCCCAGGCACGCCCCGGCTCCCGCGCGCCTCTGCCCAACTCGCCCGGGGCGCTGGGGGCAGCGCGAGGGAGAGAAAGAAAGGCGCTTCCCCTCGGCCGCGCGGGGCCGTCCGGCGCCGCGGAGGGCTGGGAGGAGGAGGAACCGCGGCGGCCCGGCTGTCCCTGCGCCGCACCGGGTCCCTGCCGCCCGGGGCGCGCCCTAGCCAGCCCCTCCTGCTAAACTTTTTCTTTTTGATTCGCCCCACCCGAAAAGTGCGGCCCGGGCGGGGAAGGTGGGGGAGGCGGGCGGGCCGGGCTCCCGGCGGCGGCGGGCGAGGAGGAAGTGGTGCCCGCGGGAGCGCGGCCGGGCAGAGGAAATGCCCGGCCCGCCCGGCCCCCGCCCGCGCCCGCCGCCCGGCCCGCCCAGGCCCCCCGCCCCGCCGCGACTTTGGCGGGCCGAGCCCCGCGCGGCAGTGGCGGCGGCGGCAGCGGCAGCAGATGTGGCCCGGCTGCCCGGAGGAGCCAACAATGCGGGGCCGGCAAAACAAAAGGGTTCCACTTCGCCTCCTTTCCCGTCTTTCACTTGCGCTCCCGGGGAGCCGCGCGGGATCCCCCGCCGGCAGGGGCAGCGCCCCTGGGGACCGAGAGCCGCTCACGCCCCGACTTCCCCACGGAACCCCTCTTCTCCGCGCCCCCCCCACCCTCGCCTCGTAGGCGCAAGGCCCGCCGCACCCCGGCGCGCTCGGACTCCTGTTCCCCGGAGATCCGGCCGTATTGTCCCCGCGGCGCGTCGCGCGCTCGGCCTGGGTCGCCGGCGGCCCCCGGGCGCGCACCCACCGGGCTCAGGGAGCAGGAGCCGGGGGCGCCCAGGGAACCGTCGCCGAGACGCCGCCGCCGCCGCCGCCGCTGCCCTCCGGACGCCGCCGCGCTCGGGGTTTCTTTTTTTTTTTTTTTCAACCCTGATGGGAAGGAAGGTGACCGCCTACTTCGCATTCATCAACTCTCATCACAACAACAAAAATCCTGGCGCAAACGGCGGCCAGCGGGCGCAATCGGTGGCGGGGGCGGGCGGGGACCCCCGAGCCAGCGTCCACCCCCGGGCGCCGAGGGGGGACACGAGGCCGGGGGCACGGACCAAAGATGTCCTCGGATGCCGGCTCCGCGTCCTTCGCCCTCTTCCTCCTCCTCCTCCTCCTCCCTGAGTGGCGCAGTGAGGCGCGGGCGCGGCGCCCCCAGCCCGCGGCCGCAGGTGAGGCGGGGGCGGCGGCGGCCCCAGCCCTCCCCCGGGGCCCCCCTTACCTCGTCCCGGACGGTCGGCGTCCACGGCGAAAGGCGCCCACCCTGGAGGCGGCGGCGGCGGCGTCTCCCGCCCCTCCCACCCCACCCGGCGGCGGTGGCGGTGGCGGCGGCTGTGCGGCCCCCCCTCAGCGCGGCATGGCTCCCGGTTCGGTCCCTCGCTCCTCGGGCCGCCGCCGGCTCCTCCGGGCCGCTCCCGAGCCACCTTAAAATGACACACGCACACAGGGACACACACACAAAAACTTAATCTCTCCAGCTCCCCGCCCCTCCCCCTCCCGCCCTCCCCACCCTCCCTCCGCTCCCCTCCCCTCCCCACCCTACCCCTCCCTTCCCTTCCACCTCCTCCCCTCGCCGCCGAGCCTCTTCCTACTTCCCCACCCACCCCACCCCCTTCCTCCGCCCACCCGGTTCCCAATTCCCCCCGCGTCCCGGCCCCGCGCCCTCCCGCCCGCCGAGAGGGGGCTGCGCTGGGGGTCCCCGGCCCGGGCCCGCCCCGCGCCGCGCTCACCCCCGAGAGGATGCTAATTCCAACTTGGATCGGGGGAGGGAACGTCCTGGATGCCGAGCGCCTCCCGGCTATTTGCTCTTCTTTATTTGTTTTCTCCTCCGGGGAAGGAGAAGGAAAACGGAGAGAAAAGGAAAGGAAAGAAGCGGCGCTGGCCGCAGCTCCCGGTACCCGCTGGCTGCGCAGGAGCTAGGCGGGAGGCGAGGTGAGGGTCGCCGCTCGCTCACTCCTCGCTCCTGTTTTTGGGGGGGGGGGGCAAAGGCGGGGTCTCTTTTTGCAAACCAATGACACAACCCCACATGGGCCGGCCTCGCCCCCTTCAGATACTCCTCACTACAAATCGGCTCTCTCGGGGGATTAGTGGCTCCGCGAAAGTGCACACAAGCGCGGCGGGCGGGAGGGCCAGGGGCCGGGCGCGGCGGGCACTCCCTAGCCCGGCCCCGCCCGGGAGGCCCTCGGGAGGCGCGGGGGCCTCGGTGGCAGGGGCCGAGGTCCTGTCGCGGTGGCTCGGGGTCCGCTGCTCCCCTGGCCCTTCATCCTCCTCCGCCCCTTCCACGTGGGGTACCGGGCAGCCGGCCACGTGGGGGAACGCGAGCCCCGGGTGGCCCCGGTCCCATGGGGCCCCGCCCAGCCAGCGGCGCCAACCAGCCCCCTTCCCGGCCCCCGGGCTCCAACTTCCTCCTGGTGCCCCGCACCGGCCGCTTCTGCCTTCTCAGGCCCGCGGGGTCAGGCGCGGGCCGGCCACAGGGGGCACTTGCGCTCCCCAAATCCAGATCCGGGAGACCGTGCCGGAGAGGCGGCGACCGCTGTGGGTGCGCAGGGAAGGGCCCTCTGTGCTGCAAGTTGCAGCAGTGCTGTGCCCTAAAAGAAGCAAAACATTCTTACACATTGAAAAAAAAAAAAAAGGTTCCCTCTTGCTGCCTGGATCTCGCCGGGGCATTTGAGAAGCCCTGTGTTGGGTCGGAGCCCCGGGTCTCGAGGAGGGAGGCGCGCTGCGGCGTGGGGGCCCGCGACTCGGGGTCCTGGGCTTGCGCGGCGGCCCGGAGCCCACGCCGTCCTGACGTCTCAAGGTTGGAGTCTGCACAGCGAGCCTGGGAATCCAGGCCCAGCGGCCGCTCGCGGCCCAACGAGCACCTGGGCTAAATTCCCCGCCCGTGACCCGCGACGTCCGAGCGCCGTCTCCGGAAGGGAGCTGGTGGCCGTGGAGTGTGGGGTCTTCTCCCTGCGCCCCAGGGCCCCCCAAACTCTTCTCACTACCCTGAGTTCGGCGTGCGTCCTCCAAGAATCCCTGGGTGGGCTGAACTGAGCCCTTAGGATCGATTTGTTTAAAAACCCTATTGAGATATTAGGAGCTGGATTGAGATGTCGAGCAGGAAAGGAGTGGGAGGGGTCTGAGGTCCCGCCTTTGGAGGCCGCAGGGACCGCCATTCCGCGAACCCAGCCGCGCGGTGTGGTCTCCTCCATCCCTGAGTGCCCCGCGCCCTGCAGAGCCGAGGAAACTTACAGCCAGGGCCAGGGGGCCGGAGGAGAGGCCACCGAGCTGCACGACCCTTTTCTGCATCCCAAAGAGCGTTGCTCCAGGCCTCCCAGTCTTCATTAAACATTTCTTAAATCCTGCCCCAGCCCGCCGCGGGGCTTGTTTGCCAAAGCGCACCAGGTGCGTTGCGGCCTGAGCGGCCTGCAGTGGAGGGGCCGGGACTATCGAAGATTGCTTAATCACTCAACAAGATTTTAAAACGTGATTGAAGACCGCCTACCTGTGAGGGCAGCGCCGACCAGGCTTTTCTTGCCCGCTAGTCCACGTAATGCGGTCGCTAAGAAGCCCGCAGCAGGGTTTTCGCGTGACCTTCATAGGGCCTGGCCAGGCCAGCTGAGGGGCGCGCCGGGCTGCGCTTCCATCGAGGAACCTCCGCACATGCAATCACGGTTGTCTCGTCTTCTGGCAACCCTGGATCTCCACAAACTGATCTTCAGGGTGCTTCTCTCTTCAGCAGTTTTGCCTCAAGGGCATGGCGCCTCAGCTAGTTTTTGGCTGTAAACAAACCGCGGCCACCGCCAGGCTACCGGGTTACCAGTACCTGTTCTTCGGAGTTTCTTAGGCATAAACTATAAGAACTACAAATAAAGATTTTCTGCTTCCTTATTTCACAGAAGTCTTTGGTTCTGAGTGGTCTTCTTTTCTCAGGAAGAAACCACAAAAAGCCTGATTTTCCATATCACTCCTTCACTTTCACGTGTTCTATAAATTTGAATTCTGACTTAGAAAGTATTACTAACATGTTCTTGGCCGGGCACGGTGGCTCACGCCTGTTATCCCAGCACTTTGGGAGGCCAAGGCGGGGCAGAACACGAAGTCAGGAGATCAAGACCATCCTGGCCAACATGGTGAAACCCCGTCTCTACTAAAAAAAAAAAAATACAAAAATTAGCTAGGCCTGGTGGCGCATGCCTGTAATCCCAGCTACTCGGGAGGCTGAGGCAGCAGAATCGCTTGAACCAGGGAGGTGGAGGTTGCAGTGAGCCAAGATTGCACCACTGCATTCCAGCCTGGGCGACAGAGCGAAACTCCGTCTCAAGAAAAAAAAAAGAGAAAGTATAATTATTATTATTATTATTGAGACGGAGTCTCAGTCTGTCACCGGCTGGCGTGCAGTGGCGCGATCTCTGCTCACTGCAAGCTTCGCCCCCCGGGTTCAAGCCATTCTCCTGCCTCGGCCTCCCAAGTAGCTGGGACTACAGGCGCCCGCCACCATGCCCGGCTAATTTTTTTTTTTGTATTTTTAGTACAGACAGGGTTTCACCGTGTTAGCCAGGATGGTCTCTATCTCCTGACCTTGTGATCCGCCTGCCTTGGCCTCCCAAAGTGCTGGGATTACCGGCGTGAGCCACTGTGCCCGGCCGAGAAAGTATTATTAATATATTATTTGTTTTGAAGACATTAAAAGCAAGGCATCCTGAGAGCTGAAAAGTATTTCTCACTTCACTTTACCTGCATTTTAAAATATGGAGCTCATTTGCCCCCAACATGTGAATTATTTCATACTATTTTTTTTAAGATGTTGCAAACAAAAAACCCAATTCAAAAATGGCCAAAGACTCAATAGGCATTTCTCCAAGGAAGGTAGACAAATGGCCAACGGCCAGTAAGCACATGAAAAGATGGTTGGCCTCACTGGTCATTAGAGACATGCAAATCAAAACCACGATAAGTTACTACTTCATGTCCACCGGGATGTCTTTTATCAACAAAAGAGAAAAAAACGTGTATTGAGGAGGATGTGGAGAAATGGGAACCCTTGGACTGGCACAGTGGCTCATGCCTGTAATCCCAACACTTTGGGAGGCCAAGGTGGGCAGATCACCTGAGGTCGGGAGTTTGAGACCAGCCTGGTCAACACGGTGAAACTAAAAATACTAAAAATTAGCCAGGCGTGGTGCACGTGCCTGTATTTCCAGCTACTGGGGAGGCTGAGGTAGGAGAATCGCTTGAACCTGGGAGGCGGAGGTTGCAGTGAGCCAAGATCGCGCCATTGCACTCCAGCCTGGGCAACAAGAGTGAAACTCCATCAAAAAAAAAAAAAAAAAGTAGTGAAAGAAAAGAGAGATCCACAGCCCCAGTGTGGAGCGTTGAGTTTGTAAGGCACTTATTTTCTTCCGTCTGGCAGCCTTTAAACAGGATGGCATAATTCCTTCCCTACTTTATACCTCCTCGGGAGCACTTCTGATGTCTGTAGGAACCCAGGGGCTGAAAAAGGCCCGTGGGACCGGCCTGCGGCTGCATCACAGCCTGCCTCCCCCGCTACAATCAAAGACCTCTAACCGAGGTTCTTATTTCTCAGCTTCCTATCTTTCCTATTTCATTTCCAGGAACCAATGGTTGTAGAAAAAAAAGATAGTGGCCCTAGATAATGGTGGGTCCTTTTATCGGAACTGTTTTGTGCAATAAAATGGACTAGTTGTGTGCACTTGAGTATTTCAAGGGTCTGTGCAGCGAGAGTTACTGGGAGTTGGACTTAACTGTATTGTTACTCACCTATCTCTGTTATTCAGGGTTCAGCTCACTTCAGAACCGCAATTATCTGAAGCTCTCAGTTGCTGTCCTCAGTGGATGTGGGAATTTTGTTGCAATGTTTTATAGAATAACAGTGCTCTCTTTGGCTATAATATAATCACTATGTGATTCATAATTAATTCTAATCAGTGAATACATATTGCTTTTATAGATGCCATGGCCCTTTCCAACTATGCATTGAAAATCCTAGGCTCGGCCGGGCAAGGTGGCTCACGCCTGTAATCCCAGCACTTTGGGAGACAGAGGTGGGTGGATCACGAGGTCAGGAGATTGAGACCATCCTGGCCAACATGGTGAAACCCCATCTCTACTAAAAAAATACAAAAATTAGCTGGGCATGGTGGTGCATGCCTGTAATCCCAGCTACTCGGGAGGCTGAGGCAGCAGAATCGCTTGAACCAGGGAGGCGGAGGCTGCAGTGAGACAAGATCACGCCACTGCACTCCAACCTGGTGACAGAGCAAAACTCTGTGCTCATGCCCGACATACGCAGTAAGGGGTGCAAAACTGGAGTGGTTGAAGCTGTCAGTTTCAGGATTGAATTGGCATTTGGGTTTAAGCCCATCACTTTTATTTTTTAATTAAATACACACACACACACACACACACACACACTCTCACTGCCTGAGTCCTTTGAAAAACAGTGACTACAGTCCTAGGAAAACAAAAGCAAACATGTTGATCTACAGACACAAGTGAATCTGTATTGTAACATCTAGAAGAAATCAGCAAACATACCACGCAACTACTACTCAACAAACATTGAAGGAAGGTCTGTGCCGTTCCTGGCCCAGGCTGGACCCTGGGTACAGAGATTAACCCCAGCTGGTCACTATCTCCAAGGAGAGAGCATCCCAGGGAAACTGCATTAGCTCAAGTATTATCTCATTTAAGCCTCATAATACTGTGAGGTAGGGATTAAGATTCCACAGTTATCTGTGGGAAAGGTGAAACTCCCAGAAAGATTAGGTACTGAGCCTGGCTTCCCGGGCATGTGACCCTATGCTCAAAAGGGAGAACTTGGCTCTGCTGTCACCATCTTAAAAATGTTTTATGAAATTTTTAATTTTTTGTAGAGATGAGGTCTTGCTATGTTGCCCAGGCTGCTCTTGAACTCCTGGCCTCAAGTGATCCTCCTACCTCGGCCTCCCAATGTGTTGAGATTGCAGGCGTGAGCCACTGGGCCCGGACTTAATAATTTTGAACAAGGGGCTTTGCATCTTCGTTTTGCACCGGGCCTCACAAACTGTATAGCTGGTTCTGATTACATTCATTTAGATTAAAAAGGCCGCATCCTTGCACCATAGAACACAAAGTGGTAAAGCCAAGCAGTCTTCATTATCAGCCCATGGAGTCACATAGGAACCAACATGAGTCTAAGAAGTCCCCTGGCCTCTCACTAGGCCACCGCCTTGCATGTACAGTGCTGAGTCCACCCATGGAATGTTAATTTTCCTATGCTGCAGCAGGGCAGGCCCGTGACATGCAGACCTCAGACACATCAGCAATGGTAACTAAGGCTGGAGTCATGCAGGCTACTGACTCAGTGGGGCCAGTAGTGAGGCCACGATGGGATTACTGCTGAGAATGACCAAGCATGGGACAGAGATGGAATGGCAGCCTCCCGGGAGCTGCTGCACACGGAGGAAAGAGCTCCATTATCATAGGAAACGATTCGGCTCCAACCAGAATTAGCTTTATGGTCAAAAGCTCCTGAAATCGGGGTCTGCTGGGTACTGAGCGCGTCAGGCTCTACAGAGTGAAGACTTAAATCCAAGGTCATGGCCAGACATCTGGAGTTCATCGCCAGGACTGTGATGGCACAGGAAGGGAATGTGGAAAGCGCACACAGGACCCTAAACAGAATCCTAACTATGGATGGGCTCATTGAGGACATTAGGCGTCGGCGGTATTGTGAGAAGCCATGCCACCGGCTGCAGAGGGAAAGCTATGAGAGGTGCCGGCTGATCTATAGCACGGAAATGGCTCGCAATATCAACTTCTTGATGTAAAAGAATTGGGCAGATCTCTGGCAGGGCTGCTGAGGCCTGTGGATGGGACACCCAGTGTGAAACCCTCATCCAGTCGTGTCTCCATCTCGTTTCTTTGAACAATCCCATTTCCTATTACTGATCTCTGCGATAAACTCAATCCCATGTTGGCAAGAAGGCCTCCACATATAGAAACAATCCCGTTAGTCAGCAGTGGACCCTCTTTTACTAAGTGAAAGAAGAAACTGAGTCTGAAGTAATGTAAGAGTAGAATGGCGTTTGCCAGGGGCTAGGAGGGGGCAATGAGGAGTTATTGGTTATTGTTTAATTGGTACAGAGTTTCAGTTTGGGAAGATGAAAAAGTTCAGGAGGTGAGGCCAGGTGTGGTGGCTCATGCCTGTTATCCCAGCACTTTGGGAGGCTGAGGTGGGTGGATCGCTTGAGGCCAGGAGTTCTAGACCAGCCTGGCCAACATGGTGAAACCCCGTCTCTACTAAAAATAAAAAAAATAAATAAAAAATAAAAAAAATTAGCCGGGAGTGGTGGTGTACACCTGTAGTCTCAGCTACTTGGGAGACTGAGGCAGGAGAATTGCTTCAACAGGGGAGGTGAAGGTTGCAGTCAGCCAAGATCATGCCCCTGCACTCCAGGCTGGGCAACAGAGTGAGACTCCATCTCAAAAAAAACCCAGAGAAACAAAAAAACAGGAGATGGATGGTAGATGGTGATGGCGGTTGCACAAATGGTGAATGTCCTTCATGCCACTGAACTGTACACTTAAATGCTTACGATGGTAAAATGATGGTAAATTTTATGTTTACTACTGTAAAAACTTTTTTGAAATAAAAAAAAAGGTCCTGATATCATCTGCAGTTTTGGCACCTGCAAAATACCCTAATAACAGAGCTGACTGCAGTGAGTCTGTCTTCCTCAGGGGACTCTCTACTTAAAAAAAAAAGTGTCCATGCTTTTCCCTAAGTATCTACAATTAGGGCCCCTGTTTATCTGGTCAGCTGGCCAGGGGAGCCCATGTCAGGGTTGATTAGATACCGTTCATCGTGCCTTTACTTGCCTCTGGAAAGCATCATTATTTAATGTTGGTTGGAGTGGCCCTTGCATTTCACAGAAGAAGCCAAGGAGGCTGTGAGGCTGGGTCACTCCAGCAGGTAGGCTGGAGCCGAGGTTGAAACTGCAGGTCTCTGGGCTTCCCAGATTTTCCCTGGCTCGGCTGTTTTGCCTCCTACTGCTATCTGGGCTGTAGACAGGTGCGGGCACCTGGCCCCCTGGCCTGTGCATCTCTGGAATCTCTGGAGGCTTGTTCTCACATCTAATTTGTGCCAGGAAGAAATAAAGCAGTGGCTGGCCAGTTGACCTGACACACAGGGGCCCTTATTTGTAGATTTTTCAGGGAAGAGCATGGATGGTTTTTGTTTGTTTTTTTGTTTTTTAAGTACAGAGGTCCCCTGGGAGGACAAACTCACTGAAGTCAGGGAATTGACTGTTCATTTCAAGATGAAAGAAAAGTTGATTTGAAGAGTGCAATGCATGCTCACTCACAGGCCCACCACCTATGTGAACCATTTTTTCATATTGATCACAGTGTCATTAGCTGTTTTTTTTTTTTTTCACTGTATATACGTAGATACTTTTTTCCCTGAACCATCTAAAGGTAAGTTGCAGACATCTTGGTGTTTCACTCCTTAACACTTCAGCATTTTTGTCTCTTAAGAAGAAAGACCTTTTACAAAACTCTAATATCTTTAGCCACGACTATGAAAATTAACAATATGTATTAATGCCAGGGTTGTAAATTCAGTAATGTTCAGTGCGTGGTCAGCATACTGCGGCCAACCTGTGGACTATTTTTGCAGGTCAACAACAAGCTGAATTCTAAAACTGAGAGCAAGCTTTTAGAAACTTTTATAGCAATCTGACAGAGTACTTTTAGATCTGTTAAATCTAATAATAAAAAATCTGGGCTGGCATTTTTTGTATTTTTCCACTTCTTCCTAATAAGTCACTATTCTTATGTTTTACAAAAGCATCACTCTGAGACACACTAGAAAACAAAAACAAAAACTGTTCCTTCATTATAGATAGTCTGCAGAGCCTCTGGCTAATCCTCGGACCATATTCAAACATCCCCAATTGTCCCAAAATGTCTTTTGTGGATTTCTTTCTCAGCCCAGTATCCAATTCAGGTTCACATGCAGCATTTGGTTTTCACAGGGTCTGCTGGCCTCCCTTAGCAAGCATTGGGCCATCTTCCTGCTTGTCTTTGGAACTTGTGGGTGGGCCCATCTTAGAGCCAAGTAATTCAAGTACCAGGGACCTGGATCGGGGACAGGTCTGCAGTTCTCTGGGACTGTAGAAATTACTGTTCTTAAAGCTATAAAAGTGTATGCCCAGCGATCCGACAAATCATTTTCAAATTTCATATGAATGGTTTCTTGATGAAAGAAAATAATTATAACATATCTGGCATTTTGGCAGAATTATACTGAGTAAGGCAGGGGAACCTGTGTTCATGTTAAGTATCAGCCAAGCCAGAGATTTGTGCGGCTCTGCTGTTAGAGATGGTAATCAGGAAAACCATAACAACGTGTTTATGCAGCACTCAAATCTGGCTAAACTTCTTTGCGCAAGATTGAAAGTTGTCTGGTTTAGGCTCTAGGTAGTTCTCAGCTGTGGAGTGGTAGTCCGAGTATGGATTTAGGGACTCCTCAGCGAGGAAGTAATATGCATTTGTCTAAATTCATTCCCCCTGAAGTGGACTAATTAGTGTGATTGTTATAAGGCACGGTACAAATAACTACCATTTATTTTGTGTGTAAAGCATTCCACATGATGCTTGGCACATGGAACGTGCTTAGAGCAGACGCCCCTGAGCTCACACCCAGGGCTTTGTGAGTTGCAATCTGTGCAGCTGCACAGGACCCTACCCTTAGAAGAGCCCTGTGCTCTTCAGCTCTGCAGCTGACATCTTGAAATTCTTAATAATTTTGCACAAGAGGCCCTCCCTGCGTTTTCATTTTGCACTGGGCCCTGAGGATCATGTAGCCAGTCCCATCCCCACCAAATCTCTCTGACCCATCTCTGATTTTAGCAGCAGATGTGGTGAATGGTCGGGTGCAAGCTCAGACTCCCCTCCTACCAACAGCAAACACCTTCAGCACGGGCAGCACAACTTTCCGCATTCTGCTCCTGAGCCTTCTCCAACACTGCACTGAAATAGAGTCCCGAAGTGTGGGGAGATAGGTGGTGGTGGGGAACCCCACAAGCAGATGTCATTGGTGGGGGCAGGAGCTGGTGGGTAAATGCCGTGGGCTCCTGCTCTTTGGAAAGACAGTTCTGGGATGTATTCTGGACACTTCTCAGAGCTCCCAGCATAACAAAGCCCTAGATGCTCACAGTCACCTGCCTATACCCACCACTCCTGCTTCCTGGGATCGCCTCCTACATAAACCACCTGCACCCAAGATGTTCCTTGTCTGCTTCTGCTTTGGGGGGATTCCATGCTAAGACAGTCACAGTGGTGGGTGTTCGATGAATATGTGCTGGACAAATCAGTGAACCTTAGGATATAGTGAGCCTTAGCTCATAGGATTATTGACAGGAGCCAATGAGATAAATTATGTAAACATCCGATTCAGAGCCTGGCACATGGCAGGAGCCCCGTATGTGGTTGCCGGTGTTGGTGTAACTTCCCATCTCACCTATCCAGAGTTTTCCCTGCAGCAGAAATGGACGTGAAATGCAAGATCAAGTATGACAGGGACAGTGTATTCATTTTCTGGGGCTGCCATAACAAATCACCACAAACTGGGTAGCTTAAAAACGACAGAAATATTGGCCAGGTGTGGTGGCTCACACCTGTAATCTCAGCACTTTGGGAGGCTGAGGGGGGGGATCACGAGGTCAGGAGATTGAGAGCATCCTAGCCAACATGGTGAAACCCCGTCTCTACTAAAAATACAAAAATTAGCTGGGCGTGGTGGTGTGCTCCCATAGTCCCAGCTACTCAGGAGGCTGAGGCAGGAGAATTGCTTGAACCCGGGAGGCGGAGGCTGCAGTGAGCCGAGATTGCGCCACTGCCCTCCGGCCTGGGCGACAGAGAGAGACTCTGTCACAAAAAAAAAAAAAGACAGAAATTTATTCTCTCTAGAGAGAATTCTGGAAGCCAGAAATCTGAAATCAAGGTGTCAGCAGGGCCATGCTCTCTTGAAAGGCTTCAGTGGGGAGGCCCCTCTCTGGTCTCTACCAAACTTCTGATGGTTGCCGTCCGTCCTGGTTATTCCCAGCCTCTCCTTTGTCCTCGGGTGATTTTCTCCCTCTGTGTCTGTGTCTACATCTGTTTCCTCCCCTTGGAAGGATATTAGTCACTGGACATCTTAACTTGATGACATCTGCAAAGACCCTATTTCCAAATAAGGTCACATTCACAGGTACCAGGGATTAGGACTTGACATATGATTTGGGAGAACACAATTTCACCCACTGCAGATGGAAAGTGGAATTTATTTAAAATAAAATGCGTAACAACCAGGGCTTGATTTTCCTTGGATAAACTGGCAGAATGAGCAAAGGATAATTTGTACCTCTGGGATCAGTTCACATGTCACCCTAAATGGCATTTACACTATTATGTCATTATAAAGAACGTCTTGGGTGGATTGCAGCCATGTTTTGACATAGCTGTTTGTAAGTGTGCTGAGAATTTAACGTCTGATATAAGCCATAATCCCAACTGGGCTTTCCCCACAGAGTTATTTATAAGTAGCCTCAGATGTTAATTATTAATACATATAAAATATTTATTAAGCACTTAATTTATGCCAGTCTCCTATGCCAGGCACTAGAGAAACAAAGAAGAATCAGGCACAGGCTTTGCCCTCAAAGAGCTCCTGGTCTGCCAGGCAATGGTATCTAAGTTTTACAAATTCACTCAAGAGCATTTACTGAATGGCCACTGCACGCATAGCACGAACCAGCTTCTGAGGTCGTCGCTCCTCCTGTGTCTGCAATCCAATGGGGCTGCCCAGGGAACTTTCTAGGCAAAATACAAACATGAGTGCCACTGCTGAGAAGCTCTGTTGTGTGTTCAGACTGGAAGCTGGGTTCTTTTCTTGACTGTGCCTTTTTTCTGACCATGTGGTTTGGGATAGGTCACACCCCTCTCTGGGCCTCCTTTTCTTCCTCTAAAAATGAGCAAATATAATGAGATCATGCCAAAGGGCTTCTCAATTCTTACGTCATCATCGCAGTCAGTGTAGACCTTTAGTAAGCACCATGCACCAGGAACTGCTCCAGCCCTTGCCACGTATAATTTCAATTCATCTTCACAACAATCATATGAGGTATGGATTTTAATAATTCCGCCCCCGCTTTTTTTTGAGATGGAGTCTTGCTCTGTTGCCCAGGCTGGCGTGCAATGGCAGGATCTTAGCTCACTGCAACTTCTGCCTCCCATGTTCAAGCAATTCGCCTGCCTCAGTCTCCCGAGTAGCTGGGATTACAGGCACCCACCACCACGCCCAGCTAATTTTTGTATTTTTAGTAGAGATGGGGTTTCACCACATTGACCAGGCTGGTCTCAAACTCCCGACCTCAGGTAATCTGCCTGCCTTGGCCTCCCAAAGTGCTAGGATTACAGGTGGGAGTCACCTCATCCGGCCTAATGATTCCTTTTTTTTTTTTTTTTTTTTTTGAGATGGACTCTCACTCTGTCACCCTGGCTGTAGTGCAATGGCATAATCTCGGGTCACCGCAACCTCTGCCTCCTGGGTTCGAGCAATTCTCCTACCTCGCCTCCTGAGTAGCTGCAAATACAGGTGTATGCCACCACACCTGGCTAATTTTTGTACTTTTAATAGACACAGGGTTTCACCACGTTGGCCAGGCTGGTCTCGAACTCCTGACGTCAGGTGATCCGCCCGCTCCAGCCTCCCAAAGTACTGGGATTACAGGCGTGAGCCACTGCATCCGGCCATGATACCCATTTTACAGACTGAGAAACTAAGGCATAGGGTGATTGAGTCCATTCCAATAGGTCACAGGGAATTAACAGTTACAGCAGGGGTCTGACCCCAGGACTGAGCCATCTTCCTGTGCATTCAGTGATTTTGCCATATCGAGAATCAAGATAATTTTTTTTTTCCCAGGCTGGAGTGCAGTGTTGCAATCTCGGCTCACTGCAACCTCTGCCTCCCGGGTTCAAGTGATTCTCCTGCCTCAGCCTCCTGAGTAGCTGGGATTACAGGTGCCCGCCACCACACCCGGCTAACTTTTTTATTTTAGTAGAAATGGGGTTTCACCATGTTGGCCAGACTGGTCTCGAACTCCTGACCTCAGGTGATCCACCCGCCTTGACCTCCCAAAGTGCTGGGATTACATGCCTGGCAATATTTTTTTTTTTTGAGATGGAGTCTCTCTCTGTCTCCCAGGCTGGAGTGCAGTGGCGTGATCTCAGCTTACTGCACCCTCTGCCTCCTGGGTTCCAGCAATTCTCCTGCTTCAGCCTCCTGAGTAGCTGGGACTACAGGTGCCTGCCACCACACCCGGCTAATTTTTGTATTTTTTAGTAGAGACAGGGTTTCACCGTATTGACCAGGCTAGTCTCAAACTCTTGACCTTGTGATCTGCCTGCCTCGGCCTCCCAAAGTGCTGGGATTACAGGTGTGAGCCACAGTGCTCGGCATTATTATTATTATTTTTTAAGAGGCAAGGTCTTGCTCTGTTGCCCAGGCTCTGTTACCTCAAACTTCTGGACACAAGAGATCATCTGCCTCAGCCTCCCAAGTCGATGGGACTACAGGTGTGTGCCACCACTTCTGACTAATTAAAAAAAGAATTTTTTTGGCCGGTCATTGTGGCTCATGCCTGTAATCCCAGTACTTTGGGAGGCCGAGGTGGAGGGATTGCTTGAGCCCAGGAGTTCAAGACCAGCCTGGGCAACATAGAAAGACCTCATCTCTATATTTTAAAAAACATAAGCAAAAACAAACTAAAACTAAAAAAAAAATTTTTTTAAGGGAGTCAAGGTCTTGCTATGTTGACCAGGTTGGCCTTGAACTCCTGGGCTCAAGCAAGCCTCCCAGTTTAGCTTCCCAAAGTGCTGGGGTTATAGGCGTGAGCCATTGTGCTCGGCCTCAAGAGAACTTTTAAAGACAGCAGCAATCCACCAGGTGAGTATAGGGAGGGAAGCTTTATAAATCCTGAGCTGGCAGAGAATAGCAGCCAATTCTTTAACCAATTTCCTTTTGCTGTCCCACAGCATGACTGAAACAAGTTCCACATAGAGCATGCCTCCTCCTTCAGCAGCGGGTCTCCTCCTGAGCTTCCTTTTACCTAATGGACACCACGGATCTGCTTCCAAGCAGATTTCCCTCTCTGTGCTAATTGGTAGGAAGCACATACCCCAAATCTGAACTCACTCTAGCAGCTGCAGAATACCTTATAGAACACATTTTACATGCTGTCACTAATCCCCGGCTTCACTGCATTTACACATTCTTATTTTCCGTTTACTCTGACGTGCCAGACGTCTTCATTTGTCCTCCAGATCTACCCTACGTCGTTTCCCACTCTACTCTCTGTCCTGGAAGGCTGAACTGTGTAGACAACACCAACCGCTCACCCACTGGCTTTCAGTTGGGTCTGGACAATGGGGAACCACAGTGGATTAGAAAGAAGGAGGAAGCGGAGGTCAGTGTTTTGATTTCCCTGTCTCCCCGCCTTCTCTCCCTCCTCCCACCATCCCCACCAGGTTGCCTGGGGCTGCCTGTGTCTTTCCACCAAAGGTCATGCTACCCCCTGTCCATGCTTTTTTTTATGAAAAAGGATATTGAGACCAGCCTGGCCAACATGGCAAAACCCCCTCTCTACTAAAAATACAAAAATTAGCCGGCCACAGTGGTGGGTGCCTGTTAATCACAGCTATTTGGGAGGCTGAGGTGGAGAATTGCTTGAACCCAGGAGGTGGAGGTTGCAATGAGCCAAGATAGTACCACTGCACTCCAGCCTGGGTTATAGGGTGAGACCTTGTCTCAAAACAAAAAAAACAAAAACAAAACAAAACAAAACAACAACAAGAGCCTGTTGCCCAGGCTGGAATACAGTGGCAATATTCACAGGTGCAATCATAGCTCACTCTAGCCTCAAATTCCTGGACTCAAGCAGTCCTCCTGCCTCAGCCTCCTGAGTAGCTGGGATGACAGGAACATGCCACAACGCTGGGCTGTGGTTCACATACATTTTCATGATGAGCGAGGGCAGAAATAATTACATGATTGGTTTGCTGATAACATGACATTTGGGCTGTGGCTCTTTCTTATGGCTCTTGCCTTTTACCAAGTCGTTAGATGGTTTTAAGAATCCCAGGGGATCTTGCCGGCTCCAAACCTGCTGCTTCTGGAAACACCTGTCAGGGAAGTCTGGTCCTCAGCTACACTTTGAAAGTGGCTGCATTCACTTCATCCATGAAGTGAACATGGAGGAAATGCCTAGTGAATTGCTGGACTGAAAAGCGGTCATAACTTTTCAGCTCACATGAACACACACTTGGGAAATGTGTGAAACCCTAATTTTAAAAAGAGGCTCCTTGGGAGAAACATTAGTAGCTGACACAGAGCCATTTTCTGGCTTTCACCTTGTCACCACTGGTGGCTGGGAACAGACTGTCCAGCCTCTGCCTACTCATGAGGATTCTCAAAAGAGTTTTCAATATATTCCATTTGTTAACAAGGAATCGCGCTACTAAAAAAAAAAAAAGAATAACATTTGCAAATAACCTCCTATTACTTAAGGCTTTGATTTTTACTGTATTATGGAAGAATTGGCAAGAACAGCAGCGTAAGACAATGGACCCCATAGTAGAGACCCATGAATAACAAGGCAAGGTTTTCTTAAGCCTGTCACTCAAACCCAAGGGCTTCTTTCTGGAGCAATCTTTGATGTGAATGCCCAAAATGCCCCAAATTCAACGGCCGTTTAAATCTTAATGATAAAACTCAGGAGCAATACAAGTGTTTAAAACAGGAAAGGGATACTGAAAGCTCTCCAAAACAAAGACTAGGATTCCAGTGTCGCTGGTCATAGAAGAAAATTGAGGTCAGCAACGTCCGGCTCAGAGACATTTTATCTTCAAAGATAGTGTCCAGCTGCTACTGTTACAAGGCAAATGTGAACAGCTTGCTTAATATTTCATCGACATTATTTGCAGAAAGTTAAAAACTTGACAGACACACGATGTTGACTAGAAGCAAGGAGAATCGTCCTCACATTCTTGGTGGGAATTTCAACTGGCCCAATATTTCTGGAGGAAGGTTTGGCAATATGTGTTAAAAGTCTCAAAAATGGCCAAGGACTATCTGAAAAGATGCTCAACATCACTGACGATTAGAGAAATGGAAATTAAATCACAATGAGATATCGCATCACACCCATTAGCATGGCTGCTGTCAAAAGAACAGAAAACAAGTATTGCTGAGGAATGCAGAGAAATTGGAGCCCTTATGCACCGTTGGTGAGAATGTAAGATGGCGCAGTTGCTATGGAACCAGTATGGAGGTTCCTCAAAAAATTAAAAATAGAACTACCTTATGATCCGGCAATCCTGCTTCTGGGCGTATATCTACAATAATTCAAAGCAGACTCTCAAAGAGATATTTGCACATCCATGTTCACTGCAGCATTATGCACAATAGCCAAGAGGTGGAAACAACCTTAATGTCCATTGACAAATGAATAAAGAAAACGTGGTATATACATACAATGGAATAGTATGCAGCTTTAAAAAAGAAGGAAATTGTATCATTTGCAACAACATGGATGGACCTGGAAGACATTATGCTAAGTGAAATAAGTCAGCCACAGAAGGACAAATACTGCATGATTCCACTTACATAAGGTATCTAAAATAGTTGAACTGATATAAGCAGCAAATAGAATGGTAATTGCAAGGAGAT
This sequence comes from Homo sapiens, assembly GCF_000001405.40. NCBI lineage: Eukaryota > Metazoa > Chordata > Mammalia > Primates > Hominidae > Homo > Homo sapiens. The sequence goes on from NC_000010.11 coordinate 125,176,852, forward strand.
GGGGTAGGGAGAAACGAGCTGTTCAATGGGTATAAAGTTACAGTTATACAAGGCGAATAGGTTCTAGAGACCTGCTGTACAACATAGCACTCATATTTTTATAATTAACAATACATGCACTTACAAATTTGCTAAGGGGGGAAAGATCTCATGTTAAGTATTCTTATCACCAAAACCAACCAAACAAAAAACACCAAAAAACAAAACAAAAAAAAGGATGAGATTTTTGGAGATGATGGATATGTTTATTACCTTGATTGTGGTGAAAGTATCACGGGTGTATGTGTATGTCCAGACTCACCCAATTGTGTACATTAAGTACCGCGCAGTTGTTCTCTATATCAATTATTTGTCAATACACCTGTTAAAAAAGAATATTTAATGGCATTGTAATATGGTCATGACATACTATTATGTTAAAAAGACACTTTAGGCCGGGCGTGGTGGTTCACGCCTATAATCCCAGCACTTTGGGAGGCCAAGGCGGGCGGATCACGAGGACAGGAGATCGAGACCATTCTGGCCAACATAGTGAAACTCCGTCTCTACTAAAAATACAAAAATTAGCTGGGTGTGGTGGTGCGCCTGTAATCCCAGCTACTTGGGAGGCTGAGTCAGGAGAATGGCTTGAACCCGGGAGGCAGAGATTGCAGTAAGCCAAGATTGCACCACTGCACTCCAGCCTGGCAACAGAGCGAGACTCTGACTAAAAAAAAAAAAAAAAAGACACTTTAGAACTTAGAATTATACTGTGATTCTAATTTTGCAATAATTCAGGCATGTATGCATAGAACAAACGCTAGAAAATAGATATCAAGATACTACATGAACAAGGGGACACCTTTGGGCATAAGGATTAGAGCTGACTTTTATGTATTTTTGTGTGTCTCTATTATCTAAGACAAACGTGTACCACTTCTGCAATCAGAATTAAGCAATTTTTCAAAAAAGAATAGGAATGAATTCCTGAAAGGACTACATCATGCTCTGGGAGGTGAGATTGGGAGAGTTGAGAAATGGCTTCCATTTTCTACCTTACAGACTTTTAAAAGTATGTATCACTTTTACGAACAAAAAAGAAGAATGAAGTAAAAGCAAGGTGCAGTCACTGTCAAATTCTTTTCAAAGCCAAAGCCAAACCCACCAGATGTCTTTTCAGGGCCAAAGTATAAAAGGCAGTAAATAGGAAAAGCACCTGCCAACCACACAGGCCTAGAAAGCCTTCGTGTTTGGAGCTGTCCATAAGTTCCAGGGTGTTGGATGGTGCCACCCCACGCGCAGAGGCATGGGAGGTGATGTGAGAGCTGGAGCAGGCAGAGGCCTGGAAAGTCTGCCCTCTGGGGATCGGGGACCAGGGAGAGGAACTCCCCCCAACCCTGAGAGAATGTGCCTGGTGTCTCAGACTGAAGAGGGCAACGTAATTGGGTGGGGGGACTCTCGTACAATTGGGTTCAACTGTCCATTTTCAGCATCTAAACTTCATTCAGTAGCAAAGAATGCAGGATGATGTTGCTGTTTTGACAAAGAGGTGTTTGGGATTTGGAGCGCTGCCCAAGGGCACGGAGGAAGCTTTTTGTATTATCCGCTGACAACTGCATTGTGGACATGCTGGAAGGGGAGTTTGTTCACTGCACAAACACGCAGTCACACCCAGCTTCGCCTATAATGGAACCAACAGTTGTGAGCCCATTAAAGACATGGCAGGAACTTCAGGCTCTGGCAGAATTTGCTGCAGTCATTTTGAAAGGAATCTTGGACACTGAGGGGTCTGTTTTCAACTGTCTAGGGATTTAATTTGCTTCATCAAGTTGATTGTGTGATTTTTTAAATGGGTCTCCATTCTTAAGGCAAATTTGAGTATTTTTATCTCGCTTTTCATTGAGTATTATGACATAGGCATATTTTTCACGTTAATAGAAATTCTTCAAAAACCTCCAAAATGGCATACAATATCCAATCCTGTGGCTGGGCCATACATGATCCCTTTGGTTGGCCATTGAGGTTGTTGGCAAGTTTATTAATATTAATACTGCTGCAATTCATATTTTTGTGCCATTAAACTTTGTTTGCCTTTCAGATTGTTTCCTTAGGACTGATTCCAAGTGAAACCACTAGGTCAAAGGCATACACATTTTTTTTTTAATTTTTTTAAATTATACTTTAAGTTCTAGGGTACATGTGCACAACGTGCAGGTTTGATACATAGCTATATATCTACCATGTTGGTTTGCTGCACCCATCAACTCATCATTTACATTAGGTATATCTCCTAATGCTATCCCTCCCCCAGCCCCCCACCCCATGACAGGCCCCGGTGTGTGATGTTCCCCACCCTGTGTCCAAGTGTTCTCATTGTTCAATTCCCACCTATGAGTGAGAACATGCGGTGTTTGGTTTTCTGTCCTTGCAATAGTTTGCTCAGAATGATGGTTTCCAGCTTCATCCATGTCCCTGCAAAGGACATGAGCTCATCCTTTTTTATGGCTGCATAGTATTCCATGTGCCACATTTTCTTAATCCAGTCTATCATTGATGGACATTTGCGTTGGTTCCAAGTCTTTGCTATTGTGAATAGTGACTCAATAAACATACATGTGCATGTGTCTTTATAGCAGCATGATTTATAATCCTTTGGGTATATACCCAGTAATGGGATGGCTGGGTCAAATGGTATTTCTAGTTCTAGATCCTTGAGGAATCGCCACACTGTCTTCCACAATGGTTGAACTAGTCTACACTCCCAGCAACAGTGTAAAAGCATTCCTATTTCTCCACATCCTCTCCAGCATCTGTTGTTTCCTGACTTTTTAATAATCACCATTCTAACTGGCGTGAGATGGTATCTCACTGTGGTTTTGATTTGCATTTCTCTGATGGCCAGTGATGATGAACATTTTTTCATGTGTCTGTTGGCTGCATAAATGTCTTCTTTTGAGAAGTGTCTGTTCATATCCTTTGCCCACTTTTTGATGGGGTTGTTCATTTTTTTCTTGTAAATTTGTTTGAGTTCTTTGTAGATTCTAGATATTAGCCCTTTGTCAGATAGGTAGATTGCAAAAATTTTCCCCCATTCTGTAGGTTACCTGTTCACTCTGATGGTAGTTTCTTTTGCTGTGCAGAAGCTCTTTAGTTTAATTAGATCCCATTTGTCTATTTTGGCTTTTGTTGCCATTGCTTTTGGTGTTTTAGTCATGAAGTCCTTGCCCATGCCTATGTCCTGAATTGTATTGCCTAGGTTTTCTTCTAGGGTTTTTATGGTTTTAGGTCTAACATTTAAGTCTTTAATCCATCTTGAATTAATTTTTGTATAAGGTGTAAGGAAGGGATCCAGTTTTAGCTTTCTACATATGGCTAGCCAGTTTTCCCAGCACCATTTATAAAAAGGGAATCCTTTCCCCATTTCTTGTTTTTGTAAGGTTTGTCAAAGATCATATGGTTGTAGATGTATGATGTTATTTCTGAGGCCTCTGTTCTGTTCCATTGATCTATATATCTCTTTTGGTACCAGTACCATACTGTTTTGGTTACTGTAGCCTTGTAGTATAGTTTGAAGTCAGGTAATGTGATGCCTCTAGCTTTGTTCTTTTGGCTTAGGATTGTCTTGGCAATGCGGGCTCTTTTTTGGTTCCATATGAACTTTAAAGTAGTTTTTTCCAATTCTGTGAAGAAAGTCATTGGTAGCTTGATGGGGATGGCATTGAATATATAAATTACCGTGGGCAGTATGGCCATTTTCACTATATTGATTCTTCCTATCCATGAGCATGGAATGTTCTTCCATTTGTTTGTATCCTCTTTTATTTTGTTGAGCAGTGGTTTGTAGTTCTCCTTGAAGAGTTCCTTCACATCCCTTGTAAGTTGGATTCCTAGGTATTTTATTCTCTTTGTAGCAATTGTGAATGGGAGTTCACTCATGATTTGGCTCTCTGTTTGTCTGTTATTGGTGTATAGGAATGCTTGTGACTTTTGCACATTGATTTTGTATCCTGAGACTTTGCTGAAGTCTCACCAGTTTAAGGAGATTTTGGGCTGAGACGATGGGGTTTTCTAAATATACAATCGTGTCATCTGCAAACAGGGATAATTTTACTTCCTCATTTCCTAATTGAATACCCTTTATTTCTTTCTCTTGCCTGATTGCCCTGGAGTGGTGAGAGAGGGAATCCTTGTCTTGTGCCAGTTTTCAAAGGGAATGCTTCCAGTTTTTGCCCATTCAGTACGATATTGGCTGTAGGTTTGTCATAAATAGCTCTTATTATTTTGAGATATGTTCCATCAATACCTAGTTTATTGAGAGTTTTTAGTATGAAGGGCTGTTGAATTTTGTCAAAGGCCTTTTCTGCATCTATTGAGATAATCATGTGGTTTTTGTCATTGGTTCTGTTTATGTGATGGATTATGTTTATTGATTTGCATATGTTGAACCAGCCTTGCATCCCAAGGATGAAGCTGACTTGATCGTGGTGGATAAGCTTTTTGATGTGCTGCTGGATTCAGTTTGCCAGTATTTTATTGAGGATTTTTGCATCGATGTTCATCAGGGATATTGGTCTAAAATTCTCTTTTTTTGTTGTGTCTCTGCTAGGCTTTGGTATCAGGATGATGCTGGCCTCATAAAATGAGTTGGGGAGGATTCCCTCTTTTTCTGTTGATTGGCATAGTTTCAGAAGGAATGGTACCAGCTCCTCTTTGAACCTCTGGTAGAATTGACTGTGAATCTGTCTGGTCCTGGACTTTTTTTGGTTGGTAGGTATTAATTATTGCCTCAATTTCAGAGCCTGTTATTGGTCTATTCAGAGATTCAACTTCTTCCTGGTTTAGTCTTGGGAGGGTGTATGTGTCCAGGAATTTATCCATTTCTTCTAGTTTTTCTAGTTTATTTGGGTAGAGGTGTTTATAGTATTCTCTGATGGTAGTTTGTATTTCTGTGGGATCAGTGGTGATATCCCCTTGATCATTTTTTATTGCGTCTATTTGATTCTTCTCTCTTTTCATCTTTATTAGTCTTGCTAGAGGTCTATCAATTTTGTTCACCTTTTCAAAAAACCAGCTCCTGGAATCACTGATTTTTTTGAAGTATTTTTTTGTGTCTCTATCTCTTTCAGTTCTGCTCTGATCTTAGTTATTTCTTGCCTTCTGCTAGCTTTTGAATTTGTTTGCTCTTGCTTCTCTAGTTCTTTTAATTGTGATGTTAGGGTGTCGATTTTAGATCTTTCCTGCTTTCTCTTGTGGGCATTTAGTGCTATAAATTTCCCTCTACACACTGCTTTAAATGTGTCCCAGAGATTCTGGTACTTTGTGTCTTTGTTCTCATTGGTTTCAAAGAACATCTTTATTTCTGCCTTCATTTCGTTATGTAGCCAGTAGTCATTCAGGAGCAGGTTGTTCAGTTTCCATGTAGTTGTGTGGTTTTGAGTGAGTTTCTTCATCCTGAGTTCTAATTTGATAGCACTGTGGTCTGAGAGACAGTTTGTTGTGATTTCTGTTCTTTTACATTTGCTGAGGAGTGCTTTACTTCCAATTATGTGGTCAATTTTAGAATAAGTGCGATGTGGTGCTGAGAAGAATTTATATTCTGTTGATTTGGGGTGGAGAGTTCTGTAGATGTCTATTAGGTCTGCTTGGTGCAGAGATGAGTTCAAGTCCTGGATATCCTTGTTAACCTTCTGTCTCGTTGATCTGTCTAATGTTGATAGTGGGGTGTTAAAGTCTCCCATTATTATTGTGTGGGAGTCTAAGTCTCTTTGTAGGTCTCTAAGGACTTGCTGTATGAATCTGGGTGCTCCTATATTGGGTGCATATATATTTAGGCTAGTTAGCTCTTCTTGTTGAATTGATCCCTTTACCATTATGTAATGGCCTCCTTTGTCTCTTCTGATCTTTGTTGGTTTAAAGTCTATTTTATCAGAGACTAGGATTGCAACCCCTGCTTTTTTTTGCTTTGCATTTGCTTGGTAGATCTTCCTCCATCCCTTTATTTTGAGCCTATGTGTGTCTCTGCAAGCAAGATGGGTCTCCTGAATATAGCACACTGATGGGTCTTGACTCTTTATCCAATTTGCCAGTCTGTGCCTTTTAATTGGGGCATTTAGCCCGTTTACATTTAAGGTTAATATTGTTATGTGTGAATTTGATCCTGTCATTGTGATGCTAGCTGGGTATTTTGCCTGTTAATTTATGCAGTTTCTTCACAGCATTGATGGTCTTTACAATTTGGCATGTTCTTGCAGTGACTGGTACCGGTTGATTCTTTCCATGTTTAGTGCTTCCTTCAGGAGCTCTTGTAAGGCAGGCCTGGTGGTGACAAACTCTCTCAGCATTTGCTTGCCTATAAAGGATTTTATTTCTCCTTCACTTATGAAGCTTAGTTTGGCTGGATATGAAATTCTGGGTTGAAAATTCTTTTCTTTAAGAATGTTGAGTATTGGCCTCCACTCTCTTCTGGCTTGTAGGGTTTCTGCCAAGAGGTCTGCTGTTAGTCTGATGGGCTTCCCTTTGTGGGTAACCTGACCTTTCTCTCTGGCTGCCCTTAACATTTTTTCCTTCATTTCAACCTTGGTGAATCTCACAATTATGTGTCTTGGGATTGCTCTTTTTGAGGAGTATCTTTGTGATGTTCTCTGTATTTCCTGAATTTGAATGTTGGCCTGCCTTGCTAGGTTGGGGAAGTTCTCCTGGTTAATATTCTGAAGAGTGTTTTCTAACTTGGTTCCATTCTCCCCATCACTTTCAGGTACACCTATCAAACATAGATTTGGTCTTTTCACATAGTCCCATATTTCTGGGAGGCTTTGTTCATTTCTTTTTACTCTTTTTTCTCTAACCTTATCTTCTTGCTTTATTTCATTAATTTGATCTTCAATCACTGATACCCTTTCTTCCACTTGATGATCAAATTGGCTATTGAAGCTTGTGCATGTGTCACAAAGTTCTCATGCCATGGTTTTCAGCTCCATCAGGTCTTTTAAGGTCTTCTCTACACTGCTTATTCTAGTTAGCCATTCGTCTAACCTTTTTTCAAGGTTTTTAGCTTCCTTGCGATGGGTTTGAACATGCTCCTTCAGCTTGGAGAAGTTTGTTATTACTGACCTTCTGAAGCCTACTTCTGTCAACTCGTCAAAGTCATTCTCCATCCAGCTTTGTTCCATTGCTGGCGAGGAGCTGTGATCCTTTGGAGGAGAAGAGGTGCTCTGGTTTTTAGACTTTTCCGCTTTTCTATTCTGGTTTCTCCCCATCTTTGTGGTTTTATCTACCTTTGGTCTTTGATGTTGGTGACCTACAGATGGGGTTTTGGTGTAGATGTCCTTTTTAGTGATGTTGATGCTATTCCTTTTTATTTGTTAGTTTTCCTTCTAACAGTCAGGTCCCTCAGCTGCAGGTCTGTTGGAGTTTGTTGTAGGCCCACTCCAGACGCTGTTTGCCTGGGTATCACCCGCGGAGGCTGTAGAACAGCAAATATTGCAGAACAGCAAATATTACTGCCTGATACTCCTTCTGGAAGCTTAGTTCCAGAGGGGCACCCGCCTATATGAGGTGTCTGTTGGACCCTACTGGAAGGTGTCTCCCAGTTAGGCTACACGAGGGTCAGGGACCCACTTGAGGAGGCAGTCTGTCTGTTCTCAGAGCTCAAACACCATGCTGGGAGAACCACTGCTCTCTTCAGAGCTGTCAGACAGGGACGTTTAAGTCTGCAGAAGCTGTCTGCTGCCCTTTGTTCAGCTACAGACTGCTCACAGAGGTGGAGTCTATAGAGGCAGAGGCCTTGCTGAGCTGTAGTAGGCTCTGCCCAGTTCGAACTTCCTGGCCAGTTTGTTTACCTACTCAAGCCTCAGCAATGGTGGATGCCCCTTCCCAACCCAGGCTGCTGCCTCACAGTTCGATGTCAGACTGCTGTGCTAGCAGTGAGCAAGGCTCTGTGGGTGTAGGACCCACCGAGCCAGGCACGGGAGAGAATCTGCTTGTCTGCTGGTTGCTAAGACCTTGGGAAAAGTACAGTATTTGGGCGGGAGTGTCCCATTTTTCCACGTACAGTCTGTCATGGCTTCCCTTGGTTAGGAAAGGGAAATCCCCCAACCCCTTGTGCTTCCCAGGTGAGCTGATGCCCCGCCCTGCTTCAGCTCACCCTCAGTGGGCTGCACCCACTGTCCAACCAGTCCCAGTGAGATGAACCAGGTACCTCAGTTGGAAATGCACAAATCACCTGTCTTCTGCGTTGATCACGCTGGGAGCTGCAGACCGGAGTTGTTTCTATTCTGCCATCTTGGAACGGAAAAAGCATGCACATTTTTTAGTGTTTTGTTTTGGGATTCTTTTTGATCAAATTTTATTTCATGTTGCTAAGGCTATATTTTTCTCTTCTTTTTTTCCAGATAAAATAGATTTGCCCCCAATTATAAAAGAAATACTTACTCAATGTAAATAATTTAGGTAAGAAAAAGAAAATTACCGGGCACATTCACTACATATAACTACTGCTAACATTTTTCCTTCCAGACTTTTTCCTATATGCTTACACACACACACACACACACACACACACACACACACACACACACACACTCACTTCTAACTTACTTCCCTTAACGTATCATGAGTGTCTTCCTAATAATTTAATAGAGGACCAGATCTTTTTATTTGGCTGCACAGCATGCCATGGTATGGAGATATACTTCATGAAAAACCAAGTTTAGACATTTTTAAGGTTCTTCACTCATTTTACCAAAACACTTTCTAACAGCTTAGATCAATAATCCTCACTCCCACAATCAATGTGTGATGATTCTTCTCAAGACCAATGACAACCATTTGCAGTGCCTGACTTTTTGTACCAAGACATTTTTAGCAAAGCATAATGGCAAGGATCTTGACCAGTAAATTTGATAGTTTAGTCCGTTTTCATGAAAGAATGGGAAATAATCATGGCAGCTTACCCATCATGGAAGCCAGATTAGTTCTGAAATATATGTTGGGAGGGTGTTGGAGAAGGGAGCCTAGAGAACTGTGGCTTCCCTAAATATAATTATGGTCACCTATGGCTATGTCTCTGAATTCAGATGGGGGTTTATTTACTGTAATGTACAATATCTTTGGGGAACATTGCATACAGATACTAGCTATTAACTCAATCTAAGAATCACATTTCTTGGCTGGGTGTGGTGGCTCATGCCTGTAATCCCAGCACTTTGGGAGGCCAAGGCAGGTGGATCATGAGGTCAAGAGATCAAGACCATCCTGGCCAACATCGTGAAACTCCATCTCTACTAAAAATACAAAAATTAGCTGGGCATGGTGGCATGTGCCTGTAATCCCAACTACTCCGGAGGCTGAGGCAGGAGAATCGCTTGAACCCGGGAGGTGGAGGTTGCAGTGAGCTGAGATTGTGCCATTGCACTCCAGCCTGGTGACAGAGTGAGACTCATCTCAAAAAATAAATAAATACATAAAAGAATCACAATTCTTGCAATTAATAGAGTGCTGGTCCAACATTCTAATGACAAACTCTCCCCAAAACGCCAATGGAACAGGAGGTGGGGAGCCTCCTAATTAGGCAGGACTTTCCACACAGACTAACGATTGAGATGTTGAGGGTCAGACGGGGGATGCACGGATCTGCGCTGTGTCGCCTGGGCCAAAGGCATGCCACATACAATGGTGCTCACGTGTGACAGGGAAGCATCATTTGCTCTGTCTTTGAGAACTAAGGGACAATGAGACCCCTGCTCACATCTCCACAGGATGCCAGGGACCTCAGTGAGCTGCTGCCGCTGATACTTGGGGCCTGGTGTGACTGTCCTTCCTAAGTGCAACCTCTGTCCCTATAACCCAGTGCATTGAGCCTCCCCAGGAGGGGAGCTGAGGAGCTGGGGTACCGCCCGAGGGATTTGTCAGGGCCTGGGAGCTCTGGAGGTGTCTTCTCCCTGGCTCACTCGAAGCTCTGGAAGGCTGGGTTTGGTTTGTGAACTTTTCTGATCCCGCCTGTTTTCCAAGAAGAAAACACTATTCTTCAAAAGGAACAGAGTACACTCGTGGCCCGGTTAGGATTTTAACACTCCTAGCCAAGGTCTTGAGGGTCAGTGAATTGTTGGAGTTGCAAACCTTGGCCTTGCCGCCTTCTCCGGGCTTCTGGGGAAAGAGGGACAGGCGCCATGTGGCAGCACTCTGGAGCCAGAAGCATCGCAAATCACGCTGTCTTCTGTGCAAGGAGCAAAGGCTTTCTGTGGCCTTTTCCCACCCTGTTTTGCAGGAAAGGAGAAGGTAGCAACTGAGGAAAGAACGCTCTACAGACCAGTAGCCAATAGCTTGGGTGTCATTGGCAAAGACAGAGAGGGCTGGCAAAGCAAACGGACACATTTAAATTTGCAAGCCAGGGTCTCTCTCTGTGGGTCTCTATCCCTCTTTCCCTCTGCCCCCACCCCTGCCCACCCCCTGTGTCTTGCCTTCTCCAGTATGTGGGTGGCTGTGAGAACACCTAGTTCCAGAGCCAGCACTGGCCTTGGGCAATCATGTCCTCTCTGAACCTAAGTTTTCTCTACTTGATGAAAATCGTAGTGCACAACCCACAGAGCTGTCATGGAGATCAGATGAGTCAGGCAACATGAAAGGGTCTTGCAGAGAGCCGCACACAGGTGGCACTCGGTAGAACCAGTAATTTTGATCCTAAAGTCTTTGAGTGGAAGTGGCTCTAGGGTGCTTAGCATATTGGTCCCTTGAGGTCACTGCTCAGCCAGGAGGTTTACTTGCTCATGGACTGGTGTGATGAGGCTTTGGCATGACTGCAAGCTCCCAGAGGGCTTCCCCAGAGGCTGGAATGACGCCAGTGCTCCACAAATGCTGTTGCAGGAAGGCAGGCAGGCAGGCAGGCAGGCATGAACACATGAATGAATGAATGAACTGGCTTGAATAACAAAGGACATTTGCAGAGCACTGTTAGCCTGTGCCAGGTGCCACCTGCACGGTGTCCCTGATTCTCACAGGACTGTCTCTGTGTATCTGGAAGGCTGTTCCCCTTTTCCTCCCTTTCTTCCCTCCCCTTAACTCCTCCTTTCTTCCCTCCCCTTAACTCCTCCTTTCTTCCCCCTCCTCCCTCTTTAGCCCCACTCTCCCTAGGTTCCCACCTGATGAACTCTTACTCATCCTTCAAAGCCCATTTCAGAGCTCACTTCCTCTGGAAGTTTGCCTGCTTCCTTGGATAGAGATAGGTGTTTCCTGTCTGGGGCTTCCCAGCCTCCCTATAGCACCATTCCCCTCAAGCCTGGAAACTTCTGGGTAGAGATTTGGTCTTGCCCGTCTCTGTATTTGGAGTGCCTTGTCCAGGGCCTGTCATCTCAAAGGTGTGTCCTATGTGTTGGTGAATGGCAGAATGTCACAGAGTATCTGGCTTCCTTAAGCAGGTTGCTACCATTTTATACTTGAACCCACACCTGGGATTCATGAAAGCTTTCCCAAAGCCCTGAAACTGCAAATAAGAAACATGGCAGATGGCTCTGCTCTGTTGTTAGTTTCCAGGGGCTTCTAGAGGATTGGCAGCCCTCGGGACCCCACATCAGCACCAGAAGACAATGGAGCAACATACTGAGAAACTGCCAAGAAGAAAATCGAAGAAAGGAACGCAAATCTCTTTAACCAGAGACCCAGCACACAGAATGTGCCACTAAAGGGGGTTTATCTTCCAGAAATAATATGAAAATCACCAAGGCAAAGCACCAGGCTTTGCAAAATTGTTGTTGCCAGTGGTGCCTCGCTGGCAGCTGGGTTGCAGGCCGGGAGTAGAATGCCACCCTCTCTAAGGAGCTCTTCTCCACCTTTGCTATCAGGAATGTCTGTGCTGTCACCAAACATTGGTTGGCTCTGAAGACAGAAAATGAAGAGAGGTTTCTCCCTTCCAAAGAACCAGTGCCTGGGGAGGAGACCCAGGGGAGCTCTCCAGGCTCTAAGATGTCTGCTGGAAGCATCTTGCTCCTGGAGGGGTACACTATTTCTTGGGAGGGCAAAGGCTTCTCAGGGACCATGACATCTGAGTGAAATTTGGAAGCATTGACAGGGCTTCACTGGGTGACAAGGAAGAAGAGCACAAGCAGAGGTCAAGTGTCTACTGGTCGCTAGCAAAGTCAGCCCCAGTGGCTCTGTTGGCACTGAAGTCTTTCTTGCTTGTGTTGCTCTCCCCTTCCAGAGTCGTCAGTGGCTCCCCAGTTCAGTACTACCATGCTTAGGACAAGCTCCTCGTGCAGGTATTCAAGGCCATCCGCAGTACCATCATCTCCCTGCATCCTCTGCCATCTCTTCCCTCCTCCAACCCCGTATGTTTGCCTCTGGTCTGAAAACTCTCCTTCTCCCTCTCAGCTTCCTGTTTGATCTCCGCCACGAGAATGTGAGTTCCGTCATGGCCAACATGGCAGTCCCCTCAGCATCCAGCACAGCGGGTGCTCTAGAAGCTTGGATTCCTTGGCGACATCTCTCCAGCTGGGACGAGGGCTGCTCAGGGGTGAGGGCAGTGATTTCCTTTTGCTGGGGGAGCAGTGGGCACCAAGGCGTAGCCAGGACTCCCTTCCTGAATGGGAGGAGTGAGCTAGTAGCTCTCTGATTGCTGTTTGCTCTTACTCATGGGGACACCTCCAGAGAGGGACTCCCGCCTCAGAGCCCCCCACAGCTGTGTTCTAAAGGAGATTTCCAGATGGACTCTTATGCAAGCACATAAACCCAAACTCCTTCCTCCTTCACTCATTCATTCATGCTCCAAACACACCTGGAGCATTTGTTGGGGTAAAAAAGGGCAGTCACAGACTCTGTTCTGGGGGGCTTCCAGCCAGAGGGCTCAGAGCTGGCCACAGGTAGAGCGAGCCTGAGAGCTGGCCCAGGGGAGGGAGGGAGCTTGGCTCAGGCAGGAAGGTGGTCAGGAAAGAATGCAGCTACAGCAGCATTGGCGTCGAGTCTGGGGAAATGGCTGAAATCAGACAGGTGGCAAAAGTGCACATGTGCATGTGAGCATCATGTGTTTTTATTATATGTGTGTGTGTATAGTGTACATGGATGAATGTATATGTGTGTTTACATGTGAGCGTGTACGTGTATATGTGTATGAGCATGTATGTTGTTTGTATATGTGTGTGTATTGTGCATATGTGTCAGTGTTTATAGGCACACGTGTGGGTTTACATGTATATACATACATGAACATATGTGTTTATGTGTGTGCACAATCATGCGTGTGTTGTGTGCACCCACGCACACACATATGTGTTTGTATGTATACATGTGTACGTGTGTATGTGCGAGTGTGCATAGGATGAGAATGGAGAACAGCTGGTCATCATTTTGGGTTTCCCGGGAGAACGGTGTTAGGTAACAGGGTTAGGTTTGGGAGCAGATGGAGGGACATAGTTGAGTTCATTTGTCCTTGGGGACCACCTGAGGAATCACGACTAAATCTGTGGGCCCTGGGGAGTCACTGAAGGCTCTGAGCAAGGGAATGACACGGCCAGAGCATGTCCAGTGCCTCCACCCTGTCCCATCCTGCTGACCAGGAACGGCACAGACAGGTGCATTTCAGAAGACGAGGGCAAGAGCAAGAGAACTGGTAACCAGGGTCCAACTTAGGAGGAACTTTGACCAAGAAGTTTGAAACAAAGAAGGAAGGTTTGCCCCTAAACTCTTGACTTATTCCTCCTGCTCTTTCCATTCCCACGATTTCTTACTAAACGACTGGAGACACCAGACAATGCCCTCACTGTTGTGTGGCTGCCTGGGAGCGTTCCCGCAGCATCAGAGTCTCTGTGCTCAGGTGACCCTTGTGCTGGGGGTAGGATGCCCCCCCACGTAGGCCTTAAACATCTGGATCACGCTGGGGAACCTGCCACAGGGATCTTTAAAAAAAATAAAGTAAGGGTCTGGATTTTGAACAAACTCTTTTTGTGGGAATAATTTTTTTGTTCCCAAGTATTTGTGGGTTCAACTTTGCACACAATTAATTGTACTTACAAATGCCTCCTTGAGGGCATAATTAGTCACCAGCAACTCATTCTAAAGGCGCCAGAGGCTAATTGTACCCCCAAGTGAGAAGTTTCAGGTGTAATTAATTATTCTTTGATTATTAAATTTATTATTCATTGGTTGGATGCACAAAGTTGTGCTCAGATGAACTTGCTGGCACAAGGAAGGCTGGAATGAAGAGGTCCACCCCACCCCCTGAGCAAACCTCCGCCAAAGGGCTGTGAAAAGAAAGAAAGGGACTGCTGGCTGCCTAGCTCAGCGTGGGAAATTCCTCAAGTGACAGTAACGAGCCAGAGGAATTGGCCAGACATTGGGAGGGCGGCCCAGAAAACCTGTGGCCGGCCCAGAAAGCCTGTGGCCCTGGGCCCCTGGGTCAGGCATAGGGAAAGGGCTGGAGCTTGAAGTCAGCCAAGTCTTCAGCTGGGTGACCTGGGCAGAGCACGTCCCTCTCTGCGCCTCACCTGTAGAATGGAACGCAGTGCTGGCCCATCTCCCTTGCTGTGCAGATGGAAGGAGGTTGTGTCTGAATCTACTTAGCATGGACTCAGGCCCCATGGAATGGGTTTCCAGTAGGCATCAGCCTCCTTGAGAGGCAGAATCATGAGGTGACCACCAAAAAGTACTCAAGAACCTGACTTACCAGTTTTGAAATCCAGAGATACACATCAGCTCTGTAACCTTGGACAGGCTCCCTGGGCCTCAGTTTCCTCATCTGAAAAATGGGAATTCATCATAGCACAAAAGCAAAATACTTTATGGGGTTGTGAAGATTGAATGGGCTAGCATATATAAAGCATTTAGGACCATGCCTGCCACAGTAAACATTATGAAGCATTTGCTATTCTGTCTTTTGTACCTTTCATGATCACAAACCTGTTTTCAACAGGAAAACCACTGCACAAATGGTAACCCATTGACTTTGTGTAAAATGCTCTGTATTTACGCTGATGCCTGACTCTCAGAGAGTATCTGTCTTTTGTAGCCAAGACAGGAGGAGCTGCATTAAAATGTCCAAAGTGGTTATTTACAGCTGCATGATGAAATTATGGATGGTCATTTTCTTCTTGATCCTTTCCAGTATTTTTCATTTTTTAAAGTTTTTCTTAGTTTTTATTTTTAAAATATGCTTTGTTATAACGACGACAAGAGAATAATGTGTACGCTTCCAGTTGGTTATGTGTATCCTTCTGCAAACTGATCTACGTGTCTAGCCCCTAGCTGTCCTTCAAGGCCAGGATCACGCCTTTCACAAGTCTTGTCCTAGCACTTCCCACCCTGCCCTCCATGCCCACCTTCCAGTCATCAGCGGCTTTCTCTCCCCTGCCTACCTGGGCTTTCTCTGGCCACCCGAATGGCGCATGCGCACACTCTCTGCCTCCTGGTTTATCCCGGCCTGACCCTCATTCCCTATGAAATTGAACTGTCCCAGGCCAGGGTCTCCTTGTGCTCCATACCAGGTCCCCCTGGGGCCCCACCAGGATCTCAGCCCATGACTCCCTGCACCTCAGAGCTAGGAAGGTCCTTCGTTTGATCTGACGTTTTATTAGGACAAAAATTCAGAGCAGCACAGAGAATACACCCATACACCCAACACAGTAGCATCACATACTTGCCTTGGGTCTATTTTTTGGAAATAAAACATTGCAGATCCAGGTGAAGTCTCCTTTGTACCCCTCCCCAGAGGTGGCCACTGACACAAATTCGGTGTGTATATTTCCCATTTCATTTTAATAATTTTACTACATATGTTTGAATCTGTAAACAGTTTACAGTGTTTCGTGTGCTTTGAAAATGTACACAGATGCTATCATCCTGCAACACGATTTTCCCTTCAACTGTCTGTCTCTGAGACCTGCCCACAGCGATGCCCGCGGATCCAGGTCTGCAGATGGATGAAGTGGCTGAGACCCTGGGTGCCGCGCTGTCCAATAACAGCCTCTACATTCCATCAGGAAGCTCTGGCTACAAGCAACGGAAGCTGACACCAGCTAACTGAAGCTGGATATGAGAACCAGGTTTAGGAACAGACAGGAAGAGGGCAGTCCCGGGAATCTGGATGGCAAGAACTAACTCACCACCTTGTCATAAAGCTACCAGAATGGAGGCCCTCTGACTGGTGCTTTTTTTTTTGAGACAGAGTCTCGCTCTGTTGCCGAAGCTGGAGCGCAGTGGCATGATCTCGGCTTGCTGCAACCTCCACTTCCTGGTTCAAGCGATTCTCCTGTCTCAGACTCCCAAGTAGCTGGAAAATTACAGGCGCCTGCCACCACGCCCGGCTAATTTTTGTATTTTCAGTACAGATGGGGGTTTCACCATGTTGGCCAGGCTGGTCTCGAACTCCCGACCTTGTGATCCACCCGCCTCGGTCTCCCAAAATGCTGGGATTACAGGCGTTAGTCACCAAGCCTGGCCGAGTGGTGCTTTTCGTCCTTTTGCCACTTCACTCAAGATTCAAGTTCAAAAAACTTTGCTCAAACTGGCTCAAGCAAAGACAGAATATATGGCTCACATAACTTCAAAACAAAACAAAACAAAACAAAACCCCAGTGTCCAACATCCAGGGCTAACTTCAGGACTCAAATGACATCACCAGGACCCGGTCTCTCCCTGTTTCTCACTGTGCTTCCCCCGTGGCCCCTCGCTGTCCTCTCCCTTGTGCTAGCATGATGGCGCCTGCAGTTCCAGCCCTCCGTGCTCGCAGCTTTCCTAAAGACGAGGGCCAGCTTCCATCCCAGCCTTCCCGGGAAAGGACTCACTGCGTCTCATCGGCCCTGATTAGGTCAGGTATTCATTTCTGAACCAGTTACTGTGGCCAGGTGAATGCAGTAGTCTCATTGGCTAACACTGGGTCACATGCTCTCCCCCAGGAGTCCTAACTGAATGAAGCTCAGGGCTGAGAGTTGGGGAACAGTTTCTTAGAGGGAACTTGGCGGTTTTACCCAAATAAGGGGAGTAGATGTCCAGTGGGCCAGAAAAACAACAAATGCCCCCTCTGAAAAGCAAACAGATAAACAAGAGAAGAGATATAAATAAAATAGGCCAGGCAGGGTGGCCATTGCCTGTAATCCCAGCTCTTTGGGAAGTCGAGGCAGGTGGATCACCTGAGGTCAGGAGTTCGAGACCAGCCTGACCAACATAGTGAAACACCATCTCTACTAAAAATACAAAAATTGTCCAGGCATGGTAGCGGGTGCCTGTAATCCCAGCTACTAGGGAGGCTGAGGCAGGAGAATCGCTTGAACCCAGGAGGTGGAGGTTGCAGTGAGCCGAGATCATGCCACTGCACTCCAGCCTGGGCGACAGAGTGATACCCTGCCACAATAAAATAAATAAAATAAAATAAAATAAAATATAAAATAAAAACAGGGCAGCAGGCCGGCCATCATAGGACTCGCCAGAGCCTGGGCTGGGAGAGGGGAGGACCAAGAAGCAAGTGTTGGTGATGGTGTGATGGCTTCACTATGCAAATGAACATATGAACAACTGTCTTTTTTTTTTTTTTTTTTTTTTCAGACAGAGTCTTGCTCTTGTTGCCCAGGCTGGAGTGCAGGGCGTGATCTCGGCTCACTGCAACCTCCACCTCCTGGGTTCAAGCGATTCTCCTGCCTCAGCCTCCCAAGTAGCTGGGATTACAGGCGCCCACCACCATGCCCGGCTAATTTTTGCATTTTTAGTAGAGACGGGGTTTCGCCATATTGGCCAAGCTGGTCTCAAACTCTTGACCTCAGGTGATCCACCCGCATCGGCCTCCCAGAGTGCTGGGATTACAGGCGTGAGCCACCGCGCCCGGCCTGAGCAACTGTCTTAAAAACAAAAAACGTTGGTGCCAGTTCGCACGGCTTGCCTGCACCCCCAATGACGGAGGAGGTTGGGCTGTGAGGTGCCCAGCATGCTCCCTTCCATCTTCCTGCCCATCCATTACAGTCAGATGATTAACTTCAACCACATACTACATTTTCCCGGGATTATCCCCTCAAATGAATTATATGATTAATAAAGTTTCAATATTTTTCACTTAGCAATTAATCTTAGTGAGCACAAAACTTAATTTAAAGTGCTGGTGCAGTGGCTGGAACCCATTAATCAGAGTGTTGAAGGAGCCAGCTGGGTGCAGAATGAACCCGGGCGGTGAAATACGGGCACTTCTCAAAAACCGGGAGATCCTCTCCAGTGTGAGCACGTGTCACATTTGAGGCGCGGCGTCACCAGATAGCAGAGCTGGCCTGGCTGGCAGGGCCTTTCATTTTAGATTCTGTGTGGGGAAAACCTCCAGACTGGGTTTAGCATTCATGAGCAGTATTCACCGGAGGAAAGAGATGATCGAAAAAATAGTTCATAAACCCCAACCAGTCATTATTAGAGTGGCAAAAACACAATACTTATGCACAGAATAGTTTACATTAAATTAAAAACCATAACTTATCTCTGAGACACTCCATTTAGTACATCTGAGGTTAAATATGGTTCATAGCAGCTCTTTCAATTAAATTGTTCTTCCTTTGCTCTAGTCAACTATATTAAACATAATTTCCTGAAAAGTAACAGAGAATCATTACTCTGTTTACAAATTGATACCATGTTATTGAAAATAGGAAAAATTTGCAGGGTTACTTCAGATTACTGTATTTTTACAGAGAATCTGATATTGGCAAGGAGGATACCGTGAAAGCCCAGGTTTCTGGCTTTCCAGTCAAGGATGGGGTAGGACTTGGGTGGGGGAGGACAGAGGGGTATGGAAGCATCAGAGCCAGTGGGTGGGACCTGATAGGAAATCCCAAGGCTGGTCCTGGGAAACCAGGAAAGAGGTTTCCTAGAGTCCTGTGTCCTTCCATTATGACCCCAGTGTCCTCACAGCTGGAGAGCTCCGAACAACCACACTGCAGGTGGATTTTGAGTTGTTTGTTTATGTTTGACGTTATGGTTGTCATTCTATTCATGTCACTGACTTTATAGCCTTAGCTGGCTTTTATCTTTGCCTGTCCGATCGGACGGGCCTGTTACATTTACATGAAGCCGGGCTGTCTCTTACCTCTGCTCCCTGAGTCTCAGTCACAGTATTCCTTCAAGTTCATAAACAAAGCCCCAAAACGCCTTCTCCAGGTTTGATGCAGCTCAAGTGAAGCATGTGGTTTGCAAGACTGTCACATGGGCCTCGGGCTTGACTGTCATCCTCCAGTGATTTGGCCAACGGAGGGCTGCAAGGCAAAGCCCAGATGAAGCTTCGATCCTTTGTAGAGGCTGAGTCTCTGGGAACCAGGTGCAGCTCTAAGTCAAAGCCATCTGTCCACGGCAGTAGGATGTGATGTCAGGCCTGCCGCGGATGCATGTCGCCTGTGGGAACGGCCCAGAGACTGCGAGGAAACTACACATTTAGAGGAGGTGTGGAGTGAGCCCTCCTTTGAGTGGAGAAATAGAGCATTGCTACCCACTGCTCTGGCCATAGTGGCGTCATTTGTGTACCGTAGTGTGCAGGTCGACAGCATCTCAATTATACCAAGAACGTGCAAGAATGGTCATCGTGCATGTGGTCTCTTCAGAACCACCCACTCCACCCCATAAAACATTGCTCTCACCCTAGAGGTGTCTTTGACTCACTAGGAACTGTGAGCAGTTGCCCATAGGCCTGGGGGCTGGAGCGCTATTTAGAAAAAACCACTTGGTCAAGATGGTGGGGCAGTCCTTGAGTCGTGGTCACCCGAGGCCTGTCCCACCAAGCATGCAGCTCCTCCCAACTCGGCTCCAGACCCCCACTGGGACATCAGGTATATGATGTGTGCCTGGCATGAACAAGTAGATAGTGAGAAACATTGTTGTTCCACAAGTGGAAACTGCCTCCAAAAGACAGGAGCAATTTGCCATCCAGCACTGTATCCATTTCCCCAGACTCTTGCCAATGTCTGAGATTTGGGCTAATCCAGTGAGTAAAAAAGGTATCTTACTGCTGTTTTAATTTGCTTTTTCTTGATTCCCAGTGAGGTGAAGCAACCTTTTTTTTTTTTTTTTTTTTTTGAGATGGAGTCTTGCTCTGTCGCCCAGGCTGGAGTGCAGTGGTGCGAACTTGGCTCATTGCAACCTCCACCTCCCTGGTTGAAGCAATTCCCCTCAGCCTCCTGAGTAGCTGGGATTACAGGCACACGCCACCCCACCGAGCTAATTTTTTTTCTATTTTTAGTAGAGACGGGGTTTCACCATATTGGCCAGACTGGTGTCGAACTCCTGACCTCAGGCAATCCGCCTGCCTCAGCCTCCCAAAATGCTGGGATTATAGGTATGAGCCACTATGCCCGGCCGAGGCAACTTTTTATATGCTTATTGGCCATGTGTATTTCTTCGATGAATTGCCTCATATATTCTTTGCCCATTTTTCTATTGCGTTGAATTTTTATTATTAAATTGAAACATTTCTTTGTATAATCTGCTTATTAATACCTTGTCTGTCATGTATGTTACAATTGTTTTCTCCCAGTCTCCTTCTTTTAACTTAGATTATGATATTTTTATTTTTTATTTTCTCAGAGATGAGTGTCTCACCCTGTTGCCCAGGGTGGGGTACAGTGGCACAATCACAGTTCACTGCAGCCTCAAACTTGCGAGCTGAAGCGATCCTCCTGCTTGCCTCCTAAGTGGTAGCTGGAACCACAGGTGTGTGCCACCGTGCCCAGCTAATTAAAACAATTTTTTCCTTTTGTAGAGATGGGGTCTTGCTTTGTTGTCCAGGCTGGTCTGGAACTCCTGGCACAGTTTCTTTTTTTTTTTTTCTACAGAAATACTCATTTTTTTTTTTTCTCCAGAGAAATACTCATGCATGCTTAAGAAGCCAAGACAAGGATGTCCATTGCAGCATTGTTTTTAATGTGAGACTCTGGAGAAACCCGTATGTTCATCAATAAGGGACTGGTTAAACAAATTAACAACACATCCATACTGAGGATTGGGCCACTAAACTGTAGAAAAAAGACAAATGAGGCCAATATGTACACAGTGATTTGGAACATTCTGCAAAGCAAGTTGCAAAAGATACATAGAGTATGATACTGTTTAAATTAATAAAAGCCCAGCAGATAAAAAAACTCAACTACATATTTCTTTAAATGATATTTTTATATGCTTGTTATTTATATTTATATTTATTTGTTTATTTTTTGAGATGGTGTCTCACTCTGTCGCCCAGGCTGGAGTGCAGTGGCACAATCACAGCTCACTGCAGCCTTGACCTCCCGGGTTCAGGCGATTCTCTTGCCTCAGTTTCCTGAGTAGCTGGGACTACAGGTGTGCATCACCACATTGAGCTAATTTTTAAAATATTTTATAGAGATGGGGTCTCCCTACATTGCCCAGGCTGGTCTTGAACTCCTGGACTCAAGTGATCCTCCTGCCTTGACCTCCTAAAGGGCTGGGATTACAGGCGTGAGCCACTGTGCCCAGCCGATAGTTTTATATGCTTCTACTGATAAGTTCATAGAAACAAATCTGGAAAGATCCACACTGTACAAATGCCAGGAGTTACTTTGGAAAGGAGTCTGGAATTGGAAGTGAGGTTCTGAGGGGACTTGAGTTGTATTATTTGTATTATTTTAACCTGTATTATTTGAATAGTTCATAATGAGACCATATTCCTATTTTATATGGTAATTGATGCAGAAAAACTGCCTTGTAACATAGGCCCCAGCAGATCCTGTGAGGTCGCCAGAAGGCCGGGCACACCTGGACCCACCTGTTTCATCTGCGCTGAATCCACAGAGATAGTCCAGAGGAAGAGAGGAGGAGGAAAGAGAGTGGAATCTATCGAGCATCTCCTACGAGTCAAACCCCATGCTAGGGCATTCAACTCGGAATTATCAGAGCTGAGTGCAACTGCTGACCTTGTTATTACCTGTGTGACCTTGGGCGAGACAGTTAGCCATTCAGCTATTTGGGCCTCCAGTTCTTCATCTGTAACATGGGGATGACATCACTTGCATTGTCTGATTTGTGCCAGACAGAATTCAAGGTGCTAACCGAACAGCTTCAAGGACCCACAGATCCAAGTAAGAGAATGTGAAACGGCGAAACAATTTGAGGGCCTAGGATTGCTTTCTGACCATGTGGGTCACAGGGTAGGTGTTTAAGAGATAATCCTTGAAGGTACCTGTGAGATGGTGTCAGCTCTTCTCAGCGCAGGGCTGAGCCTTGATGAGTGCCTGGAGGCTTCTTAGGGTTTTGCTGTTCTCAGTCTGTGCCTTTGAACCTTTGATGTAAAAGAGGCCTTCAAACAACAGAAATAAAGTGGGTGTTGATGCTGGCATGGCATTTACAGAGTTAAATCCACAAAGGGAAGTAAGGAAGATTCCAGATGGAGAAGACCCTCCAGGGGAAAAATTAAGATGAGAAGAGCCATCCATTAGGGGCCATGTCTTCCCTTTCTGAGACCATCTCTAATGCGATTCATCAGTGTCAAGGCCAGCAAGAAAGACCTGCAAGGATCAATTCCTCTGTGCAAGATAAAGAGTTTAAAATAATTGTATATATGTAAAGTATTTGCCTTCTCATAATTGAAGAGAACAGAGAGAGAGTCAAGAATATTTCAGGGAGAATGTCTTCGCTTCATGTCTAGAGTCTGCAGCATCATGCAGATTGGTTAGTAGCTGGCAAAGAGCCAAGAAGCTTAATCAATCTCCAAAGTTTATTATGAGTAACCCCCAAAGCTAATGGATCATTCTTAGCAAGAACATCATCCTGGTTATTTCCTCATTTTTATAAATTGATCTATAACGTTAAATCTGGGTCCTTGAGAGGGCTGCTAGGGGCATTAATAATCAGTGAATCCAGCAGAATTCTTTTGTTTCCAAAAAGATCAAATGAAACTGTTCTTGTTTAAGTTGGGATAGGATCCTACCTGCTCAGACCGCACTCCCTGACCCCTACAGTGGCCCTGCAGTGGCCCCACAGGGACCTCCTACGAACCTTAGGGCTCTAAAGAGCACAGTTTGAAGCACTGATCTCACCAAAGTCCCCCATTTTGCAGATGAGGAGGCTGAGGCCCTGAGACAGGAGGTGACTTGAGCAAGGTCATGCTCAAAGTGCATGTGGCAGACATGATTGGATGCTACTCAGCAGCCATTGCCCAACTCCCTTTGTCTTGCTTGAAGAGCTCATCTCACATTATACGGGCTAAAAATGCTGGCTGCTCACCTTTCTGTCCTCTCTTCCAGCTGCAGCATGGGCACTGACTCAATCCTGCCCAATTCTGGAAAGGGTCTACTTCCCTGGCAAAAAGAAGCCAGCAAGGAGAAACTGTCTTTCTTTTTGACTTTCAATGTGTTTGTGGCGAGTATGTGATGACTGGAGCTGCAGCAGCTATCTTACAGCCATGAGAGCAAAATTTGAAGTTGACTGCTAATTAGCTGGTGTGTAGCCAGGAGACAGGAACCACTCTAGGTGTTTAAAACAGAGGAAATTAATGCAGTGATTGCTTACATAGATGATGGAAGACTGATAAGCCAAAGGGGAATGCCAAAGCACCTCCCCTGCCCCAAGAGGTCAGCAATTACAGATACTGTTAACACTCCTAGGGCTGGAGGGACAGAGGAGGAAGGAGTAAGCACCCAGAAGCTGGAGCTGGGATCTGAAGTTACAGCCGAGAGCCTCTTGGAAGGAGCTGGGAGCATCAGGGTGGTGTCTGATGGGAGCTTGAGCTACGTACAGCAGAGGTTCAATCACTGCCAGAGATGCTGCAGGAAGCACAGAGGGAGGCAGAGACATGCCCGACTCACTCCATCTGCCCTTCAATCCTCCATCAGTGCCTCCCATTGGCTGAACTCCCTAGAATCCTGGGAACTGCAGTTCTCTGAAACAAGGCAGAGCAGAGAATGGAGCTGAGAGCAAATGGGCAGTTGACCCTACCCATCACACTAAGGATGGCATGGCAGAAAGACAGAGGGCCCTGTGGCTTTAGTGATGATATTGTTAAAACATGGACAAGTCCATATCTCACCCGTTGCTGGATATCTCCTTCTGGGGATGGGAAAAATCTGAAGGCTGGATGTGGTGGCTCATACCTATAATTCCAGCGCTTTGGGAGGCTGATGTGTGAGGATCACTTGAGCCCAGGAGTTTGAGGTTGCGGTGAGCTATGATCACACCACTGCATTACGGATGGGGCAACAGAGTGCAACCCTGTCTCAAAAAAAAAAAATCTGAATTCATAAAGCCTCCTGGGCTTGGGCATTTTGTTCTTGTAGGTTAATGGTCTCAGTGCTGCACCAGGTCTGAGTCAGACCCATGTCTTTCAACTGCCAGTCCTGAGCCTGGGCCACTGCACCTGCAGACAGTGACAGAGGCCAGAAACCTGAATCTTTGTCCACTCTGCAGGTGAAGGAGTTCACTTTGACAGAGCAGAGAAACAGAATGAGTCAGCAGCAGGTCCACACGCTCCTTGTTCTACAACAGAAAAGCTGCTCTGAGTAACTCATGCACAGAGTGAGAGAAAGAGGAAGGACCTGGGCAGCCCCCATGACCAGCCCCCATGAACCACTGACACGGTTCCACGTCAATGGAACCATGGACAGAGGTGCCCACGGGGCTAAATCCCAGGTTTTTCCTGGGGCCAATGTGTGAAAGCCGAGAGTTCAGCTGAATGAGTCACCTGAGCCTGTGGTTTTTACACTTTGTTTAGACTCAGAATCCAAGAACACTTTGCTCAGAAGCCCAACGTGGGGTTGGGAACCCCAGGTATCCCCCTCCATCCTATCCCCCAGCCTGTGGGTCTTCCCAGTGCTCTGGAGGCAGTTTGAAAACAGCTGATCTCAGCCTGGCCAAGATGGTGAAACCCCGTCTCTACTAAAAATAAAAATAAAAAAAAAATTAGCCAGGCGTGGTGGTGGGTGCCTGTAATCTCAGCTATGAGGGAGACTGAGGCAGAGAATTGCTTGAACCCAGGAGGCGGAGCTTGCAGTGAGCCGAGATCGTGCCACTGCACTCCAGCCTGGGCAACAGAGCGAGACTCTTTCTCAAAAACAAAACAAAACAAAACAAAAACCAGCTGATCTCATCTCCCTAAGTTAGTTTATAAATGAGGAAACTGAGACTTCGGTTCTGTTACTTGGTTGCAGTGACAGAAACCCTACTCAAGCTAGCCTGGGTGGCCGGGGGACTTACTGGCATAGGCAGGGATGGAGCTGGCCCCAGGGATCAGGGGCATCATCAGCTTGGCAGTTGTTGTCTCTTGTTCCCCTCCTCACACCCACACTTCACCCCACATCTGCTGGCTTCTCTGCATGCTGGTGTCGCCACCTCCTACCGCAGGCCAAATTCTCTTTCATGGTCAAGAATGTGGCTGCTGGTATTTCTGGATTTGCTTCTCCCACTTAGCCCCAGGACAGAATTCTGAATGCCTTTCTCCTGATTCCAGGATGCAGACTTCTGGGGACACATTTGGAGCCTCTGCCTATGGCTTGGACCACTCTTGGCATCAGGGGAATGACATATCTGATGGCCCAGCCTTAGCCATAAGCTCAGCCCGAGGCCTGGGAGGTTCATCCCAGAGAATGTGCAGGTAGCCCAATCACGGCCCCTAGGAAAGGCCTGAGTATGGAGTGAGTCCCCAGTCTGTAGGAGTCAGCTTCAGAAAACCTGGCCTGAGCCCCAGCGGGGTCATGCACTTTCGTTGGCAGTCTTGGAATCCCTCCGGTCCTTGGTCCCATTAGCTATGAAACAGGAAGACCACTTCCCATCTCACAGGCTTCTGGTGATCATCAATGAAGAAAAGAGGGCCAGGCATGCTGGCTCACACCTATAACCCCAGCACTTTGGGAGGCCAAGGCAGGAGACCAGCCTGGGCAACATAGTGAGACCCTGTCTCTACAAAAAGTAAAAAAATAGCAGGGCATGGTGGTATATGCCTGTAGTCCCAGCCACTCAGGAGGCTGAGATAGGAAGATTGCTTGAGCCCAGGAGCTTGAGGTTGCAGTGAGCTGTGATTGCACCACTGCGCTCCAGTCTGGGTGACAGAGTGAGACCCTGTCTCAAACTAAACCAAACAAAACAAAGAAAAGAAGTTGAGGCCAGGTGTAGTTGCTCACACTTATAATCACAGCACTTTGGGAGGCCAAGGTCGGGGGACTGCTTGAGCTCAGGAGTTTGAGACCAGCCGGGGTAATATAGTGAGACCCTATCTCTGCTGAATATAAAAAAAGAATCAGGCTGGGCACGGAGGCTCATGCCTGTAATCCCAGCACTTTGGGAGGCCAAGGTGTGTGGATCACCTGAGGTCAGGAGTTCAAGACCAGCCTGACCAACATGGAGAAACCCCATAAAAATACAAAATTAGCCCGGTGTGGTGGCACATGCCTGTAATCCTAGCTACTTGGGAGGCTGAGGCAGGAGAATTGCTTGAACCTGGGAGGCGGTGGTTGCAGTGAGCCAAGATCGCGCCATTGCACTCCAGCCTGGGCAACAAGAGCGAAATTCCATAAAAAAAAAAAAAAATCAGTCGGGCATGGTGACACATGCCTGTGGTCCCAGCTACTCAGGAGGCTGAGGTAGCAGGTTCCCTTGAGCCCGGGATATTGAGGGTGTAGTGAACTATGATCGTGCCACTGCATTCCAGCCTGGACAATGGACTGAGACTGTCTCAAAATAAAAAAAAATAAAAAAAAAATAAAAGAAGTTGAGGAATGCTTAATAGCTAAATCAAGGAGGAGCACATACAGCTATGCTATAGGTGAGATTTCAGAACGGGCCCTCCAGACACCCAGTCACGTGCTCTGGCTTTGGTGCCAGGAGCCCTTCCCCTGTGGGAGCCCTCCCAGAACTCCCTTTGGGGATGCAGGGGGAGTGTCCAGGTCAGCCTCTTCCTCTCCAGGTGAACCCCTTTCAGAATCCCGACCAACAACCTCCTGGAAATACCTTCCCAGGGAATCAATTGCTGGTTTCTAGCATTTTTATTTCTGGGGACTGTGATTCTTATTTGGTTAAATAACACATTTTAAAAAATTGTTGTGATTCCATACTGAAGCTTCCCATATGGTTAATTGGAAGTGTTCTCACAAATATTGCAGGCTGTAAAAACTAATGAGGTAAATGGAAAATTTATCAAGTACCACAGTTAGAAATTAACTTATTGCTTGCTGCTGCACTCATGACTAATGAAGTCAGAGGGGGCTCTTCATACACAGAACAAGAACACAAAGGGTGGCCAAACTTGCTGGCCGTGATGCCAAGGAAAATCCTTCTACCTGCCCTTCTCAACCTCTCTCCCCACCTCCCCTCTGCCAAATATCAGATGAGTATAGCAAATGACTAGGCTTCCTAAGTCTGTATCCCAAAAACAGTACATGCATTCAATTATGTACCATATCAGCAATAACAACAGTAGTTAGCATTTATTGATGCTTGGTGCTTGGCACTTACATGCATTATCTCAAGTTCTTCTTACCTCAGGGAAGCGAGGCAGGTGCTATGATTACCTACCATTTACAGACGAGGAAACAGGCTCAGAGAGATGAAGTGAGTTGTACAAGGTCACCCATTCCTAAGCAAGGAAGCTAGAGTTCAAACCCAGGCCTGATTCCAGTATCCACAGGCATTATACCTGCAGTGCATGAATTCATTCATTTACTCAAAAGGTGCATTTAACAAAAGGTGCTGAGAGCCCACGCTGGGCCACACGTCACATGCTCCTGGAGATGCCAGGGTGGGGTGGGGCAGTGATGAAGGATGTGGTTCAATCCAGCTCCCTCTGCCCCTTACTGGCTGTGGGATGGGGCAGTGATGAAGGATGTGGTTCAATCCAGCTCCCTCTGCCCCTTACTGGCTGTGGGATGGTGCCAGGGCTCTGGCTACTCCTCCAGACTCCTTCTGGATTCTATTTCACGCCCTGGAGGCTGACCTGCGTGGCCCATATCATGGACTTCCTGGACCTCTGCTTCTAGTTGAGTTTAGCCGATAGGAGACACTGACAAGGGATGGGAGACAGTAGGAGAGTGGGGAGGGGTGATCTTTCTTCAGCTCCCTGCCAGCTGGTTGTCAGGGACTGGCTGCACCTTTCACTGAACACCATGGCTTTCACTGTCACCCCTTACTTCTGCAGGCCAGGAATGGGCAGAGTCCCCTGCTGTCACTGGCCCGAGGAGACTATCCCATCCCTTCTTGGTTCCCTTACACCTTGCTTCCACTTCCGTAAATCCCCCCTTCAATAAACGCCTCTCAAATAATGACTTTGAGTGGTATCTCTTCCCTGCTGGGACTGTGATAGAGCCACAGGGTGGTTTGCTCGGGTGACTTGCTTGGGCCTCAGTGCCCTCACCTGTAAATTGGGGGTAATAATGAGCTGTCATGTGGATTACAGTAACCAGGTGTAAAGTGCTTAGAACAGTGCTCAGTACTTAGTAGATACTCAGTAAATGCCAGCTTTAAAAAAAAAATTAATTTCTTTTAGGTTCCACGATACATGTGTAGAATGTGCAGGCTTGTTACATAGGTAAACGTGTCCCATGGTGGTTTACTGAACCTATCAACCCATCACCTAGGTATTAAGCCCTGCATGCATTAGCTGTTAGTCCTGATGCTCTCCCTCCCTCTGGCCAGCTTTTCTTATTGTGAAAACAGGGTCCTTCCTTTAAGGACTAAGTGCACTGATTTCCAAACCTGAGCATCCATGGAATCACCTGAGATGCTGGATAGGTGTGCACAGTCCAGCTCCAGCCTCTGGGCCTAGGACAATCCCTGCAGGTGACTCTGGTGAGACCCCCGTAGACAGACTCCAACCACACGAGAGGGATGCTGCCCAGAGGGAAGGGGCACAGGGCAGGCACCTTTGTCAGGTGGGGAGGCTGGACAGGGAAGGCTTGCTGTGGGGGCTGCCACTGCACCTGGACCTAAGTGTAAGCTGGTGGAACAGGATGTCCAGGTCCAGGACTGGCCTGGAGGTGACAGCAACTTGGCATATCAGGGACAGCCAGAAATTTGGGATGGCAGAAGATGGTGAGAGATGGGGCTCTCTGGTAGGCCCTCTGTTGGACTGTAGCTCAGATGTCATCTCTTGGTGAGGAGTCCTTGCAGGCCCTTGGCCTTGTCCTCCTGGTCTTTCCTTCCAGGCAGCTCCTCCACCCTTTCCTCACACAGCCAAGCAGGACTGTCTGCCGATCCTGGAGTGTCCCTTCCTGCCTTTGACCCTTTGCTTAGAGGGCTCGTTCCAGCTGCAGCTCTACCCCTTTCCACCGTGAGATCCTTCTCACCCCTTTGGCCCCATTGCAAATGCTGCTTTCTTCAGGAAAACTCCTGATTAAATGTGTTGGAAAGACCTCTTCTACTTTTACAAATCTATGGTGCAGGATTGTTTTTCTTTTTTCTCTCTTTCTTTTTTTCTTCCTTTCTTTTTTTCTTCCAGATGGAGTCTTGCTCTGTCACCCAGCCTGGAGTGCAGTGGCACGATCTCGGCTCACTGCAACCTCTGCCTCCCAGGTTCAAGGAATTCTCTTGCCTCAGCCTCCCGAGTAGCTGGGATTACAGGCACCCACCACCATGCTAATTTTTGTACTTTTAGTGGAGACGGGGTTTCACTATATTGGCCAGGCTAGTCTTGAACTCCTGACCTCAGGTGATCTACCTGCCTCAGCCTCCCAAAGTGCTAGGATTACAGGCATGAGCCACCATGCCTGGCAGATAGTGCAGGAATTCTAAAAAATGCTAGCACTCAAAGCTGGCCAGCAGGCGGCAAGCAGACAATCACTTGTATCGCTTGTAGAGTTTAAATTGATGCAATCGTTCAGAAATCCAATTTGGCATATATATCAGGAGGTTTTAGAATTCTCTCCTCAAACCCAATAAGTTCCACTTGTAAGAACCTATATTATGGAAAAAATTAGAAATGCTATCGGAGACTCTTAGATGAGATTTGAGCATTACTTACTTATATGTTCCCCTAATGGAAACAGTCTAGAATCTACCCTAGATGCCTGTCAAGGGTGTCATGGCTAAATACATTATCAGAGCAAGGCCATATGATGAAATATCCCACCACTTATAAATTGTGGTTTCAAAGAATATACAGTGACACGGGAAACTGCTTGTGATATAGTATGTGAACAATGTAGGCTATTTACAAAGTATACATTTTTTTTTGAGATGGAGTTTCGCTCTTGTCACCCAGGCTGGAGTGCAGTGGCCTGATCTCAGCTCACTGCAACCTCCGCCTCCCGGGTTCAAGCGATTTTCCTGCCTCAGCCTCCTGAGTAGCTGGGATTACAGGCATGCACCGTCACACCCAGCTAATTTTTGTATTTTAATACTGACAGGGTTTCATTATATCGGCCAGGCTGGTCTCAAACTTTTAACCTCAGGTGATCCACCCGCCTTGGCCTCCCAAGGTTTTGGGATTACAGGCATGAGCCACCAAGCCTGGAAAAATATAAATATTTTTATATATGTATGAAGACTGGAAGAAAAGAGGAATAGATCAAAAAGTAGAGGCTGATTATTTCTAGTTGATGGGTTACAGCTCATTTTGGATTTTGGTCTTTATATTCTTCTGCATTTTTCACACTTTCTGTTTGTATAACCTTTATGATTTGAAAATAAACTACTTTCTCCTCAGAAGAAAGCAAACTCCAAGGAGCTGTGCACGTCTCTTCCGGAGGAGATTCTCCTGCCATGATTGACGGTTCTGAGGGTGCTTGTTTCATTTTGAAATTCGACAATAACTCCTCTATAGGACATGAGCTGTTTTTGCTTTCTTTTTTTTGACTCACCTTTTGGGCCTCCAATAGCTGAGTCCATGTTTGGACAAAGTAGGACTAGTTAACAAGTTGAAAGGAATCTTTGAACTTTCTTTGAAGTCGGCCCTAGGGCCCTGGGGTCACCGTCTTTCTGGAGAATGGGGCTGGAGGGCCTGGCAGTGGAGGGCCTAGCTGTGCTGATAGCAAAAGAGTGGGCTGGAAGGGGCCAGCCACCCTTGGCAGGACCTCCATTCTGGCCATTCCATTTACTCATCCGGACATGGTTCCATTAATTGAGTAGTTGATTGTTGTACACAATTTTTTTGTTCTTTAATAACTTACTTGTGTTTTTGCTTAACCATCAATTTTAATGTCTCACTGATTTTTTGGTTCTATTTATAGACCCTGCTCCGGAGGTTAAACTTCTGCCTTTTCTTTTCTTTTCTTTCATAAAGCCCTCAAGCCATCTGCCTCTACCCGTTCTCTTATTTTTATTTTTGCTAACGTGACAGAGACGACTTTATCATCTCAGAATATGATGAAGTTTGAAATGGAACGTGCATAGGCAGTCCCCACTTTATGATGAAGCTTTTCAAATCATTGCGCTGTGAAGAAAAGGAAGATCTCCTTGGACTTGAATTTTCTCTCCCTTTTGCCCTCCTCTTGGCTGTCCACTGATGAGACGAATTCTTTATTTGAATTCACTGTTCTGGATCCCAGGGACAACGAAGTGTGCCTTTTTCTTTTGCTTGTTCTTCTAAATCCTGAAGAAAAGAAGCTCCAGTCACTCTCTCTCTCCCTCTCCTACCTCTCCCCAGCAAAAGAACCTTCCAGTGCCTCAATTCACAGAACACTGGTTTCTGGGTACTTCGCACTCCCTCAAGCAGGACCAGGAAGCTTTTCCTTATCTTTTGTGGGGGCAAGGGGGAATTGGAGCCTGAGTGTTTGGGTTGGGGAAACACGGACGATTTCTGTCCTGTCTGTGTGTGAGATGCTATGCGAGACTGTTCCCCATGGTGGCCACACCAGGAGCAGAGACGGCAGCTGCTCCATGAAAAGCTTCATGCACTCATGTATTGAGCACTTACTAGGTGCCAGGGGCTGCTATAAT
Source organism: Homo sapiens (assembly GCF_000001405.40). Classification (NCBI taxonomy): domain Eukaryota; kingdom Metazoa; phylum Chordata; class Mammalia; order Primates; family Hominidae; genus Homo; species Homo sapiens. The sequence goes on from NC_000010.11 coordinate 125,208,643, forward strand.
CTCCAGGAAAAATGGTAAGCAAAGCTAGATTGGCCCTCGTTCTCACAGAATGCACAGTCCCGGGGGGAGGTGGACACTCATCAGAAACCATACCTATGATATTTTGGACTGTGGTGAGCACTTCCGTAAGACCATGGGGGCCCAAGGTCAAGGGCCTGGGGCCTGAATTCAGCTCTGCACCAAGGCCCATCACCACTGTGCCTCTGCTCTGAGGCAGGCAGCGTGCTCCAAGGCTAGAAAAGGAAGCGTCCACGGAGGCATTTTTGTAAACTCTTTGCCCCTTCCGTCCCCCTCCCCATCAAGCTCTGAAGGCATCTGTGTTCCTGGATGGGATCCATTGCGTGGGCTGCCGGGCAGGCTGAGATGGGCCTGGGCGTGGTGCCCCAGCTCGGCGGGAGGGTGGTAGGGAACCTGTCTGGTTGGAGTCAGGACTCAGCCGCCTAAAAGCAGGAGCCAGGGAGAACAGCCGAGCTGCAGGTGCCTACTTCTCACAGCCGCCTCTGGGACTCTCAGCGCCTCGGGGTGCATCACCCAGGGCGTCCCAAGCACAGGCCTCCGGGGAGGGAGACTTGTGAATGTTATCAACCTCAGGCCAGAGAGGGAGAAAGGAAGGGAGAGGACATGTCTGTGTCCGCGAGCATGGCCACACATCTATTGGAGCCAGACCTAAGATTAGAACGGGTACGTTTCTGGTGCCCAGATATACAGCCAAGCCCCAAACCCATGCTGTTTTTTGGCAAAGCTCCTTCCACATTCCTCTAGCTCAGATTCACCCTCGTTTGTCTCTGGAAATATTGTAGCTGTCATAATCGTTGTTCTAATAAAATACTCATCTGACGATCTATTAGGAAGGCATATTGTTGACAGGAAATATGCATTTGCCATATTCCCTCTTCTATTGTCTATTTCCTGCCTCATTTTTCTTGGGAGGGCAGGAGTCACTGGAGATAATAGCATATTGACAAAGAGAAAGCAAGGGAAAGGGATCGTTGAAAGTGGGAGAATTCAGTTCTATTCCGCTGCAAGGGTTTCCAGCAGGAAATCCACAACTCGTTTCCTGCCAGTCTGCTCAAAACAGCGTCTGTCCCTTCTCCTCTCAAACAAATTGTCTCCTCGATCCTGGGAAGCTGACTCCCTGGTCATATGATGGAGGTCAAGGCTGTTGTTTCTGGGGCCTGTGGTTGGGAAAGATTCCTCAAGAATCCAGAAGAGAATGTGAGATTAACTATTTTTCCTATAATAGTTAACAGAACTTCATTGAGGCTGGTGGAACAAGAAGCCACAGAAAGAAGACAGTTTTCTAGAAATGTCTTGCCCACAAGCTTTTTTCTTACACTATCCGGTTACAAATAGTACATCCCCAGGAGGGAAAAAAAACCCACTTATGGATTGTGCAAACGCCCGGGGTATGCCCGAAAATGACAGTAAGTGGCCCCTTTAGGACTGGTCCAGCTGCACCCCAGGACAAACTTGTGAAGCTCTGGTTTGACCGAGTTCTGGGGCTTTGCCAGTGCAGGCCCTGGGAGGGAGGGGGCTCAGAGTGATCATGGATTCAGTGCACAGATTTAGAGGGCTGCCAACAACTCTGCCTTCAGAGGCTGGCACTTCCTCCCTGGGCCCTGGGAAGTGCCCTGGGAAGTGTTTGTTTGTTTGTTTGTTTGTTTCTTTCACCAGGAAGAGCTGGTGCATCCAGAGCTGGACCTGGGGGAAGAGGGAGAGATGGAGAACGTTCAGGGTGACCAGGCTTCACAGTTTGCCTGGGACTGCTTCTCTTCTAGCCCTGAAACCCCTCAGTCTTGGGAAAATCACAATGATTGGTCACCCTAAAAATGTGTATCATTTGGCAACTACCACGTGCATTGCTTTCTAATTCCATGCCAGCTCCTGAGCTGGGTTCCTGGGTGGTGAGTAAGGCACGTATGGGACCAAGAGGGAGAGAGACCGATATTGATGTAAGTGATGGGCACTCTACTTACATCTTAGGCAAACGGGGGCCTTTTTTGGCTCAGGGAACCCGAAGTGGAGGCTCTTGCTTCTTTCAGGCAGGCCTGGGGCCTGTACAAACTCCTGGATTCAAGGGCATGGTTGAACAACTCTCCAGTCTCCCCTCCCCTAGCCCCTGGCAACCACCCTTCTACTTTCTGTCTCTATGAGTCTGACAACTCTAGCAACCTCAGAAAGTGAAATCCTGCAGTCTTGGTGTTTTTGTGGCTGGCTCACCTCACTTAGCATAACGTCTTTTCAAGGCTGAATAATATTCTCCAGTGTGTGCATTTCACACTTTATCTGCTCCTCTGTTGATGAACAGGTTGCTCAGATGTTCGATGCTTCTACCTTTTGGCTGTTGTGAATAAGGGTCAGGATTTTTAAAATCTTCATTTTACAAAAACAAATATGGAGGCTGAGAGAGTATAAGCAATTTTCCCATGGTACCTCAAGTCCAGTGGCACATGCAGGTCTTGACTCCAGACCTGTTGGAGGCTGCTGCACCATATTTCCTCCCATTCATGGTATGAATGCAAGTATAACTAAATGAATAAATTTCTTAGAAAGTTACCAAATTGTACTAATGTATTAGTCTGTTCTCAAACTGCTATGAAGACATACCTGAGACTGGGTAATTTACAAAGAAAAGAGGTTTAATTGGCTCATGGTTCTTTGGCCTATACAGGCTTCTGTTTTTGGGGAGGCCTCAGGAAACCTACAATCATGGCAGAAAGTGAAGAGAAAGCAAGCACATCTTCACATGGCTGGCAGGAGAGAGGGGGCGGGGAGGTGCTACACACTTTCAAACAACCAGATCTTGTGAGAACTCTATCACAAGAAGAGCAAGGAGGATGTCGGCCCCCATGATTCCATTATCTCCCACAAGGCCCCTCCTCCAACACTGGAGATTACAATTCAACATGAAATTTGAGTGGGGACACAGAGCCAAACCATATCAACTAATAAAGATAACACTAGCTGTTATAACAAACTGCAAATTTTAGTTGGCTGGGCAGTGAAATAGAAGTTAACTTCTCATTTATATAAAGTGCGGTGTGGATTGGTCCTGGGTTGGTGGTGTCATTTCTCCATGGGGTGACTCAGGGCCCAGGGTTTTTCTTGTCATAGCTCCACCATCCCCTAGAGCCTGGAAATCCTCTACCCCCCCAGGGCATTGGAAACCTGGAGAGATCATGGGGGAAGCACACCTGATTTTGAAAAACTCCTGCCTGGAAATGACCACCTCCCCTCCACTTGTAGCCTGTGGTTTGGCCATGACAAAGGCAAGGGTGGCTGGGAGACGTCATCTGTGCCTGGGCAGCTGTTCTCCGCTGCCCTGCTATCTTCTGAAAGGTGGCGCATGAATTTTTTGTTGGATCATTTATGAATCTGTCACACCAATGAGTGCTGTAAAACTCGGAGTGGGATTTTACATAGAGAAAGCTAGAAAAACACCTGTGTGTTCATGAGGCCAAGGCATCAGGGTGAGGACAAACATAATTTGAATGCAGACCTGTCTCTGCTGGTTAATCTCACTTTACAGCTCCCCCAATGTCGTGGGTTATCCGGAAGGTTATTTCATGTACTGCCTTCGTGTGGAAGCACATTTCCATAGATAGCAGATAAAGATCTCTTAACCTTGTATTTTCCCTCATATCATCATAAATAGCTTATGCAATGCCATTTCAGTGAGTCTGACAGCTTCTACAATGAGATCTGGATGCAGCAGCATATCTTCTTGTTACATATAAAAAAGAGTGACAGCATTCATCGTTTACGGTGACATCAATGAAGTCTGCTTGTAGAGGTTCCCCATCCATCCATTCATAATACCTTTTATGACTTTAGGCTTTTAAACACGGCACTCTGGTCTATTTTTCAAATGTACCACCATTATCAGCTCAGGAAGCCATTCTTCAATATTTCATTTTCCTGAGAATATCTGGAATATCTTAATTCCTATGAAGCTTCTCCATGGGGTAGGCTGTCAGGTAGGACTTTAATGGGAAAAGAGGGGGAAAACTGCTGCTGGATCATCCTCTCCCTTGTGACACCTGAGGGTGTGTTTTCCATTTTTTCCTTCTTGTCATATTCCCCAAATAAAGACCCTTGGGAGATGCAGTTCCTGAGCACAGCTGTCTGCTCTGTACTGGGAAGTTAAAAAGGTGAGAAAGAGGGGAGTTATAACACAGATTGAGTTATATTGTGGGTCATTCCTGACCCGGAAATGTATTACCTCTTCAGAGCCCTTCAGTTTGCCATCAGGAGAAGGAGAGAGGTCCATTCAAGGTGAAGCTTGGAAGCACCAAGGGTTGGGTGAGGAATGGGAGGTGAATGTGCTTCCTAAGATATCCTTTTGCTAATCAGAAGTGCCCTCTTGGTTCCCCAGGAGGTTCCCATTTGGACACAAATGGAGAATTACGATGGGCATTGCTTCTCAATGTTTTGTCACTTTTGAGGTGCCACGGGTGTCTTTCTTTGGCCACCATTTCGTGGTTTCTTCCTTGTCTGCAGATCGTACTAGAGTAGGCAAAATCAATTTCAGGTTCAGCTCTAGGGGACTGCGAACAATCTCCCTCCAGCAGGGAACTCCTTGGATAGGCTAGGGACAGCTGGGACAATCCCTGAAGCAACTTAGATAGGAAAAACCATGATGAGCATTGATTTAGGGAAGGACGTTGTTGGGCACTTGAGTCCGCCTGCCACCAGCCATGGAGGGCATGTTATAAACACGCCAGACACGCCAAGGATGGAACATTTGACCTAATTTAGCAACAACAAATCCTTTCCCTCACACGTACTTCTCTAATTACAAATGAGATCCTGGTAGGCTTAGCAAGGGTAAATAAAATTGATTCTGTCCACGTAGTATTGGAGATGATAAATGTGTTCAAGAAAGGGCTTCAAATGCCTCACTGCTGATTAGAAAAGGCAAAATAATTGTGAGATAGTGACTAATAGATGGAAGGAATTGTGGCAGAATTGGTCTCCTTGCAGAAATGTCACCGGTCTGATCTTTTTGAGATAATTACCGTCAAATGTCTGTGTGTTTCATGCTCTACGTTTCGGTCGGCCGGGGCACTGCAGGAATTCCCACACTGACTCAGCTATGGGTGGCTCTGGCTTTCTGTCTGTTTGAAGCCTGTAACAGAGCCCCTCTGTTTTCTTAATGCAATGACTGTGTCCCATTCATTCGTCCCCTGGTGCCTAGCAAAACTACTGGTACAGGAGAGGCATGCTGTATTTGTTAACTTTTGAGAGTCTATTTCCACATTTTTTGAGTGAGGTTAAAGAGCAGGTAGCTTGCAGGACGTTATATGAAATAAATAGGATAAAGCATTTGGTTTGACTCATAAGAAATTGCTGACATTTAACTTTTAAAAACTTAATAAGTAACAATTTTATATGGTTCCACTTAATATGTATTATTTATTATGGCATAATAAATTGCCCTCAAATTTAGCAGCTGAAAACAATAAACATTTATTATCTCATAGTTTCTGAGTCAGGAATCCAGGTGCAGCTGAGCTGGTGCCTCTGCCTCAAGGTCACCAACAACACTGCAGTCAAGCTGTGGCCTGGGTTACAGTTTCGTCTGAAGACTTGGCCAAGACGGAATCCCCAGCCTGACTGCAATGTGAGCTCACACACATAATTGTAGCTAGCCTTCAGTCCCCTGTAAGCTGGTAGAATGAGGCCCTCCAACTCCTACTGGCTTTGGGCTGAGTCTGCCTCCAGCTCCCTGCTATGCAGAGGCTCCGGGTGCCTCATGACATGACAGCTGGCTTCCCCTAGAGTGAGTAGAGAGAGAGAGAGCCCAAGACAGAGGCCATAGTCTTTTTATAACCTAATCTCGGAAGTGACATTCATCACCCCTGTCATATCCTGTTTGTTAGAAGTGAGCTGTCAAGTCCAGCCCACACTCAAGGGACAGGTATCAAGGGGGTGAAAACCAGGAGAGGGGCTTTCACTGGGGGTCATCTTAGGAGCTTCCCACAACATGTAACATCTAGCATGAGCCTAACACAAAGATCTTGGGCCAGGCCCAGTGGCTCATGCCTGTAATCCCGGCACTTTGGGGAGACCTAGGCGGGTGGATCACTTGAAGTCAGGAGATCGAGCCCAGCCTGGCCAACATGGCAAAACCCTGTCTCTCCTAAAAATACAAAAATTAGCTGGGTGTGGTGGTGCACACCTGTAATCCCAACTACTCAGGAGGCTGAGGCAGGAGAATCATTGGAACCCAGGAGGCAGAGGTTGCAGAGAGCCGAGATCATGCCACTGCACTCCAGCCTGGGAGACACAGCGAGACTCCGTTTTGTTTTTTTTTTTGTTTTTTTTTTTTAAAGATATCAAGACGTGGTAGTTAAAGAAAATCAGGCCAGGTGTGGTGGCTCACGCCTGTAATCCTAACACTTTGGGAGGCTTAGGTGGGTTTGAGGTTGCAGTGAGCCATGACTGTGCCACTGCACTCCAGCCTGGGCAACAAAGCAAGACCCTGTCTCTAAAAAGAAAATGAAAAAAAATAAAAAAATAAAAAAAAAAGAAAAAAGAAAAGGAAAAGGAAATCAGTAGGGGAAAGAGTTGCAGCATTGGAAATATTTCCATGTGCATCTAATTCAATAGGAATAGGACCTTTTTTCTCTTGTGAAGTAATGTGGATAGATTAATCTGTAATAAAAATGCCCAGTGGCAGCATCCCTGAGAATTCCTTTTTATAGAGTGCCTTTGGCTCTCTCCACCTTGTACACTTGAGGTCTTCTTGTCAGCAGATTCTGAGCACCTGGCCTCTGTGAACACCACCTTGGACACCCAGCGGGCCTTTCAATGGCCAGGGGCCAAAGCCTGGGATGTGGGTGCTGCAATGTGGAATGAGGATGGGAGCTCTAAAAGAATAAGCCAGGGCTGAGTTGCCTGACCTGGGGATTTTGGATTGTGGGCAGGGCCTGCACCACCCTGACTTGGCAGTTCCAGCTCAGGGACAGGCCCTTCCTGAAGAAGATGCTGGAGGAGCAGAGGGAAGAAGGGGAAAGGAGAGCTTCTCTTTAGGTGTGAGTCTCCCTCAGATGGCATGGCACTTTCTGAGAGTAACTGCCGCACTCTTGAGTCTGGCGTATAGCAAGGAAGAAGCAGCTGGGTGGAGCCAGCTGGAGTAAAAGATTTAGCAAAACCTCTGGTGGTGAGGGTTTGGCATTTTTAAACCACCATTTATTGAGCAGGCTTTGTGCTAAGTTCTTTAGAGCAAAATCCCTTTTATGCTCATGATGGTGGTAGAAAGTGAGAGCTATCATTTCCTTTTTATAAATGAGACTCAGGGAAATGAAGGGAATTGCCCCAGGCAGCCAGAGTGGGGTGCAGACCCAAGCGTGTCTGAGGATGGGATATCCTGCAGACTTTCAGCGTTCGTGACTCTGAAGACATCACTGTGGTGTTGGGGCCTGGACCACTTCTTCCTGGAAGCATTATGTTCTCTGGCCCCTTCAATTTGAGTTATCTTGTTGCTGATACCTTCAATCATAATCAACTTAATTCCTACCTAGACACATAGGCCCAGGTGAAGCTGTGTAAAGAGTGGAGCCGTGAGGTGCTCTAGGAAGCGGCAGAAGTGAGGAGGGAACTGGGCTGGTGGCTGGAAGACCCAGGGTGGAATCTCGACTTTGCCTCTTCCTTGCCTGGTGACCTGGTAGGTCCCCTAACTTTTCCAAATGGGTCTTTTTCTCATTTCTGTAATGTCAACAATCATACCTGTCCTAAGGCAGGACACCAATGGGGCTTCATCACCTGTGTGGATCCTTTGGATGGTGGCAGCCTCTTGAAGTCTTGCCTTGAGCATTGCGAGTTTGATTCCAGGCTCAGCTGGAAGGAGTTCTGGCATTGACTAGCTATGTCTGCCGTGGGTGAGGAATGGGAGTCGGGGTCCTTGCACTTTTACTTTTGTGCACCCTGTTCTAAGGCTTCCTGTGAGGTTTAAATGTGATGATGCATGTGAAAAGTCACACCTGGTTGGTACCAGTAAATTCTCATATTTTTCTCTTGGTTCATTTGAATGCAATTCATGATCAAGTTCAACTGCAATTGGAAACTGTTGACCAGGCCGTAGTAGGTGCTCACTAAGTGTTCTTGGAGTGTTGGCAGGATTTGAGGCCAATCCAGCTCTTTCTGGGCCCATGATGACTCCCGTCAGGGGCCCCTGCCCCCACACAGCTTAACGGAAATATCCAACCTGGCGCACAGAGCCCAAGCACAGAGAGGGAAAAGGCACCAAAACAGCAAAGGTATTAACGTGGTGTATTTACACCCCCAAGTGTCTCGCTGTCATCAGGAGCAGCCCCTTCATGAGATATAAGTAATTTGCGCGGCTGATCCCGGTTTTCTCATTAATATGCAAATGAGGCATGCCAGTTGTTAGGTTAGAAGAAAGCTGTCATGTTTATTGTGACAGATTTAATGGATGTGTTTGGATTGTGCATTCAATGTGTTTTCAAGAGCATGTCTTATCTTTGTTTAGGCAGTAAATCAAAAATGTAAACAACAATTCATTAGCATCTGTCAGAAGCTCAAAGCCACATTGTTTCACTTGACAATCTTCCCAGAGGTGGGGAAAAAACCCCCTATATCTGACTTAGTCAAGATTAGTTGGAAATCACACTGGCTTTTCCATCTTTTTGCTCACCAATGTGCAAGCAGTGACAGAAGAACAACTTCTCTGCTCGGAGAGCTGCAGGGGCCAAGGGGTCAAGAGTGGGGATCAGACGACGCCACCCAAACTCACCTGGCTGTGCCCACGGAAATTGCAAGCCTCAGAGCATGCCCCGGCAACTGGGGTGGAAAACAAAATCACAGGCACGTTGCCTCATTTCACCAAACATCTCAAGCAGCCCGCTAAAAGAAAACAATGGAACACAGACAGAAATTTAAAAATAAAAATACAATTAGGGGATATGGACAGAATAGCGTGATACGACTAAGGGGAGAAAATAATTCAGATCTGCAAATCTTGTTCTTCTATGTAGTTATTAAATTTGGCCTGCAGACTAGCTCTGAGCTTCCTGGGAGCCAAAGCAAAAAGCGAAGGCACATTAAGTTATAAAATTCACTTTTTTTTTTTGTTTTTTGAGACGGATTCTCACTCTGTCACCCAGGCTATAGTGCAGTGGCATGATCTGGGCTCAATGCAATCTCTGCCTCCTGGGTTCAAGTGATTCTCCTGCCTCAGACTCCCAAGTAGCTGGGATTACAGACATGAGCCACCACACCCGGCTAATTTTTGTAGTTTTAGCAGAGACGGGGTTTCGCCATGTTGGCCAGGCTGGTCTTGAATCCCTGACCTCAGGTGATCTGCTCACCTTGGCCTCCTAAAGTGCTAGGATTACAGGCGTGAGCCAACTTGCCCAGCCAAAATTCACTTTTTAAGTCGTAAAATTAACTCCATCAAATATAAAAAGGGCAGATTAGTATACTATTTAAAAGAAACAAATGGTATACTAATTTAGAACCAGTATACTGGATCTGAAAGCTTCATACCAAGTACACTGAATCATGCGGCCCAGAGCCCACACCCAGTTATGGAATTGCTTAGTCTCCTTTGGGATAAGATGAAGGATCTAATGTCGAAATACAACTCACACTTCACCTTTATTCTTCTTTCTTTCCTGGCTTCTTCTCCTCAGCATTGACACCTGTCCCTCAACTCTGGCTCCAGATCTTTCTTTTCCTTCCCAGGCAAGCTTCTGGGAAGACTTGTCTGTCCTCCCTGTCCTGGATTGTGTCTTCACATCCCATCTGATCTTCCTGCCACCATGGCTGGCTCCTGTCCCCACCTACCCTGAAGGCAGCTCTGGGCACCCTCATGTTTGCAGGGCCTGGACCTCCCTGCTGATGCTCCCTCTTCTGGCAGAGTTTTCTTTCTCTGACCTCCCGTTCTTGGTTTTCCTGTTCTCTAAGGGCGACTCTTCATTGCCCAGTCCTCTTCCCGGCCTTTGTGCCTCTTTCCTGGGACTGATTCTTGGTGGTGCCATTTGCACTCCAGCGTTTCCTGAGGGTTCACTGGTCAGCTCTTTGCTGAAAATCCAGATGGGTCTCTCTGGCTCAGTCCTCTCTTTTGAGTTTCAGCCCTGCATGACTAGGTGTTTCATGGGACCCCCTGAGCTGGTGTCACCCCCAACTTCAGCACCCAAGTGGGAGCCTGGGGGACCCCAGTCTCCTGTCCTGAGGCCCTGGCCTGTCTCCCATGGCCCTCTTCTGCAGCCCTTCACACTTCCCTCTGTCTGGGTTCTCACTACTCACCTGGCCTTGGGCAGCACCCAGGCCTGAGACCCCTCTGTTCCTTTTCTACCCTGGAGCTGGAGAGGTCTTCCCCAGATGCCCTCTGAGCAGGCCTCTTCTTACCCTGGAGCTGTGGCCCCTGTGGCCCTTGGGGGCTTCTGGGTCCTGTGTCCTGCTCTGTGAGCTCTGCAGCCACTCCTGTTGACTTTGTGCCTTAATGCAAATGATCCCTCTCCTTGGTCACCCGCTGGGGTTTGCACTGTTCTTGTTGACCTTTAGCCTATGCCTTCCTGGGAACCTCCCCTGGGTGGACTCCACCTGTTCCAGGATTGCAGCTTCATCAACTCTTCTCCCCTTGAGGGAGTGGACCTCCTTCTACATCCTTGACCGTGTCTGCTCTAAACCAGGGGCCCACTGCCTGCTTTTGTGCAGCCCACGAGCGAAGAGCAGTTTTTATAGATGAGCATTTGGAATCAATATGATGATAAAGAACCTTAACTTTGAACCTCAATTAGGCAAAATGCTATCCCTTTCAAAAGAGAGTTGATTCTTCTCAGTAGCAGACCTATGTTACAAGAATAAACCCATATTCATCGACAGAAATTTTCTGGAAATGTGTTTTTTCTCTTGTTATACCTGTCCTTACATAATGTCCTCAATTTGCCTCTTGGCTCCTAAAGCCTAACATATTTACTCTCAGGTTCCTTTATAGGACACGACTGCTGACCCCTGGCCTAAATGACATGTAAAGAATGTAAATATGTGCCACTTTACATCTTAAAACTCTTAGCTGGTGCCGCACATTCTAAGGACAAAATCCAAAGTCCTTAGTCGGGTTTAGGCCCCTGGTCCCCTATTCCAACCTCATCGCTCCTACAATCCGCCATTAGGAAACTCTTCCAGGACATCACATTGTCTGGGCTGCAGTGCCAGCGGCTCGTGGGTTTGGTGCAGGCAGTGACTGTGTCTGTTCCATTCCCTGTGGCCTCCCAGCTACCACGCACAGACAGAAACCACCAAATCTCTGTTGGGTGAATGAATGAATGAAGGCAGGCCTGGTAGCCAAGCAAGCAGGGTTCTGAGGCATTGGCCAATCTCTCAGGCACACTGTAGGCCCAGTTTCCTTCCACCTGTGGGTCACTGATTGGTGGCCAGGAGGTCTGAGTGTCAGTTCTCCAGTGGTGGCTGTTGCGATGACCACTCTCAGAAACAGCCTGAATTGCTTCTGGACTTGAAATACCATGAGCACCTAAAAGGAGAGGACCTAAGTTCCAACAAAAGCCCCTTGCACATTTTTGTAATTTGCCAAGGACATCCAGATCTACGGGGCCATTTCGTTCTTGTCACGTCCCTCTGGAAGCAGGCAGGACGGGCACATGAAGCCCAGCTGCAGAAGAGCAAACCAGAGCTCACAGGCTTTCAGCAGCATGCCCAGGGTGACCGGCTTGCCAGATTTGGGACCAGAACCCAGCTTCCTTGACTCTGGGCCAGCGCTCCTTCAATCCAATAGCCCTGCTGAAAGCCCCTCTTCCTTCTTCATCCCTCCTTATCTGCCTCTGCTATATTTCACCAGGGCTGCCGAACGCCGTTGGAGAAAAATCATCCCATGAAAACCAGGATTAGAAATGGGGTCAGGCCGGGTGCAGGGGCTTGCGCCTGCAATCCCAGCACTGTGGTAGGCCAAGGTGGGTGGACCGTTTGAGCCCAGGAGTTTGAGATCAGCCTGGGCACCATGGCAATAGCCCGTCTCTATAAAAAAATACAAAAGTCAGCTGGGCATGGTGGCACGCACCTGTAGTCCCAGCTACTTGGCAGGCTGAGGTGGGAGGATTGCTTGAGCCCCAGAGGTTGAGGCTGCAGTGAGCTGTAATTGCACCACTGCACTCCACCCTGGGCAACAGAGTGAGAACTTGAAAAAAAAAAGAAGAAAGAAAAAGACAGTGGCTCACGCCTGTAATCCCAGCACTTTGGGAGGCCGAAGCGGGTGGATCACGAGGTCAGGAGATCAAGACCACGGTGAAACCCCATCTCTACTAAAAATACAAAAAAAATAGCCGGGCGCAGTGGTGGGCACCTGTAGTCCCAGCTGCTTGGGAGGCTGAGGCAGGAGAATGGCGTGAACCTGGGAGGCAGAGCTTGCAGTGAGCCGAGATCGCACCACTGCACTCCAGCCTGGGCGACAGAGCAAGACTCCGTCTTAAAAAAAAAAAAAGAGAGAGAGAGAGAAAGGAAAAGAAAAGGAAAGGAAAGAAAAGAAAAGAAAAGAGAAAAGAAAAGAAAAGAAAAGAGAAAAGAAAAGAAAAGGAAAGGAAAGGCAGCCACAGGTGGTTTCCGGTCTGGCCAGTTTGTGATCCTTCTCTCCAGTGGCATCTTCCCAAACTGAGCTCACACAGCTTCCCTGAAGTGGCGAGAGAGGGACTTGCCCCCCACTTTCCAGAGAAAGTGGGGTCCACAGGCAGGGACCTCTCCAGCACTCTGACACCTTCCTCTCTAGCACCTTAACCAGTTTTTAGAGCATTTTCCAAAACTGCGATCCACAGAACACTTAGTCTCCAGCAACAGCTGCTAAGAAAACAGCATCTTTAGCCCGAGTTTGGATAACCCTGCAGCCCCTCAGCCCCTCCTAGATAGAAATGTGCACATTATCCAGCAAGAGGGAGCTGGATCTCAGTGTGACCTGGGCACACACATGGTCCCACCAGGTCCATGTACTTTGCTGTTGGAGTCAAAGTGGAGTAGAGGACTGGAAAGTGCTGGAAAACATTCGGATAGCTGACCACTGTTTCTCTCTGAATGTGACTGGCCTGAGATGACTTTGGTTCTGAGCACTTCTGCTATCATGAAGCTCATTTGGCTTTGTAACCTGGTGTTGCTTCTACTTGGTTGACAACTGAACACCAGTCAGTACCTCACAGGACCTCATAGACCAGCGTGGCAGATGCTGATGCGGAATCACTTCCCTTCCTCCCAGCCACAGCCTCCCCACCCTCGCTCCTCACCTCTTGGCGTCCCTGCACTTCTGCACAGACTGTTCCTCCCCTCGCTGGCTGCTCCTCCTTCGCACACAGTCATGCTTCCTCCTTGTCAGTGACCTTCTGTCCGTCCTGGGTGCCCCCTTTGCCTCCTGCTCACAGGAGAGCTTTTTGAAGGAATGGGCTACTCTTGCCACCTGTACTTCCTACTTTCCCCTTTTATCTCCAGCCCGCCACATCTGATTTTCACTCCTGTCAGTTCAGGCTGCTATAACCAAAATACCAGAGACTGGGAGGCTTAAACAACAGGCATTTAGTCCTCACAGTTCCAGAGGCCGCAAGTCCAAGATTAAGGTGCTGGTAGATCCCGTGTGTGTGGAAGGCCTGATTTCTGGTTCATGGACAACACCTTCTTCCTGCGTCCTTGCATGGCGGAGAGCAGGGGAGGAAGCAAGCCCCCTCGTGTTTCTTCCTGGAAGGATGTTCATCCATCCATGAGGGCTCTGCCTTCATCACCGAGTCACCTCCCCAAAGCCCCCTCTGCTAATACATTCACCTTGGGGTAAGCATTTGTCCTATATCAGGGGTTTTGTGACTGTCTCCCCTGGAGGCAGGGACCACACCTCTCCCCTTCATTGCAGGCCTGGTGCATGGTGGACTCCCAGTAAGTGGATGGCTGGGAGCTTGTAGCACCCACCCCTTCCTCTTCTAAACAATCCCTCCCTCAGCTCTGGCTGTCTAAGGTTTCCGGTTCTCAGTCTGGTGGGCGGAAGTGCAGGTGAGGCAGAGGTTGTCAGGTGGCCTCTGGGGAGCCAGGGTGGGGTTAGTCACTGGAGGAGGGGCTAGGAACTGGGGCAGACGGGGCAGGTAGAGCGCTCACTGAACAGGCTGCACGGCCGGGACGCAGTCTGCAAGGTTGCTGCATGTCCTGAGACCCTGAGCAGAGGCTGAATTTGCACGAAATGCCCTAAAGGCAAAGAGGTTCCATGGTGCTGCCTTCTCCCTGACTGCTCTCCGCTCGAGTCCATCCCTGTCCTCCCTGAGGGATTACAAAGCTATGCCATCTTGCGCCCTGGGCCTGGGGGTGGGCTGAAGGAGAAAAAGGTTAAGACCCTTCACTTTCAGCCCTCATCAAGATTTAAACCAAGAGCTAAAAGGGTGCGTGAACCTTCCAGCGCCACTTGAAATCCAGCTCCACATTTAGTGGGAATTAAAGTAATTGATGAACTTGTACTGGACACAGGATCACATAAATAAAGAGCTACAAGTTCTAAAAATAGCACTCAGGGCTTTTTAGTTTTTTAAATACGGTAAAGATCAACATGCAACACACCCCAAGAGGCTCCATGTCAAGCAATTAGGAAACTGGAGAGAACGGGAAAATGAAAATGTTTATTCAAAAATCAATATATTTATCCTAAAAGGGGTTAGTGAACCACACGAGTAAAGTCAGGTCCCACCACAGTCCCCAGAGTTGCTCTGGGGCAAGGTAGGCTCCAGGCAGTAAGAGGTTAAGATATGGATTTCAACTCTGAAGTTGAAGGAAGACCCCTGGGTGAGCTTTTCATTGTGTCGACTAAAAATGTTTTAAAAATCAATATAACAGTGTATAAAAGGATCTTCTAAAGCTTGAGTTAGTCCCATTCATAGCCAAGTGTGCCGCGGTAAGGAACGGATGAGGAGGATGTTTAATCCGCCCAGCCTTGCAGCTAATGAGGCGGGAGTATTTGGGTGATTGTTGATGCAGGTGGAAAAACTGTTTCTAAAGAGTACTGATTGGCCAGGCGCGGTGGCTCACGCCTGTAATCCTAGCACTTTGGGAGGCCGAGGTAGGTGGATCACGAGGTCAGAAGATCGAGACCATCCTGGCTAACACGGTGAAACCCCGTCTCTACTAAAAATACATAAAATTAGCTGGGCGTGGTGGCAGGCGCCTGTAGTCCCAGCTCCTCGGGAGGCTGAGGCAGGAGAATGGCGTGAACCCGGAAGGCGGAGGTTGCAGTGAGCCGAGATCGCACCACTGCACTCCAGCCTGGGTGACAGAGTGAGACTCCGTCTCAAAAAAAAAAAAAAAAAAAAAAAGAGTACTGATTGCTTCTGCAGGAACAGATCATAAAGACCTGGCCCTTTCCATCAGCTGAGATTTTGCCCAGAGACAGTAATTGCTTACTTTCCCTGGCCCCAAATGGGTCCGAATTGTAAATCATGCTGTAACATAATATCTAGGATAATAACAAAGATTCATTCAACAAACACTTGTCATACTCCTCTTGTAAGTCAGGGGCTGGGCTCTGTGCCACAGGGATGGATATACAGCTCGCGAGGCCAATGCTTTGCCGTCTGGAAGCACAGACTCTGATGTAGTGCCTGTCAAACTTTTAAACCAGAAATACGTACTACATTGGGATCCAGTATATTCGTGTACTTTTGGAAAAAAAATTTATGGAACAATATTCACTTTTACATTGCATGATGCATTTCCTTCCATCCCTCCCTCCCTCCCTTCTTTCCTTTCTTCCTTCCTTTGACAGTCTTGCTCTGTCACCCAGGCTGGAGAGAAGTGGCATGATCTTGGCTCATTACAATCTCCACCTCCCGGGTTCAAGCAATTCTCGTGCCTCAGCCTCCCCAGTAGTTGGGATTACAGGTGTGCACCACCACGCCTGGCTAATTTTGTTTTTTGTATTTTTAGTAGAGACAGCATTTTGCCATATTGCCCAGGCTGGTCTCGAACTCCTGAGCTCAGGCAATCTGCCCGCCTTAGCCTCCCAAAGTGCTAGGATTATAGGCGTGAGCCACTGCACCTGGCTACATTCTGATAGTTTCTATTCTAGCCTATTTTATTGAAAAAAGAAGTGCTGGTTGCAACCCTCAAAATTGATTTCATGACCCACTATGAATGGATAGTGAGGTGAAGTTAAAAAATTCCTATCTAGAGGGAGGGCAGACATGAAAAGTGATTCAAGAGAAAAGAGAGTGCCTCGTGAGGGAGTCAGGAGAGGGTGGGACCCTTCTGGCTGGGGGCAGCAAGAAGGGTCCCACGGAGGGGGTGGCATTCAAGCTAGGCCCTGAGTGGCAGAGAGATGCTTGTGATTTAGACAGACTGAGCTGGGAAGAGTAATGATGTTTGCAATAACATGGAAATTATGTTTTTATTATTCATATAATAAGCAGGGCTACGCTTTTCAAGGGACTTTCCCACCTCTAGGTTTATTGGATCATCCTAGCAAACATGTGATCCAGTTAGATTAGGTATTAGCCACATGTTATCAATGGAGGAACTGAGGATCAGAGAAGCAAAGGACTTTGCCCTAGGACACACAGCTCTTTGGCGTTGGCAGAGCCAGGTGTGAGCTCTGGTCTGCCTGGATCACAGCCCCTGTGTGGCCTCTGAAGCAGGAGGCACCACGCGGAGTCCCTGCTTCATGTCTGATGCCTGATGCCTGAGAGCAGGGTTTGAGAGCAAGGGGCTGGGGGCACTCATGGGCACAGCTCTTTCTCTCAGCTCCCTCACTTGCACAGGTCAGGGAATGAATTGATTTGCCTTTGAGTCACAACCAGACAAACCCTCTTCTGGGTTTCTCCATAGGAACACCTGAAATTGGCAGCCTTCAGCATCCCACCCAGACTCTTAGACAACTACTCCTCTTCCCTGGAAACTTCCCTTGCTCCCTGTGAACCTAGCCTTGCAGCCTGGAGGCCAGTTAAGCCACGTCTTGCTGTTCACCACGGACTGGATCTGTTCTCTCCCAACCAGCAGCCTGCTTCCCCAGCCTCATCTATTTGACTTCTTTCTCTCAAGGAACTTACAATTTAATCAGGAATCCCTAATAGTACATGCATTCTAAATTGCAATCATTTATTGCATCTAGCCTGGGGCTTTCTGTCTGTTAGAAATATCAGGGTTATTTCCTTCTTTTAAGAGTTTATGTTAAAAAAAAAACTTTACAAATAATGTTTGCTGTTTAATGTTCTCCCCTGAAATATCAATCTGCAAAAAATAGAAATCCTTTTTTACAATTCATTGCAAGGATATAGTTCCAGTTTCTTATAATGTAATGAATGTATGGCAGATAATGGTCCAATAGTGCAAACGAAAGGCGCATATAATCAAAATGATAATGGAGCGTATTGTACTGCTTGTATAATACAATCCATACCAATATGGAAATCATATCTCAAGGCAACATTCCTCTCTTTGATTTTTGTAATAATTGTACATGTAAGAGCAGAGCAGCGAGAAGTGGGGGGACAAAGGCCTTTATTGCTTCATTAGGCAGCTGGCGTTCTGATGGTCCGGCCTGTCGACAGTCGTTCCTTAATTTCCAAGGGAAGCTTCTCCTCTTTCTGCAGACATGATTTACTGTTCACGTCAGCTCCCTTTTCAGCCCTTTCTCTGTGAAGACTCACAATTAGATAAAATGAGCTTTGAGGGCCCTTTTGATCAGCACCTTCTGCCTGCTTGGCCAGTGATCTGGGTTTGGGTCAGACTGGAGCCAGGCTGCCGGAAGCTTGGGTGGGAAGGAAGAGAAGGCCTTGGTAGAGGCCTTTGAGAGCCTCGGGCTGCACAGCCTCCTTGGCCGGCTAGGCAAGGGGCATGTGAGGGAGTGGAAGAGCAACAGGCACAGGCCCTACCTGCACCGCCTTGCATTCTAGAAAGGTCAGCGCACACTCAAGGTGGGAAATGTCCACTCTGAAGTCGGGCCTCAAGTGGATCTTGGCTTATGTACCAACTAGAGTATGACCTTGGCCTTGACCTCTCTCAGCAGCAGCAACCAGAGATGTTGGCCAAGGTTGTAAAGTTGGGTGGCAGTGGTGAGGGGAGAGCCCAACTTCCTAAAGAGGTCAGTGTTTTCTCCCAGGTTCTGGGAATGGAAAGATGCTGGCAGAAAGCAAATCCCACACCAGAGGAGTAGATTGACAAGTAACCTGGAAGTTATTTTTTGGACTTTTTGGATCAGAGCAAACTTGGATCTTGCTCCTAAATGCTGTGTACCCAGCTACTTCTCCTGGCCCAGTGGGTCCTGGGGCCATGCCTTCTGGGAGTCTGGATGGGGCGGGGTGAGGTGCGGTAGCCCTGGCCCAGGGCGCCCCATCATTGTAAGGTGGAAGGGAAACTGCGGATGGTGGTCTGTAAGGGTCAGGGGTCAGGCGCTGAGCAAAGGCGGGGCAGGAATCCGGCGGCCCAGAACTGGAGGTGAGCCCTGGCAGGCCCAAGGGAGCCTTCGGCTTTTCTTGGGCGCCGGAGTCCGCAGCACAGGCTGGCTGAGGGCTGGTAAGGGAGCCGTGCTGATGGGGCAGAGTCCTGGGCACAGTCCTTTGTGGGCTTTGTCTTGGAGGCACTGCCACTTCTTGACGCTGGCCTGGGGACGCTGCCAGAGAGACCATGCTGTGTGACCCTCACTGCTGCTGAGGCCAGAGAGGGAGGTGATGTCCTGGGCTACCCCGGGAAATGGGGCAGAGAGGAAACTCAGCGGAAGCCAGGTCTCCATTTTAAGTTCTTTGGCGAGAAAGCATAACGTGCTGATGCCTCCCAGGTGTGTCTGCAGAGCAAACCCTGGGGGCAGCCCCAGCTCTCAGGAGGATGGCCCCGGGGGGCGGTGGGGGGTCCCACCTCCTCTTCTTGTCTCCACACCAACATCCACTCCAATCCACACATACCCTGTAGGCTCCTGTGGTTAAACTCACGTCCCTGAGGCCCAGACTCCCTGAGCTTAAATTGCAGTTCCACCATGTTCGACCTTTGTGGGCTTGGCCAAGGCCCTGGCCCTCTCGAAGCCACAGTGTTCTCTTGTGTACGACGGGGAATAACTGCAGCGAGGAAGTGGGAAGAGGACTGAGTGAGTTCAGCAGGGAGTGAACACCTGGCCGTATGCACGCTAAGGCCGTAGCCATCCGTCACCAGGTAGGGACAACAGGTTCACCTCCTGGGGGCAGGCCTTGACCTGCTCAGGACTCTGAGGTGTGTCTGCACTAACGGGCCTCAGGAAGGGGTCATCTTTCTTTCTCTCTCCAGGTCACCGCAAGCAGTGGGGTAACGTGCACAGGAAGGGGTAACGTGCACAGAAAGGTTACGTCCTGGGCAGTGGGAAGCAGTGGGGTAACGTGCACAGGAAGGGGTAACGTGCACAGGAAGGGGTAACGTGCACAGGAAGGTGACGTCCCGGGCAGTGGGAAGCAGTGGGGTGACGTGCACAGGAAGGGGTAACGTGCACAGGAAGGTGACGTCGCGGGCAGTGGGAAGCAGTGGGGTGACGTGCACAGGAAGGGGTAACGTGCACAGGAAGGTGACGTCGCGGGCAGTGGGAAGCAGTGGGGTAACGTGCACAGGAAGGGGTAACGTGCACAGGAAGGTGACGTCCCGGGCAGTGGGAAGCAGTGGGGTGACGTGCACAGGAAGGGGTAACGTGCACAGGAAGGTGACGTCGCGGGCAGTGGGAAGCAGTGGGGTGACGTGCACAGGAAGGGGTAACGTGCACAGGAAGGTGACGTCGCGGGCAGTGGGAAGCAGTGGGGTGACGTGCACAGGAAGGGGTAACGTGCACAGGAAGGTGACGTCCCGGGCAGTGGGAAGCAGTGGGGTAACGTGCACAGGAAGGGGTAACGTGCACAGGAAAGTGACGTCGCGGGCAGTGGGAAACAGTGGGGTAACGTGCACAGGAAGGGGTAACGTGCACAGGAAGGGGTAACGTGCACAGGAAGGTGTCATCGCGGGCAGTGGGAAGCAGTGGGGTAACGTGCACAGGAAGGTGACGTCGCGGGCAGTGGGAAGCAGTGGGGTAACGTGCACAGGAAGGGGTAACGTGCACAGGAAGGGGTAACGTGCACAGGAAGGTGTCATCGCGGGCAGTGGGAAGCAGTGGGGTAACGTGCACAGGAAGGTGACGTCGCGGGCAGTGGGAAGCAGTGGGGAGTCAGGGGAGGCATGGGTGTCTCCTCAGTGCCCGCTACCTGCAGGCACAGGGTAGTGGATGCTGGGAGGTGCTGCCCAGAGACCCTTAACAGCAAGCCAGGGAAATTGCCAGCTGAGGCTCCCAGCTCACTCCTGTCTGAAAATTTCCCAGGACTCCCCAGCTGTAGCTGCACCCAATGACTGGGCCATAAGTGGAGAGGCAGAAAGACCTCAGTTTGGCTGAAGGATCATCAGAGCCCCAGACCTTCACAGGGGCTCATCTGAGACCATTGTAGCAATTTTATCACTGTTCAGGTTCCTCTACAGTCCAACCCCCAGCTCATATAGGCACCGACCCCCGAGGGCACTCCAAGTAAGCCTCCTGCCTGCAAATCTCAGAGTCTCCCAGTCTGTTTCATGGGACTCACCCTATGACAGTGTTCCAAGCACTTTATTTCCTTGAACTTACTTATTTTATTGAAGTCTCACAACAAATCTATGAAATCAGTGCTGTTGTAATTCCCATTTGCAAAATAAGAAACTAGGGGAACAGAGAGATTTGGTAACTTACCTAAGGTCAAACAGCTAGTAAATGGCTGCATTTTTTTCCCCCCAGCAAACTGTACAATAACAGTAAAACAGCCCAGGAGTGACCCACTGCAGTGTTTCCTAAGGTGTTCTGAGGAATCCTTGCGTCAGAATCACCTGGGCTGCTTGTTGCATGGCAGATTTCCAGACCCTGATTGAATCGGTATCTCTGGGATTGGGACCCAGGAATCTGAATATGTAACAAGCTTTCCGTGCAAACTAATGCGGGAACCACTGAGCTCTGGGGAGAAGCATCAGATACTGGAAATCTGGCAGGGACAATAGGGATTGTCAAATGCTTTCGGCTGCAATTGAAATGAGGCTCCAAAAGGCAGGCAGGTGGTCTCATCCAAATTCATGGAGGCATCAAAGGGAGATGAGTCTGGACTTGAACTTTCCCAACTCCTAAATCAGTTGACTGTCTTCCACACAGCATGGACACTTCTTACCTGCTGCTGTTGGCTCAAAGCACATGTGGACAGGATGACAAGTGAGACTCTGAACACCATTTTTCAGATTTTAAAAAATTGCATGAAGTCTTAAAAAATTTACAAAACCTAACATTTGACCATTTTAATCATTTTAAAGCGTGTGGTTCAGTAGTACTAAGTGTATTCGCAGCAACCATCACCATCATCCATCTCCAGAACCCTTTTCATCTTGCAAAGCGGAAACTCTGTCCCCATTAAACCCTCACTTCTCATTCCCTCCTGCTCCCAGCCCAGCCAATCACCATTCTATGTCCTGTCTTTATGAATTTGACTGCTCTAGAGACCTCATATAAATGGAATCATGCAGTATTTGTCCTTTTGTAATGGGCTTATTCCACTTAGTATAATGCCCTCCAGGTTCATCCATGTTGTAGCATGTGCTAGAATTTCCTCCCTTTTTATGGCTGAATACTATTCTACTGTATGTATGTACCTCATTTTCTTTATCCATTCATCCACATGTGGATGTCTGGGTTGTTTCCATCTTTAGGCTATTGTGAATAATACTGCTGTGAACATGGGTGTACAAATGCCTCTTCAAGACTGTTTTCAGTTTCCTTGAGTCTATAGCCAGAAGTGGAGTTGCTGGATCATATGGTAATTCCATGTTTATTTTTTTTGAGGAACTGCCATTCTGATTTCCACAGCAGCTGTTCCATTTTACATTCGCATCAACAATGCACATGGGTTCCAGTTTCTCCACATCCTTCTCAACACTGGCTGTTTTCTTTCTCTTTTTCTTCTTTTTAAATAACAGCCATCCTCATGGGTGTGAGGTCTAATCGTGGTCACTTTAGTTATTTTATTTTTAAAAATGTTTTTTGAGACAGGGTCTCACTCTGTTGCTCAGCCTGGAGTGCAGTGGCATGATCTCAGCTCACTGCAACTTCTGCCTCCTGGGTTCAAGCGATTCTCCTGCCTCAACCTCCTGGGTAGCTGGGATTACAGGTGCCTGCCACCATGCCCAGCTAATTTTTGTATTTTTAGTAGAGACGGGTTTTCACCATGTTGGCCAGGGTGGTCTCAAACTCCTGACCTCAGGCGATCCACCCACCTCGGCCTCCCAAATACAGGTGTGAGCCACCATGCCTGGCCCCCTTTAGTTATTTCAAAGCATGTTCTTGGAGCCCATTTTCCCTGCAGGCTGCTCCTAGACATCCCAGCCATAGCTGCCAGGCTGCCGGAGCCCATGTGGACAGAAGGCGCTCCACCCTCTCACCGTGCTGTGGTAGACGTTACATCTTACTATGAAGCAAAGGGAGGCAGAGGGTGCTGATGGGCAGCAGTCACCAGGATCGCAGCCCCAGCTCTGTCACTAAAGAGTGCAGGTTTTGAATGGGTCACTGACTGTTGGAGTGGCAGGGTCCTCCTGCCCATAGATAAAATGGCGTTTCTGCTGGTTACTGCATCATGCAAGAACAGCCGGGTGGTTGCTCACCAAACCTGAAGGGTGTGTTTGGGTTGGTCTGACTTAGCATATAAGCCATGTAGCTGATACAAAACTTACTTTGGGAGACCATGGGAAACCCCCGTGCAATGACCGGGCATTCAGCCTCTGAAGGAGCTGAAGCCAGGGTTGCAGAGGTCCCTGTAACTGCTGCTAGGGAGAGGCCTATTAATATTAAGATGCTGTGGCCAGAGAATGGAGCCTTCAGATATAAGCCTTGAATCAAATGCATAGGATAGAACCCCACATGGCAGAGCGGCTGCTTCAGAGTTGCTGAGCCCTTCCGGGCAGGGGCCTCATGGGGAGGCTGTCGAGTGGGGTGGATTTCCCAGGGCAGCTCCTCCACCAGGCTGGGTGGGTCAGCCAGTCTGGAATTCAAGCAATTGGGATCCACTAGCCCAGGGCTTCTCAAGCTGGAATGTGGACATGAATCACCATGGATCTGGTTACGTTGCAGATTCTGACTCAGCAGGTCTGAGGCGGGGCCTGACATTCTGCACGGCTGGCCTGCTCCGGGCGCTGCTGATGCTGCTGGTTCCTGGACCACCCTTGAGACCCTGGATGACCTCTGAGGTGCTGCCTCCTTGCAAAAACCCTCAGCTCTTGGGACCTCTCCCTGCGCTTCCGAAGCCCTTTCAGATATTTTCCTGTAGCCCTCACAAAGAGCTTGGGGTTGCGGTTTCTGCCGCTGTTGACTCTCACGTGGGTAAGGCCATTTTCATTTAATTTTTTGAAGCTTTTCTAGAGCCCAAGCTCCCTAAGGATGGGGAATTCATCTCACCCAACACTTGGCATCCCCTAGAGAACCTAGTCCAGTGCTGTGCTGTCTTCTCAATACTGTTTGTTAGAGGAATAATAATAACAGCCCTCATATGTGTGAACACTTCACAGTTCACAGGCACTTTCATATGCTTAATTCATTACTTGCCATTTCTCTTCCGATGAAACCAGCAGTTCCTCTTGGCTTACGTGCTAGGCGTGAATTTCCTCGTTTTTATCCTCACAACAATCCTGTGAATTACACAGGGCAGGTATTAGCCTGCCTGCCAAGAAGGGGACACTATTGTTTGTAGAAACATTAAGCATGCTGCCCAAGGTGTCCTAGGGGACAATGGCAAGCCTGGGATCTGTTTCCAGGTTGCTGCTGCCATCTCCCTAGAAGAGAGTTGGGACCACCAGCAGGAGTAGGGACTTGGGCTCCAGATGGTGTCCGCTTCTTCTCACTGGGCCATTCCAGTGGTGGCTGGCCAGTGTTTCTGGTGCCAGCCCTGTGGGCCTCCCTGCCTGCATCCTACCTGGGCCAATGCCCCATGGCGCAGGTGACCTCCACATGGCTTCTTTTCTATCCTTTGCATTGAAGGCCCTTGCACTGCAGGATAACAGCTCAGAGGACTGGATTTCTGGTCCTAGCTCTGTTACTTCTGACCATGGAGCCATAGACCAGGCACCAACTGAGTTTTGGTTTCCTCTTCTGTAAAATTTGGATGATGCTGTATGCCCAGCTGGGCCTCTGGGCTTCATGAGCCCACACCAATAGCGCTCTGTGGAAATGCTTTGTGCATGCAAAGAGACGTACATGCTACTTCTTCATCAAGCGTGTACACTGTAAAACAGAAAGGCTTTTTTATTTTCAAAGTTTGGGTATTTACACAGAGGCCCTTGCATATGCGTGATCATTTCAGTGGCTCATTTGTTTGTCTTGCTGTGTATAATAGTAAGACACAAGCCCCTCCTGAAGCCATCGGCAGTCTCCTCACTGCTTTGAAAGTTGATTTCCTTTGTCATCCTTACTTCCTAAGGGTTAGCCTGAGTCATCCAGCATCAGGATGCCAGCTTTGCGTTAGAAGTTAATTATTCTTCTTTATCATATTGAGGACACTTAATTTTTTTAGTGATTTACTCTGCTTTGTAATTATAGATGTGGTGATTAGAATGTCTTATATTTGACATTACAGATTTTTAAAAACATGATTTATTCCCACCACTGATTTAAAACTCTTCCTTTGTAAGTTTTTATTCCTGCTTGTGTGACAGTGTTTAGGGACTCCGGCCGGGCCTGGTGCCTCTGCAGGGGCTATTAGAGGCGCTGTGTACATATATAATTAAGGAATTTCAAAACACAAATGACTGCCTTTGGGGCCAATAGCCACTGCAGTTTCCATCTATCATGTCAGCCCTGGAGATGGTTGTGTATTTGGTAAAGTAAATTAACATACAACAACTTTGCTTAAAATAATGTTCAAATTTAAGATGTAGCAAGAAGCAGGAAAAACAAACAATAAAGGGATCCAGGGAGAGCGAAAATCACATATTTAAATGCGAACAAAATCTTTGCCTGGTGCCTTTATCACCTGTGGGTTACAGCATAAAGCCACCTGAAGACCCGGATTCCTTCTTCACCTCCTTTTGTTTTCTGGCCAAACTTTCTGTTCGATTTGCACCATCTCTGAGCAGACCTTGGGTTTGGAAGGGACCTTTGGAGCCTCATCTTTGTCACGTATTTTGTCCTTTGAAAATGTATTATAGAGATAATGGAACATCATTTCAGAGTTTCGGAAATGGGAGAGAAATCTCCCAGCAGCCCAGCAGTTGAAGAGGAGCTGCCTCAAATACCAGCCCAACGGGAGGCCTGTCTCTGGCTTTTATGTTCAAGCTGGGACTCTTGGCCTCAGAAGCCTGCTTCTGGTCTTGAAAGTTGGTCCCTTCCCAGCATTATAGCATTAAAAAAATTTTTTTTTTGCCACCAATAAAACCATGTTCGGGGCTAATACTCATGCTTTAAAAAAATTGCAATTGTTCTTTGGAGCCCAGTTAACAGAAGCAAATTTCTTTAAAACAGATGTTGTGTTTGTGGTCTGATGCTGATGTGGATGAGGCTATTTGGAAGGGTGTAGAAGTTTTCCCATCTCACTCAGAAGGAAATGAGATGATGGTTCTTCATACACAAAAGCCAAAAATCAACTGTTATTATACTACCCAGCAATAACCGCAGCTAGTGTTTTGGTGTGTATCTTCTTAGAACTGCTTCTAGGTGAATTTGTACATCAAGATTAATCTTTTTAAAAAATATAAGCTGGATATACTAATTTTTAGCCTTTTTTCTCTCTTACTGTACTTTGAACACTTTATACCACTTTTTCCAAGTTAGTGAATATTTTAGCTTTTTTTTTTTTTTTTTTTTTGAGATGGAGTCTTGCTCTGTCACCCAGGCTGGAATGCAGTGGTGCGATCTCGGCTCACTGCAACCTCAGCCTGCCAGGTTCAAGCAATTCTCCTTCTTCAGCCTCCTGAGTAGCTGAGATTACAGAAACCCAGCACCAAGCCCGTCTAATTTTTGTATTTTTAGTAGAGATAGGGTTTCACCATGTTGGCCAGGCTGGTTTCGAACTTCTGACCTCAAGTGATCCGCCCACCTCGGCCTCCCAAAGTGCTGGGATTCCAGGCATGAACCACCATGCCCAGCCTAAGCACATGGTTTTCAATGGTTGCAAAAGGGCCCATGACTCAGCTGAGATCACCATTTCTGTGGTCTTTTTGATATTGATGAAAATTTAGGCCCTTTCCTTTTTAAACTTTTTGCTATTAAGAACAGTGCTTCAGTGAACATCCTTCTGCATGTATCTTTGTGTGTCTATAATAATTTCCTTAAGATAAATTCTTAGAAACAGGGGTGCTGTATCAAAGGTTATGCACATTGACATGACCGTCTATTCCTCTTAAAAATAGCATTTTCCCTGGCAAAACATGCAGAGTACTTTAAGACATCTGCTGCACTTGTTGCAGCATTCAAGTAGAACATCTTCTCAGCAAGAAGGGCTGAAACTGTGTTGTCTACAGTAGGCTGGCTGCTGGATATCACTCCGGAAAGAAACTAGCAGCCTGCAGAAGAGGCAGGGTCACCAACACCTTGGAGGGCAGTAACTGAGCCTCTTTCCCATCGGTGAGTGTTGGCATCAGCCCCCACCCCAGGAGCAGAAACCATAAGTGACAAAGGGAACAGCTCCCTGGGGAGGAAGCTGCCAACTCCTCCCCAAACCACAGGTAATCCTCACTAGGGAGGAACTGACAGCCAAGATTCTTCATCTGTTGAGGGTGATTCAGTCAAGGTAGGGTAATGAATTCAGAAGAAGAGTAGGAAAAGTGGTTGTTGCAAAGAGCTGGTGTAGTTGCATTGTGAAAGGAATCATGGTCACAGAAGGTTTCAGAAGCTTTATCAGTAAGACAGATTGCAGAGTATCAGATTTGCGTTGGGTGGAATTCTGTGGGATGCCAGCATTGGAAAGTGAGCCACAAGGCTGTTGTTTTTTCAATTCATTAGAACAGCTGGGTCTCCAGGAGTAATTCATGAAATGGATTAGATAATATCCTTCCTGATAGGCTGTCACCCCAATGAAAGAATGTGGTTTCTGCCTTGTCAGCATGCAGCCATCACTGTTTTCTGATAATAGGTCCCTAAATTTTCTCAGAAGAACACCATTTCTCCATTCTTAATCCTCCTGGTTTGAATGGCGTTGATAATCCAACCTCACCTGGGACATGCAAGTAAAGTATATCATCTCCCTGATCACTGTGATTGATCTAGGATGGGCATGTGATCAAGTTCATCCAATCAGAATGCATCTCAGAACTTTTGCTTGAGCACTTGCTGGAAAGTGTTCTTTCTTTTCCTCTGATGTTAATGATTGGGAGGCTATGGCGTGGTGCAGCTCGGAAACCCTTGCTGGGGAGTGCTGCTCTGTTTGGGAAGTGTTTTTAGAGAATAAAGTCAACATGAGAGAAAGCAAAACAGAAAGATATAGAAATACAGGTTTTTATAGATATAATTTGAGCTCTTGGATCCAGGTGTGCCTGAAGTAGAGCTATATCTGGAGTTTTCAGTTATTCGAGCCATTATATTCCTTTCTGTTTTGCTTAAGCCAATTTGATTTAAGTTTCTGCCCCTTAAATCCAAGATTCCTGACTACTACAGATATATTAAATTTCAAGTTGATTCATAGATCTGAATGAGGTAATGTTGCCCTCAAGCCTATGTGAATGATCTAAGTCCAAGCTTAGTGTTACAGGACAGGAACACAATGTCTCAAAGACAAGGCAGTGGCAGATCAGTGCTGGGTGGTCAGGGAGGGAAAGGATCACATTCTGCAGGTAGGATGAAGACAGGAGTCACAGAAAAAGTGATATTTTTGATGAGTCTTGGAAAATGACAGGTGGGATTGGCAGGCGATGACATTTCTGGTAAAGAAACAGTAGGAGCGAATGCTGAGAGGAGAAAAAGCAAAGTCCATAGCCCACGTAGGGAGAAGGCAGGAGGTAAAATTAGTAAGAATAGTTGGGGTTATGTTGTTTGGATCCTGAATTCCATGCTGAAATAAAACTTAATGAGATTTTTGCCTTTTGTGTATGACAGAGAAGCTTATATTAGACCAACGGTCCCACTGAGAACAACTAGAAAATCCATACAAAATTAGATAAAAATCCCAAACCAAAAACATCTGTTTGAAAGCATTGCAGATCTGCCATGATAGCCAAGATTTGAGAGACAAACATCTTGGAGTGTGAAGGCGCCGTTGAGTTTAGCTCAACATTCTATATGCTGCTTTTACTTTGGGGTGATTTATTGACGTTTGCTTGTGACAAGAGGCTGAAAAGTCTGGTAAAAGGTCCTTGCTAAGAGGCAGAGAAGCCAGTCGAATTTTTATAATCTTGCAGGGCTAGGGAAACAAAATTGGAGATTGGGGCTACTTAGGTAAACCAGAACATAGACAGTCAGAATCATGGAAAGAAGGGAAGTGAAAGGAAGTGAACCCAGTATGTGATGTTTTTCACGTTTAGGTGTTTACCAAGTCACAGTTGCACAGGGCAAGAGGCTAGGAATCCAAGAAAAAAGTGGCTGAGAAAACAGTAAGTTATTGGCAGTTTCATGGTGCTGGAGAGATAAATATTTGAATTCAGGAGCTGCCTAGGAGGAGGGGCCCTAGTAAGTACTCCAAGCTGACTTACTCCTAGTAAGTACTCCCAGTAAGTAAGGTTCTGAATTGGACACCTAGAGGGTTACACCTGTAGATGTTGTGAACTAGAGCTTTAGAAAGACTGTTACTCAGACTCAGGTCAACAATGTCACTGACTGGATTGGAAGCCATCTGCTCTTACTCTAGCTTTCTGAAAGATGATAGAGTTGAAGCTTCTTTGGAGGAAGACATCATTATCCTGACCTTCTCCATTTTTCATATACCATATCTGGCTCCCAATTAAACATTCTAGGAATACCAGGCTGGGTGCAGTGGCTCATGCCTGTAATCCCCGCACTTTGGGAGGCCAAGGCGGGCAGATCACTTGAGGTCAGTAGTTCGAGACCAGCCTGGCCAAAATGGTGAAACCCCACCTCCACTGAAAATACAAAAATTAGCCAGGCTTGGTGGCAGGTGCCTGTAATCCCCACTACTTGGGAGGCTGAGACAGGAGAATCACTTGAATCCAGGAAGCGGACGTTGCAGTGAGCTGAGATCACGTCACTGCACTCCAACCTGGGTTGAACAGAGTGAGACTCTGTCTCAAAAAAAAAAACCAAAAAAACAAAAAAACAAACAAAAAAAACAACAAAAATTCTAGGCATACCAAAAAACAGTATCAAAAGAGGGGAAAAAAAAATCGGAAGATAGAAACAGACCCATAGGTAAATCAGATGTTGCACTTTTTATACATGGACCTTTAAATTAACTGTAATCGATATATTAAAAAAAAGATAAGATGGAAAATTTCTTCAGAGAACTGAAATTTATAAAAAGAACCAAATAAAAAGTATAAAACTGAAAAAGCCAATAACACAAATTTAAAATGTAATATGTTTACTAGCAAATTTTACACACTAAAGAGAGGATTAGTCACCTGGAAGACAGATTAGTAAGAAATATTCAGACTAAATCTTGAAGAGCAAACAGGGTGAAAATTATAAAGAAAAAACATGAGAGAAATAAAGGAAATGGTGATGAAAAGGTCAAACTTATGTGTAATTAAAGGAGAGGAGAGGGAGAGTGGATTAGTCCATTTTCACACTGCTATAAAGAACTACCTGAGACTGGATAATTTATAAAGAACAGAGATTTAATTGACTCACAGTTCCACAGGCTTAACAGGAAGCATGGTTACGAGGCCTCAGGAAACTTACAATCATGGCAGAAGGCAAAGGGGAAGCAAGTGGAGAGAGGGAGAGCAAGCAAAGGGGGAAGAGCCACACACCTATCAAACAACCAGATCTCGTGAGAATTCTACCATGAGAATAGCAAGGGGGAAGTACATCCCCATGATTCAACCTCCTCCCACCAGACCACTCTCTCAACATGTGGGGATTACAATTCCAGATGAGATTTGGGTGGGGACACAGAGCCAAACCATAACAGAGAGTGATCAGTAATAACATTTGAAGGGTTTTTGAATGTTCAAAAACTGACGTAATACATCAGATCACAAATTCAAGAAGACCTACAAACTCTAGCCAGTATGAATATTGAGAAAACTATCCTAGTCATGTCATAGTGAAACTGCCTAAAACTAAAGACAGAGAAAAAATATTAAAAGCAGCCAGCAGGGCACCTTTAAAGGAGCAGTGATAAGACTTACAATGGACTTCTTGGCAGGAATGATGGAAGCCAGGAAACAATGGAATAACAACTTTAAAATGCTGAAAGAAAAGAAACTTATCAACTCAGAATTCTATACACAGAAAGAATATCTTTCAAAAGTAACAGTGAATACAAACATTTCCTGTCAAATAAAACCAGAAAGTTAGTTGTCAAGACACTGGCACTAAAAGAAATATTAAAGGAATTTCTTCCCATAGAAAGAAAATGATCCCAGATGGAATTAGAAAAATATGGAAAGAAATGAAGAGCAAAGAAAAGTGTAAGCCTCTGGGTAAAAGTACATTGACTGCACAAAACAACACGATACTGTCTTTCAGGCTTTGAAATATATATAGAATTAAGATGTGTGACAACAGTAACACAAGAGAAAGGAGAAAATGATGCAAATGGACTTAAAGGGCTCTGAATTCCTCAAATTGTTTAGGAAATGATAAGAGCACTAATTTAAATTATACTCAAATAAGTCAAGGAGACATGTTGTAATCCAGTGACAACTTAAAGAGTACTAAAATAACGTATAATTCACAAGTTAATAGACAGAAAATAAGAGTAACACAAAACACTTGATTAATCCATAAGAAGGCAAAATGGGCATGACAAAGAAAAAAAACTAAATAGAAAACAATATGAAAACAATAGATTTGAATACATATCTTAGTCAGTACATTAAATGTAAATAAAATTAAGTGTAAATTGATGGATTCAATTAAAATACAAATATTGTCAGAATAGATTACAGAATAAAGCCCAACTATATGATTCAACTATACGATAAGAGACACAAATTCAATATAGCATGCAGAAAGGTTTAAAGTAAAGCAACAGGAAAAAATATATCCTGAAAAACCAACCAAGTTAAAGATTTTGTAGGTTTACTAATACAAGACAAAACAGACTTTACGATGAGAGCATTACCAGAGATAAACAGAGACATTTCATAGTGATAAAAAAGCCGATTCATCAAGAAACATAATAATATAGCTTCACAGCAAATACTGATAAAATAAGAAATAGACAGTTCTACAATTATAGTGGCAGGCTTTAATAGACCTCTCTCAGTAATTGTTAGAACATACAGCTGAACTTCAGTAAGAAAAATGAATTTTGGAACAACACAATGAACAAACTTGACCCTAATTGACATAGAACATTTTACCCAAAAATGACAGATTAAACACTCTTTTCAAGACTACATGGAATATTTACCAACATTTATCATTGACCATGTGATAGATCATAAGGTAAGTCTAAATAAGTTTCAGAGTATTCAGAGGATAATCTCTGACCACAGTGGAATTAAACTAGAAACCAATTTTTATATTTATTAATTAAATTATTTTTTCTGATACAGAGTCTCACTCTGACACCCAGGCTGAAGTGCAGTGGCATGATCTTGGCTCACTGCAGCCTCTGTCTCCTGGGTTCAAGTGATTTTCCTGCCTCAGCCTCCCAAGTAGCTGGGACTACAGGCATGCCACCACACCTGGCTAATTTCTGTATTTTTTAGTAGAGATAGGGTTTCACCATATTGGTCAGGCTGGTCTTGAACTCTTGGCCTCAAGTGATCTTCCTGCCTCAGCCTCCCAAAGTGCTGGGACTATAGGATGGCACCACACCTGGCTAATTTTTGTATATTTAGTAGAGACAGGGTTTTGCCATGTTGGCCAGGCTGGTCTTGAACTCCTGGCCTCAGGTGATCTTCCTGCCTCAGCCCCCCAAAGTGCTGGGATTACAGTCATGAGCCACCATGCCTGGCCTAGAAACCAATTTTTAAAAACTTAATTAGAAATTCTCCAAATATTTAGAAATTAAGCAATATGCTTCCCATTAACTCATAGGTAAAAAATAATCTCAGCAGAAATTATAAAATATTTTTAACTCAAGGAAAATGAAAATATAACATATCAAAAAAGTGGGATGTGGCTGGGCATGGTGGCTTATGCCTGTAATCCCAGCACTTTGGGAGGCCGAGGTGGGAGGAGTGCTTGAGTCCAGGAGTTCAAGATCAGCCTGGGCAACACAGGGAGACTGTGGCTCTATAAAAATTTTTAAAAATTAGCTGGGCATAGTGGTGCACACCTGTAGTCCTAGCAACTTGGGAGGCTGAGATGGGAGGTTTGCTTGACCCTGGGAGGCTGAGGTTGCAGTGAGCCATGATTGCGTCACTGCACACTCCATCCTGGGTGACAGAGTGAGTCCCTGTCTCAAACAAAAAAATAAAATAAAAATAAAAAAAGATGCACCTAAAACTCTGCTTAGAGGGAAATTTATAATTTTAAAATAAATAAGAAAGGAAGAAAGGCTGAAAATAATGGTCTAAATCTCCATGTCAATAAATTAAAAAAAAATAGCAAACAAAATCTAAAGAAAGTAGAAAGAAGAAATAAAAAAGACAAAGGCAGAAGTTAATAAGCTAGAATCAACACATAATATAAATAAATTAATAATTTATGCTGGTTCTTTGAAAAGACTAATAAAACCAACAAACTTCTAGAAGTTGAGAGATGGTAAGAAGGAGGGAGAGAGAAAGAAAGAGAGAGACAGAGAACCAAAATCTGGATTGAAAAACTGATATAATTATGGATTCTACAGATATTAAAAGATGATACTACAACTTTATTCTAATGCATTTGAAAACCAGGATAGACAGACAAAATGTTAGAAAAGCAACACTTACTACAATGGACTCAAGAAATAGAAAATCTGAATAGTTCTATGCCTATCAAAAAACTTACCAAAAATCTTATTCTGTCACTGAATCTTTCTCACAAAGAAAGCGTCAGATTCAGATGGTTTCACTGGTTAATTATTTGAAACATTTAAGAAATAAACAACCAACTAATTCTACCGAAAAGTAGAAAAAGAAGGGTCCCTTCCCAATTTGCTTTATGGGGCTAACATAATCTTATAAAAACTTGATAAAGACATTATGAGAAAGGAAAATTGTGGACAAATTTCTCTTATAAACATAACAAAAATCTTAAATAAAATACTTTAAATTGAATACAAGTTATATGTCAAAGAAAATATATCATAGCATGTTGGGTTTTTTCAGAAACGTAAATTTAGTGTAACATTCAAAAATTGATTACTGGCTGGGCGCGGTGGCTCACGCCTGTAATCCCAGCACTTTGGGAGGCCGAGGCGGGTGGATCACGAGGTCAGGAGATTGAGACCATCCTGGCTAACATGGTGAAACCCCATCTCTACTAAAAATACAAAAAATTAGCTGGGCGTGGTGGTGGGTGCCTGTAGTCCCAGCTACTCGGGAGGCTGAGGCAGGAGAATGGTGTGAACCCAGGAGGCGGAGCTTGCAATGAGCCGAGATCGCACTACTGCGCTCCAGCCTGGGCAACAGAGTGAGACTCCATCTCAAAAAAAAAAAAAAAAAATTGATTACTATAATTCACCACATTAACAGAATAATTTAGGAGAAAAACTAATGATCATCTAGAGAAATGCAATAAAAGCACTTGATAAAAAGTAGAAACTAAGAGTGGCAATAAAAAAGAATTTCCTAAATTGGACAAAAATTCTATTGCAAAATATCATATTTAATGGTGAAATATCCAAAGTTTTCTCTCTGAAGTTACATGTGAGACAAGGATGGCTGCTGTCACAACTTCTACATTTTACTGATGGTCCTGGCTAGTGCAGTAAGTCAAGAAAAAGACAAAAACACACACCATAATTAAAGAGAGAAATAAAACTGTATCTATTCACAGATGACATGATGTGCATGGAGAAAATGCAAAAATGTGAATTTTCAGAATTAATAAATCAGTTTAGCAAGATCTGGATACAAAGTCTACATATAAAAATCAATTGTTCTCTTCAGAGCAGCAACAACAACAAAATCACAAAGTATAATGAAGTAACCATTTCCAGTAGCACCAAACAATAAAAGAAAACAACAACCAACAACAAATATCTAGGAATTAATCTAATGAAAAATGTGTAAGGCTGTAGCAACGTGAGAAGTATAAACTATTATTGAGCAAAATTAAAGAATACCTAAATAATAGAAATATATACCATGTTCATTGATTAGAAAATTTAATACTGTAAAGAGATCAAATCTCTCTCAAATTAATCTGTAGATTCAATGCAATTCCAATCCAAATTCCAGGAGGATTTTTATGGAAATTCACAATTTGATTCTTATATTTATATGAAAATGCAAAGAGTAAAATAACTAAGACAATCTTAAAGAAGAACAAAGTTAGAAGACTTAACGCTACTAAATAATAAGAGTTATTATATAGCTACAATAATCAAGAGAGCATAGTTTGGCACAAGAATAAACAAATAGTCCAACAGAAGAGAATAAAGTCCAGAAACAGACCCACACATACAAGGTTAGTTGATTTATGTCAAAGATGATTGGCAGTGCAGTGCATTGGGGATAGACTAGCCTTTTAAATGAGTGGTACCTAAACAACTGAATATTCATATGGAAAAAAAATGAAACCTGACTTCTATCTCATAACATATGCAAAAAGCAATTCCAGATGGATCATAGATCTAAATGTGAAAATAAATCAGTAAAGCTTCTGGAAGAAAATGTAGAGAATACCTTCATGACTCAACATTAGGCAAAAATTTCTAAAGTAGGACACAAAAAGCATTAATCATAAATAAGCTTATTCAGCTTAGTAAGTTGAACTACATTAAAATTAAGAAATGTTTGTTCACCAAAATATACTATTAGGGGATAAGAAGGCAAGCCTCAGAATGATGTAAGATATTTGCAATATATAAATCTGACGAAGGGCTCCTGACCAGAATATGCAAAGAACTCTTTACAAACCAATAAGAAGCAAAGAACTCTTTACAAACCAATAAGAAGAAAGACAACCCAACAGAAAAACTGGGAAAGAAATGTGAATAAAATGTTTTACGAAAGAGGATACACAAATTACCAAAAAACATTGAAAAGGTGCTTGACCTCGGTGATCACCAAGAAAATGCATATTAAGCCATAAACACCTATCTAAAATGGTTGTTGGTGGGAGTGTAAATTGCTACATCTACTTTGAAAACATATTTTGTTATTGCATATAAATTTAAAAGTAACTCATACCCTGTGACCAGGCATATACTCAGAATAATTATGTACATTTATTCAACAAAAGACACATCACAGCAACACTATTTGCAACAGCCCCAAACTGGAAACAACCCATATGTCCATTAACATAAGTAAATAATTAAATTGGGTCATAGTCATACTAGGGAACATTGTAATTACAATTATACACAACAATATGGATGAAACTTCCAAACACAATTTTGGTTTTTTATTTTTATTTTCATTTTGATTTTGTTTTATTTTGCATTTTATATATTATCCAGTTTCACATTCTCACAGAATCAGCAATGACAATAGCCATTCCCAAGTCTGAAATGGCAAGACAGTCACAGCTGCGGGTGTTGGTAAAGCACTGATAGGCTCACAAAACAAAAAACATGGCACCAATGCCAAACAATTTTGAGTGAAAGGATTCAGACACAAATGGGTACATACTCTTTGAGTCTACTTATATAAAGTCCAAAAAGAAGCAAAACCTGGCCGGACACAGTGGCTCACGCCTGTAATCCCTGCACTTTGGGAGGCCGAGGGGGGCAATCACTTGAGGTTGGGAGTTCAAGACCAGCCTGACCAACATTGAGAAACCCCGTCTCTACTAGAAATACAAAATTAGCTGGGCATGGTGGTGCATGCCTGTAATCCCAGCTACTCAGGAGGCTGAGGCAGGAGAATTGCTTGACCCTGGGAGGCAGAGGTTGTGGTGAGCCGAGATCGCGCCATTGAACTCCAGCCTGGGCAACAAGAGCGAAACTCCATCCAAAAAAACAAGGAAAAAACCCACTTATGGTGATAGAAATCAGAATAACGTTTATCTCTGTGGGTGTGGGTGACAGTTGGGGGCATAAGGAGGATGGGGAGAGTGCTCAGAGTGGTCTGTCTGTTGACCTGGTTGGTGTGTTTGGTTTATGAACATTGATTGAGTTGTGTATTTTGATATGTATGTTATTCCTCATTAATGAATGACCTCATGTATAATCATGTTGATTTAGCATGAGGGGAGGGGGAGGATGTGGGGAACACCATGGGTAGCACAGGATCTGAACATTTGCCCTACATCTTTGTCTGGCTGCATGATTTTGGCCATTTCTGCTTGTCTTGGACTCTTGGACTGGATCATGGGTCTCAATACCATGGAGCGTCATAGGTCTGTGGACCTCCTGAAACTGTAGGTAAAAGCCTGTGTGCCTGTGCATTTTTCTGGGGAGAGGGCCAGAGCTCTTTTTTTTTTTTTTTTAAAGTAGATTTTATTTTTTTAGAACAGTCTTAGGTTCACAGCAAAATTGGGCAGAAGGCACAGAGATCTTTCACGTAACCCCTGCTTCCCACATGCATAGCCTCCCGCTTGATGAGCATCCTTCCCCAGAGTGGAGCATCTGTTATGATGAAGCTACACTGACATGATTATCACCCAAAGGCCATAGTTCATGTTAGGGCTCACTCTTGGAGTTGCCCATTCTACGGGTTTGGACATGTGTAATGACATGTATCCACCATTACAGTAGACAGAGTAGTTTCAGGGCTCCCTAAAATCCTCTGAGCTCCACCTATTCATCCCTCCCTCCCTGTAACCCCTGGCAACCACTGATTTTTTTCACTGCCTTCATAGTTTTGCCTTTTCCGGGTTCATATTGTTGGAATCATATCGCATGTAACCTTTTCAGATTGGCTTCTTGCACTAAGCAATTTGCCTTTGAGGAATCTCCATGTCTTTGGTGGCTTGATCGTTCATTTCTTTTTAGTGCTGAATAATATGCCATTGTCTGGATATACCCCAGTTTATTTTTCCATTTACCTACTGAAAGTCATCATGATTGAGTCCAGGTTTTGGCGATGATGAAGAAAGTTGCTATAAACATCCATGTGCAGGTTTTTGTGTGGACATAAGTTTTCAGCTCATTTGGGTAAATACTAAGGAGTGTGATTGCTGGATCCTATGGTAAGAGTATGTTTACTTTTATGGGAAACTGAAAGTCTTCCAAAGTGGCTGCATTCTTTTGCATTCCCACCAGCAACGAATGCGAGTTCTTGTTCCACATCCCTGCTAGCATTTGGTGTTGTCAGTGCATAATTTTTTACCAAATTATTTAAGGTGTCTGGAACCGAAAGAGTTTAAGAGCCACTCAACGGGTGATCTCCAAGGTGCCTACAGCTCTGCCTGCCACAGTTTTCCGGGCCATAGGCAATCTGGTGAAGGGCATATTTTACACTGGGTAGCACTGGGTTGAAGGTCAGCATGGAGTTAAAATAGTCTGTGGCAGACAGTGAGGGTGGTAAGTGGGGTGTTGGAAGGAAGGAAAAATGGGACCGCTCCTCTGTCTGCAACTGCTAGGTTATGGCATCAGGGAACACAAAGAGAGACAAACTGTTCTGGCACAAAATTTTTACAACTAGGATTTCTTTTTCCTGACTCCATCTCCCCGCTCCTCCCCTTGCAAGAGGAATTTCCAGTTTCTGTCATGTACAGCTTTGGGGGCACCATGAAGTTGTCACAATGGATCAAGTCACCCATAAACAATAGAGACAATAGGGACAGCAAGGCTGCATCCTAAAAGGGCATCTTTTCTCTTAAGAAACAGGGCGCACTAACCATTAATATCAGGAAGAATGAGAAGCAAGTTGCTGAGGCCAGGACTTGGCCTGAGGATTGGCAGAAGCCTTTCCTTCTGCATGAGACATGAAGTGATGTGACTTTTTGGTGGTGAGAATCTTGTCATAGATGATGGATAAATACATTTTGTTAATACAGATTCATGGCACCATTTTAGAAGGTTTCATTTTTGCATGGTTAATGTGGTAATTTCTAAACGAAACAGGTTCACAGGGCTGTGTCAGGGAGGTGCAGCCCACTTTTTGCAGTGAGTGAGCTGGGGGAGGTGACCCACTCTGTCCACAAAGGCATCTGGCTGTGGCCACGGTGACCCCTCTCTGCTGGGTAATCCTTCAGACCCTTCTCCTCCTCAGTACTGCAAAGGGCTTTTCATTGAGTTGTATAAGGAGAAAAAAGGTTTTGGAGGGTTTGAGCCCACCGCTCCCTAAGCCCCCTTAATAACTGGGTGAACTTGAGCAGATTGGTGAAGTCCTCTCCACCTCGACTTCCTCATCTGTAAAATGATCCAGGATGGGCCAGGCGCAGTGGCTCACGCCTGTAATCCCTGCACTTTGGGAGGCTGAGGTAGGTGGATCACCTGAGGTTGGGAGTTGGAGACCAGCCTGAAGAAGAAAGAGAAACATGGAGAAACACCGTCTCTACTAAAAATACAAAATTAGCTGGGCATGGCGGCACATGCCTGTAATCCCGGCTACTTGGGAGGCTGAGACAGGAGAATCGCTTTAACCCGGGAGGCGGAGATTGCGGTGAGCCGAGATCGCACCATTGCACTCCAGCCTGGGAAACAAGAGTGAAACTCTGTCTCAAAAAAAAAAAAAAAAAAAAAGGATCCGGGATGATCCGGCAGCACAGAGCTGTGTGAGGCTTCACTGGAGCCCTGTGGTAAACGGCAGAATAGAACAAGAGCCTTGATAGCAAGGGCTGTGTAAGCCCAGGAGGGAGTGCGTCCTTTCTGTAGGGAAATCTGCAGAGACTTAAAGGGCAAGACATTTGATATGAATTTTGAAGGACAGACAGATTTTGATGGAAGAAACAGAGAGAAGGAACCCAGGCGGAAGGAAAAGTCTTGCTAAGAGATGTGGAAATGTGAGGACACATTGGCTATTTCGGAATTCGGGAACTGCCCGGAGCACCCAGAGCTGGGTGTGGAAGGATGCAGCGGGAGGTGGGAATGTCAAAGGCAGATCACAGGGATCTTCCGTTTGTTGAGCTAGGCAGGCATTTCAAGTGAGGTCCAAAATGTTCCATTCACTCACCGGGATGGTTCTCTCTTGCTAACGAGCCAGCAATACCCAGGATGGGACAGGTTGATGCCCAGGGCACCTCTCTGAGGACAGGGCATGATGCCTCTGCTCCTCTCACTCATTTCATTCTAAAGCCAAAGCAAAGGCTAAATTAAACTGTGAAGGCAAATATACACAGAGAAAACCACCGAGTTAAAAACATAAGGGGGTGGGATTGAGTTGTTAATCATATCACAGCATTTAAAAAAGAATAGACTGAGTTTTCCAATGAAACGATGACTCCAGCATATAAATTAATCTTTTGTATAGGAAAAAATGAAAGCCATTAAATGTCATTGTCTTATTTTAAAAGCAGCAATATCCTGCCTGATTGCAAGTGCTTAGAGGAGGGTGATTAAACAGAAACCTTATCTTCGCTGTGGCAAGGAGAAAATTGGAGAAAAGTTATCCAATTATGGATGATAAGCAGAGAAAAAAATCTGAGAAGAGGCAAACTTGGGGTGGCAGATTGTACAAGAACACGTTCCCCTTGGTTCTGTGATGTATGATGTATTCATGATGTATTCATCCGGAAACATACTCAGTCACAAAAGTTGCAGCAGCATTTCCACAAGCTGCTGAACGCCGAGTATTTGTGACTTCTTTCTTTTTCTTTCATGTTTTTCCTCCCAAGTTCCTATTTTGGTAGATAACTGCTATTTTGTTATATATCCTTATAGAGTAAAGGAATGATTTTCAAGCTAGCCATGGGAATATGAGCACATTATCCATTGTGCCTGAAACACAGTCTCCTTATCTGTAGGCTGGATCA
This sequence comes from Homo sapiens, assembly GCF_000001405.40. Taxonomy (NCBI): domain Eukaryota; kingdom Metazoa; phylum Chordata; class Mammalia; order Primates; family Hominidae; genus Homo; species Homo sapiens. Next base: position 125,248,679 of record NC_000010.11, read on the forward strand.
GTCACCTCCTAACAGGCATTATTGGTGAGCTTGGGCAGAGAGGGCTAAATGACATCATGTACACCAGGGCTTCCTGCCCTCACACTATTGATCTTCTGGGCTGTTCATAGTAGAATGTTTCAGCAGCATCCTTGGTCTACCCACGCACCCCTGTTTCTCCTGCCCAGTTGTGACAACACAAAATGTCTTCAAAATTGTCAAATATCCCCTTAGGACAAAAATCATCCCTGGTTGAGAATCACTGGAATAGTGAGAACATCTGGCTTTGCACTTAGCAGAGTCCACACTCAATCAATAGGAGCTATGATTCTTACTCTTGTTAGTGCCATCAGAATCTTCTAACAGCTGCTTTTAATCCTAATGTTGTTGCTAAATGTACCCAATGCATAGTGATTTAGGAATTATCTTCAGATTTCTTTCATTTTTTAAAACCATGTCAAAGTATTAATTTCTAACTTGGATAATTATGATTCTGGTAAAATAAGATTTTTTTTCCTCCAAAGGAATACATGTTTTTCCTAAATTTTAAATTAAAATTTTGGATTCTATATTTTCCCAGTGAAGAAAATGACAGGGCAAGCATCATCTCAGAAGTGAACATCACACACCACACCTAGTACGATAAAGACTTACAGAGCAATTACCACATAAAAGGCATCATGTTGTATGGCACTGTTCTATGAGGATATGTATTTTATTAGGTGCAATCATATGAATGCATACTGCAAATAACTATAAGCTCTATTAGATGGATATGAAAATGTGATGAAGGCCATATAGGTACATCCTACAAAGATAGGGACAGAGCCACTTCTCCAAATATTTACATTTATTTAACGAGTTGGGATTCTATATCCTGGAGGAAAAAGGAATTTAAAAACAATTACCATTCCACTTAGATAATTTCCATATCCCTTAGGCAAGTGTTTTTTTTTTTTTTTTTTTTTGTAGGATCTTGCACTGTTGTCCAGGCTGGAGTGCAGTGGTGCAATCATAGATCATTGCAGCCTTGATCTCCTGGGCTCAAGTGATGTTCCCACTTCAGCCTCCCAAGTAGCTGGGACAAGAGGTGTGCACCACCACACCCAGCTAATTAAAACAAATTGTTTTTAGAGAGGGGGGTCTCACTATGTTGCCAAGTTCTCATCAAACTCCTGGACTCAAGTGATCCTCCCGGCTTGGCCTCCCAAATGCTAGGTTTACAGGTGTGAGCCACTATGCCCAGCCACTTAGACAAGACTTTTATATCACCAAAGGAGAGGTTAGGGGAGGAGGAAACAGTTTCATCACAGTCAGTCCGTGCTGACCATAGCCCCGTTTGGGCCAACATAGAGAAAGTATCTGGATGAGTTTCCCAGGGATGCCCCAACCAATGACCAGAAACTTGCTGGCTTAAAACAGCAGAAATGTATTTTCTCGCAGTCTAGTGGCCAGAAGTTTGAAATCAAGTTGTCAGCGGGGCTGCACTCCCTCCAAAGCCTCCAGCGGGGGATCCTTCCTTGCCTCTTCCAGCCTCTGGTGGCTCCAGGCATCCAGGCTCATGGCTGCATCCCTCCAATCTGTGCCTCAGTCTTCTCATGAGCTTCTCCCTGTGTCTCTGTGTCTTCTCCTTTTCCTGTCTCTTACATCGGATTTAGGGTCCACCCTCATCTTGGATGATCTCACCTCAAGGTCCTTACCTTAATTACATCTGTGAAGACCTTTATTCCAAATAAGGTCACATTCTGACATCCCAGGTGGACATATCTTTTGGGGGACACATTGCAATTTACAATTCACTACAGCAAACTTTTCCCAGGTGAAGCTTTTGAAGATGAAGCTGGGTGGCAGATCACCAATAACAAATCGTTGAACAGTAACTCTCAGCGAATGGAGGAGGTCTTTCTCCCCTCTCCAAGCCTTCAGATTTCCCCTGAGAACTGAGGGCCCGCAGGTGAAACAGATGAAGAATAGGCAAGCACTTCACACCCTTCCTTTGGTTAATCTCTTCATGCACCTTTAACCGTGAACAAGGAACCCTTTTTTTTTTTGTATTATACTAAGTTCTAGGGTACGTGTGCACAATGTGCAGGTTTGTTACATAGGTATACATGTGTCATGTTGGTGTGCTGCACCCATTAACTCATCATTTACATTAGGTATTTCTCCTAATGCTGTCCCTCTCCTCTCCCCCAACCCCACAACAGGCGCCGGTGTGTGATGTTCCCCACCCTGTGTCTGAGTGTTCTCATTGTTCAATTCCCACCTATGAGTGAGAACATGTGGTGTTTGGTTTTTGGTCCTTGCGATAGTTTGCTCAGAATGATGGTTTCCAGCTTCATCCATGTCCCTGCAAAGGACATGAACTCATCCTTTTTTATGGCTGCATAGTATTCCACAGTGTATATGTGCCACATTTTCTTAATCCAGTCTATCATTGATGGACATTTGGGTTGGTTCCAAGTCTTTGCTATTGTGAATAGTGCAGCAATAAACATACGTGTGCATGTGCCTTTATGGCAGCATGATTTATAATCCTTTGGGTATCTACCCAGTAAGGGGATGGCTGGGTCAAATGGTATTTCTAGTTCTAGATCCTTGAGGAATCGCCACACTGGCTTCCACAATGGTTGAACTAGTTTGCAGTCCTAGCAACAGTGTAAAAGCGTTCCTATTTCTCCACATCTTCTCCAGCATCTGTTGTTTCCCGACTTTTTAATGATTGCCATTCTAACTGGGGTGAGATGGTATCTCATTGTGGTTTTTATTTGCATTTCTCTGATGGCCAGTGATGATGAGCATTTTTCCATGTGTCTGTTGGCTGCATAAATGTCGTCTTTTGAGAAGTGTCTGTTTATATCCTTTGTCCACTTTTTGATGGGGTTGTTTGATTTTTTCTTGTAAATTTGCTTATGTTCTTTGTAGAGTCTAGATATTAGCCCTTTGTCAGATGGGTAGATTGCAAAAATTTTCTTCCATTCTGTAGGTTGCCTGTTCACTCTGATGGTAGTTTCTTTTGCTGTGCAGAAGCTCTTTAGTTTCATTAGATCCAATTTGTCTATTTTGGCTTTTGTTGCCATTGCTTTTGGTGTTTTAGTCATGAAGTCCTTGCCCATGCCTATGTCCTGAATGGTATTTCCTGGGTTTTCTTCTAGGGTTTTTATGGTTTTAGGTCTAACATTTAAGTCTCTAATCCATCTTGAATTAATTTTTGTGTAAGGTGTAAGGAAGGGATCCAGTTTCAGCTTTCTACATTTGGTTAGCCAGTTTTCCCAGCACCATTATTAAATAGGGAATCCTTTCCCCATTTCTTGTTCTGGCAGGTTTGTCAAAGATCGGATGGTTGTAGATGTGTGGTGTTATTTCTGAGGCCTCTGTTCTGTTCCATTGTTCTATATCTCTATTTTGGTACCAGACCATACTGTTTTGGTTACTGTAGCTTTGTAGTATAGTTTGAAGTCAGGTAGTGTGATGCCTCCAGCTTTGTTCTTTTGGCTTAGGATTGTCTTGGCAATGCAGGCTCTTTTTTGGTTCCATATGAACTTTAAAGTAGTTTTTTCCAATTCTGTGAAGAAAGTCATTGGTAGCTTGATGGGGATGGCATTGAATCTATAAATTACCTTGGGCAGTATGGCCATTTTCACTATATTGATTCTTCCTATCCATGAGCATGGAATGTTCTTCCATTTGTTTGTATCCTCTTTTATTTTGTTGAGCAGTGGTTTGTAGTTCTCCTTGAAGAGTTCCTTCACATCCCTTGTAAGTTGGATTCCTAGGTATTTTATTCTCTTCAAAGCAATTGTCAATGGGAGTTCACTCATGATTTGGCTCTCTGTTTGTCAAGGAACCCTTAGCTGTTGGTTCCAGCTCCATTAGAAATGTCAGCAGAATGCCCTGCTGCTCCCAGGCCCTGCTGTGCCAAGGTAGGCTAGAGAGAAAACATTCTTCTTGAAATTCAAGCACTTCTAAATTTACTAATGGTGGCTAATGAACTAATCAAGATGGAAACTTTAAAAATAAACAGTTAACCTTGAAACTAGAAATATAAACAGAACTTGCGGTTTTGTTTTCCACTGCTTTGAATGTTTAATGTTTGATCTGTGGCAGTGGAGGCCTCCTCGTAAGCACTTCTGTCTTTGTGGGTGGCTCTTTATTGGAAATTCTCTGTTTTCTGCATGAGGTCCCCTTCCAAGTAAGATAATTTTTAGCATTGTATAAATTAAATTAAAATGGAACTCTTCCCTTTTAGCCAAAAGCTTTCAATTTATCTTCAGTTATAAACTGGACATCACTGTTTCACCCATATCCCTTCTTCCTGCTTTCATCCATCCATCCATCTGTCCATCATCCATCCAACTGTCCTCCCATCGTGTCTCCTCCCTCCCTTCATCTACTGTCCATCATATCTCCTCCCTTCTATCATCTATCCATCCATCCAACTGTCCATGTATCCATGTTTGCTCCCTGCTATCCCTCCCTTCTCTTCTCTCTTCCCTTTCACCCTACTTTCCCTTTCCCCTCCCTTTATCCAACTCTCCATCTATCCATGTTTGCTCCCTTCCATCCATCCCTTTATCCATCCATTCCTTCCTCCCTCCCTTCATCCAATCACCTATTCATCCATGTTTCCTCTCTCCTTCACTCCCTTCTTCTGTCCAGCCATCCATTCATTCACGTTTCTTTCCTTCCATCAATCTATCCATTCATCCATTCATATAATACAAAAATTTAACAGTCCCCTACTGTATGTCAGGCATGGTTCTAGGAGGCTCTGAGGATACAGTGGCAAAAAAAGCAGACAAGCAGGGGCAGGCCCAGGTTTTTGTGACCCAAAGCTTATGCAATTTGGGGGGACCCTCTTTAAAAGAATAAAATCACAAATACAAACTGCTGAGGCTTTCCTGCTGCCTTGGAGTGGGCCTATGTAAGTGAGGAGCCCTGAAACGTACACTTCATTGACTTCTTAGCAAATCTTCCTTTCAGGTGTGGCCCCTTCTCTCTCGGAGCTCATGTTCTTATGCCACTGATGAGAGCTGGGGCTCTCTGCCAGGCAGGAATTGGGGTAAAACTGGTTTGACTCCCTGATATGGTTTGGCTATGTCCCCATCCAAATCTCACCTTGGATTGTAATAATCCCCACGTGTCAAGGGTGGGACCAGGTGGAGATAATTGAATCACAGGGGTGGTTCCCTCCATGCTGTTCTCGTGATAGTGAGTGAGTTCTCACAAGATCTGATGGTTTTATAAGAGGCTTTCCCCCCTTTGATCAGCACTTCTCCTTCCTGCTGCCATGTGAAGACAGATGTGTTGGCTTCCCTTTCCACCATGATTGTAAGTTTTCTGAGGCCTTCCCAGCCATGCTGAACTGTGAGTCAATTAAACCTCAAAAGTAGGTGAGCTGACAGTGCAGCCTTCAGTCTGTGGCCAAAGGGCCAAGAGCCCCTGGCAAATCACTGGTTAAGTCTAAGAGTCCAAAAGCTGAAGAACTTGGAGTCTGATGTTCAAGGGCAGGAAGCATCCAGCATAGGAGAAAGATGAAGGCCAGAAGACTCAGCAAGAGCAAGTCTCCTCATTCCACTTTCTTCTGCCTGCCTTATTCTAGCCACTCTGGCAGCTGATTAGATGGTGCCCACCCAAATTGAGGGTGGGTCTGCCTCTCCCAGTCCACTGACTCAAATGTTAATCTCTTTCGGCAACACCCACGCAGATACACCCAGGAACAATAATTTGCATCCTTCAATCCAATCAAGTTGACACAATATTAATCATTACACTCCCAATGATCATAGCCTATGGGAATCTGGAGTCTCCCCTTCAAGCCCCCTTCTTCATGCCCCCATCCAAATCTGCATAAGATGTTTCAGTTTTTTTCCCATCACCTGTACACATAGTTTCACCCCCTTCATTGGTTTCCATCAAAGATCTATTTGCACCAGCACTTTATGAGTATGGTGACCTTACTGAAGCTTCTAAAACCTCTACATTGTGCTTTACGCAGCTTTTGGCCACTTCCCCGCCTCCCCCAATTCCTCCTCTTCTTTTCCTGCTCCTTCAGTTCTCCCTGTAGAGGGCAGCTTCATGTCCCTCAGGCCTCTGGGATCTTTGCTTCTGTTCCAGGTGGATCTGCCCATTAATTTTTCCTCATCAAGATGGGAGTCCCTTTGAAATTCACACGCAAGCTGCAGAAGAATGTTTTGTCCATCTCTTTACACTGGGTTAATATTAAGATCATTCTGCTAGGGTGAGACTTGGCCAAGAAAGACGAGCTCTGTTTTGGGTACATCTTAGCTTTCCCATCCATAAGAACACAGGTGAAACTGTGTTCAACATGTGAGGGAGCAACACAGGTGAAAGTGTGAGATGAATACCCTGTGGTATGTGAGGTCTCTTGGGGAGTCCACGGCAGGTTAGCCTCACAAGCAATAAAAGGCCCCTCATTTCTGATGCTTCTCTTATCTCAGTGCCCAGCGAGCTGACGCTTCTCAGGCTTATCTTCTGCCCTCCCTGAAACTGTAATTCTCCGATCGCCTGCTCTTTTCCAGTCGGGATGTTTAGAAGGGTCTGATTCAGGCCAGGAGCTCACACCTGTAATCCCAGCACTCTGGGAGGCCGAGGTGGGAGGATTACTTGAGGCTAGGAGTTCAAGACCAGCCTGGTCAACATGGCAAATTCCTATCTCTACTAAAAATACAAAAATTAGCTGGGTGTGGTGGCATACATCTGTAATCCCAGCTACTTGGGTGGCTGAGGCATGAGAGTCGCTTGAACCTGGGAGGTAGAGATTGCAGAGCCTACATAGCGCCACTGCACTCCAGCCTGGGTGACAGAGTGAGACTGTCTCAAAAAAAAAAAAAAAGTTAAATAGAATTAAAAAAAGAGGCTGGGCGCAATGGCTCATGCCTGTAATCCCAGCACTTTGGGAGGCCGAGGCGAGCAGATCACCTGAAGTCAGGAGTTTGAGACCAGCCCGGCCAACATGGTGAAACCCTGTCTCTACTAAACTAAAAATACAAAAATTAGCTGCTGTGAGCCTGTATTCCCTACTACTAAGGAGGCTGAGACAGGAGAATCGCTTGAACCTAGGAGGCACAGGTTGCAGTGAGCCGAGATCGTGCCACTGCACTCCAGCCTGGGTGACAGAGCGAGACTCTGTCTCAAATAAATAAATAAATAAATAAAAATTAATAAAAAAAGAAAGGGTCTGATTCATCTGTGCTCCATTTTGCTTGTGTTTTGTTTTGTTTTGTTTTTGCCATTGTGCTGGAATCTTCCAACTCTGCTGGGGCAGGACTGTTCTTTGTTTGAAGCACACTGTCATCCCAGGGCCATGTAGCAATGTCTATGTGGCATTATATAAAGAACAGCAGATATAACCATCAAAACTTGGCTCCTAAATAGCACTTTTCGTCATCAAAGCGCTTTGAAAATATGGACTAATTAATGCACAAGACAGAAGGTCACAGTCAATAAGTCTATTTTAAGCAAAGCAGCCATGATGCTTCAGGGTGGGAATCCTTGGTGAGTCTGCAGATGCTGTTCAGTTGGCCTGGCCCAGTGGCTGCTTGATGGGCTCTGGGAGTTCATGGGAGTCTGTGGGAGCAAGCCCTGATGGCCACTGGGCAAATCCAGTGACTCTGTCCACCACGCCCCAGATGGGAACCCTATAACTGTCTGCTTTGATTGCCAAGGCAGGATATTTTTTTCATCCCCTGCAGCAAAAATTTGGAGGTCCCAAATGGAACCCAAGGAATGGAGCGAATGTGAGTGGTTCCAGATTGCCACCAAACCATACAACCCAGTTTGAAACTCACCCAAGAGGCAGCTCCCCTGACCACACTCCCAGGTGGGCCCAGCTGGAGGAGACCTATTTCTTTTTACCTTGATTTACCTGCCATGGTCATGATCTTGCTGACTTGCCATCTGGATTGAGCTCAAATATCTTCCAGTTGCCTTGAATGACAATTACAGAATGGCAGATGTGTGGCCTTGGAGCCTACGATGAAGACTCACTATGAGCATCTCTTCTTTCCAGCCAGGGTGGGGATGGAGGGCTGATGGTCCCATGGCCAGGATGTGAGGGGAGGGCCTTGAGCCTCACTGTGGCAACTGAGCTTCTCCTTCTGTAACTAATTCAGTATTCTTGTAATCTGGACTTTTTATTTTTCTTTTGAGGCTAGGTCTCACTCTGTGGCCCAGGCTAGAGTGCAGTGGCATGATCATAGCTCACTGCAGCCTTGACCTCGCCAGGCTCAGGTGATCCCTCCCACCTTTAGCCTCCCGAGTAGCTGGGACTACAGGCACACCAGCACACCCGGCTGATTTTTCTGTTTTTAATAGAGATAGGGTTTTTCCATGTTGCCCAGGCTGGTCTGGAACGCCTGGGCTCAAGTGATCTGCTCACCTCAGCCTCCCAAAGTGCCGGGTTATAAGTGCGAACCACCGTGCCCAGCCTGGACTTTTAAGAATAATTTTATTACAAAATTTAAAAAAGCGTACCCAGAATCCAATGTTGTAAAAAGCCCCTGATCTCCTACTGATGCTAATTTCTAGGCGTTTGCTGTGCTCCCATACACAAGTCAAGACCTGAAAAGAACCATTAAAATATTTAGAAACATTCAACATCATTCAACATCAGAGGCCTTCAAATCTGACTGTATGTGGTAGCCTCTCCAAGAGCTACAACCTGCATTTTAAAGAAAGTATTTTCTCTGCAAAAACATATGAGCTAGATAAAAATCTGTGCAGTTTTGATACTGAGGTTATCACCGATATTGCAAATCTGCCTTTCTCAGGTCTCGCTCTTGCACACACCACATTGCAGCAAAACACAGTTATGAACATGGGTCTGTCTGCCTGGACTGTTCTGTGGTCTCATCCCTCTCTCAGCACCCAGCCAAAGTCCACATCCGTGAGAAAAGCTTCCCCAATCTCTGCAGTCAGATGTCCCTGTGGCATCCTCTGACTCCCTAAATTTGCTCCCCACCAATCCCGGCACTTGCCACTGCCCTCTAGAGTGGGGTAATTTACACTCACTTGCTGGCTCTTTCTGGAGTGGAAGCTTCTTGAGGGCCGAGGCTGGTCTCCCTCACGCCCCAGCCCCTCACATAGGAAGGCCCAGGAGGGACACAGGCATTGTGAACCGCGCTGTCCTCTGCCCAGTTTCTGCCTCCGCTTGTGCTCACCCACCCAGCTGGTGGCTCAGATGCCTGGGGCCATTCTATCTCACCGGTCCAGAGGGTGAGCTATCGTTTCCATGACAACCCCTTCCCACGTGGGTATTTGAGGTCACGTCTGCACAAAGGCCCGAGCAAGCCTGCAACATTGACATATATGCTTTCTGTGTCTGTGACATTGCCCAGTATTATTGCTATAACATCCCAAAGTGTATCTGCTGGTGCCCCAGCTAAAGCCACTTCTGCTGTTTTCTGACCTCTAAATGCAATTTTAGAGGGTCTTTTTATAATAATTTATTGTGCCTCCCTTTCTAGAAAGTGAAAGTGTGGCCCTTTAAATATATCTTTTATTTTAAAAATGTTTTTAAGGAATCAGAAAAGTAAACATAGGTTGACACCTCCCTGTCTTACAAGGTGAGTAAATGGAATCGAATTCTACCTTCTAAATAATGGTTCTGGGTTTTCTCAGTGATCACCTACTAATATGTGGAGCTGTGATGGAACAGGGCTCTCTACTGTTGCTGAAGGAAGCCTCAGTTTCCCCTTTACGTCACGTCAGTCCTGTCCCCACCTCTGCCAGCCTCTCACCTACTTACCAAGGGCATGCTCTCATTCCTTTTCATCTTCGCCTATCTGACTGTTGCAAAGAGTATCTGCATACCTTTAGAAGTGTATTTACATAAAACAAACACGTCCTTAAATTGAGGTTGCCGTCTTCAGCTTTAAACATTTCTTTTTAACATCAGTGCGTGATGTTCTACTCCTTGACTGTAGGTTTGGGCTTACCAATTTCTGTGTATGGTTTTCTTCAAAAGGGGAAAATTCATGGCTGTGTTTATACATTTAGATGATGGCTTTCAAAAGGATATAAATTATGCAAATCTCTTAAAAGTCCTCTGATCTGAAAGTCAACTTGAGTTCTTACCCATTACTCATCTCCTATCTCCCCATGATCCCTGCTCCAGTGAGCAGCCCTGGCCCCCCTCTCTCTTTGAACATGTCAAGCTTGTTCCTCCCTCCGGGGCTCTTTTCCCCCACTTGGTTCTCAGAACACGGCTTGGCATCAAGTAGGTATTCAGGAGCTATTTGCTAAGTGAAAAGTGAATTTCACAGATTTTGGAGAAGTGTCTTGGGGTACAGAAAAGCAAATGTGCTCAGGAGTCCAACACCTGGGTTCAAGTCCTGGCCCCAGCTCTTCCTAGTAAAGTGCTTGGACAAATTGCTCCTTCTCAGAGAGTGCCAGCTCTCCCCCTCTGAAGAGCGGGGATGATGTTATCTACTTCCTAGGTCTGATGTGAAGAGTGATGAAATCAACGGGGCAGTGTGGGTGTTGAGGAATTGGCAAAATGCTGTGCAGAAGGGAGGCATTGTCACTCTCCTATAATTGGGTCCTATGTCAAGAGTCATAGGAAGATCTTTGTGGAAAATTATAAGCGCTTGCCAAGCAGGTTATGTTTCATCTTAGTTTCTTTCTTTTTCTTTTTTTTGAGACAGAGTTTCGCTTTTGTTGTCCAGGCTGGAGTGTAATGGCACGATCTCAGCTCATCACAACCTCCACCTCCCGGGTTCAAGCGATTCTCCTGCCTCAGCCTCCCAAGTAGCTGGGATTACAGGCATGCGCCACCACGCCTGGCTAATTTTTTATTTTTAGTAGAGATGGAGTTTCTCCATGTTGGTCAGGCTGGTTTTGAACTCCCAACCTCAGGTGATCCGCCTACCTCGGCCTCCCAAAGTGCAGGGATTATAGGCGTGAGCCACTGCACCTGGTTTCATCTTAGTTTTTCTAAAAAAAAAAAAAGTGCCAGAATGAAAAATGCCACTCCTTGATCTTCACTGTATAGTGAAGTTGGACTGGTTGAGGACAGAAAGTGCTTATCGTATGGCTATAGGAAGTGGCCTTGGAGACTGCACCCACAGGAGGGGCAGGGGCAGGGGTAGGGGCAGGGGTGAAGTCACTCAGCTTCTCTGTGTGGCCTGGCCAGCCTCGGGCAACTTGTCAGCTCCATCCAGCCTCCACTGAGTGACACTTACTTTGTGCCGGGCACTGTGCTGGGCACAGAGAGGTAAGCCTAACCCTGGCCTCGGCAGGGTCTCAATGAGGGAGAGACACAGAAGCAGGTACCCCACACCTGGTACTAAGTACTTAGTCTGTTTTGTGCTGCCATAACAGAATGCCAGAGACTGGATCATTTATCCAGGGTTTTATTTACTCATGGTTCTGGAGGCTGAAAGTCCATCATCAAGGTACCAGCATCTAGTGAGGAGAGGAGAGATGCTGTGTCCTCACAGCGGAAGGCTGTGTGAAGCCTGTTTTATAGGAGCCTCCATCCTATAGATGAAGGGAGGAGCTCTCAATGACCTAATCAACTCTTAAAGGCCCCACCTCTTAATACGACCACATTGGCAGCACCTGAGGTTTGGAGGGGGCACATTCAAACCACGGTAGGTTGGAAAGGAGCCAGCATACCTCTCTTCGTCGTATTTGCTAACATCTGTCCCATTGTCCATATCAGTGCCCTACAGGCTGTTAAAAATGTTGAATATCACACTGCACACAGGTAATGGCACCAGCACACCATGCATTCCAGTAGTGGTAGGTCCTCAGTGGCATGGCGCAGGCACGCTAGGCACAGGGACCAAAATGTGTACATAGGATGGGGTGGGGCAGCCTCCTGAGGACAGCACAGCATAGCGAGGGATGAAAATATATATATCAATGACCGTCAGCCAGTGAGAAACATGGGAAGGGTCATAATAAAAATGTAAATTACTGGCCGGGCACAGTGGCTCACGCCTGTAGTCCCAGCACTTTGGGAGGCTGAGGTGGGTGGATCACAAGGTCAAGAGATTGAGACCATCCTGGCTAACGCGGTGAAACCCCGTCTCTACGAAAAATACAAAAAATTAGCTGGGCATGGTGGCACGTGCCTGTAGTCCCAGCTACTTGGGAGGCTGAGGCAGGAGAATTGCTTGAATCCGGGAGGCGGAGGTTGCAGTGAGCTGAGATCGTGCCACTGCACTCCAGCCTGGGCGACAGAGAGAGACTCCATCTCATAAAGAAAAAAAAATGGTAAATTACTGCCCATTCATCCATCCACCCATCTGTCTGTTCGTCCATTCATATGTCCATCTGGCAAACATGAAGTGAGTATCTACTATGTGTTGGGCACCATGTCTAATGTTGACTCCAAAGAAACAAGACTCCATTCCCATCCCTGAGGCTCAATGGAGACAGTTGTTTGTGCGATCTTGATGAAATTTGACATCGCCTTCAAAGAGGAAACTGTGCCTGCTGGTAAGTGTGTTAAGTGGGGATCAAGGAAGGCTTTGGGGTGTCAGTCTCTTTGAGAAGGGCCTCGAAAGGTGAAGATGGGCAGGATCCAGGTGGTGGAAGATGGTGAGGGAGGAACGGCAGGTCAGGCCGGGAGGAGGGTGTGTGTGAACAAAGCCAGGAAGGTGGGACCCCATAGAGAAGTTTGGGATTGGAGGGGAGTTGGGCTTGCCTGGAGAGCAGGGTCTTAGGTTCCCCATGGAGGAAGAGTGGGAATAATAGCTGACCCCCAAGTAGAGCTTGCCACGTGCCCAACCTTTTGTATCTACTACTACGCTTAACCCACACTCCAGCCCTATGAGGAGGAGCCATTTACCCCTCCTTTGCCTTCACAGTGAGGACACTCAGGCACACCTACCCAAGGTCCAACAGCTGGTGCCATCCCAGTGGCTCTGGGGTGGTCATATGGTTTGGCTCTGTGTCCCCATCCAAATCTCACCTTAAATTGTAATAATCCCCATGTGTTGTAGGAGGGGCGAGTGGGAGATAAATGAATCATGGAGGTGGTTTCCCCCATACTGTTCTCATGTAGTCTCATGAGATCTGATGGTTTTCTAAGGGGTTTCCCCTTTTGCTTGGTCTCTCATTCTCTCTTTCCTGATGCCATGTAAGACGTGCCTTTCACCTTCTGCCATGATTGTGAGGCCTCCCCAGCCACGTGGAGCTGTGAGTTCATTAAACCTCTTTTTCTTTATAAATTATGCAGTCTCAGTTATGTCTTGATCAGCAGCATGAAAGTGGACTAATACAGATGCAAACCCAGGTTTGTCTGGGCCTGCTTGCTCCTCTCAACCAGTCCGGGACAGCCCCAGGTGTAGGCCCTCAACAGGTGCTTTCCAAGGCTCCTTCACTGATGGCCACCATAGAAACAGTCGTTTGTCATCTCCCTTGGGATGCACTTGGCTTTGGGTCCCTCTGAGCTCTTGGACCACCCCTAGACACAGCTGAGCATTTCTTCCCTGCAGAGCGAGCAGGCCAACCCTAGAATGCAAAGCTCAGCCCCTCTCTGAGCCATGTCTCCTCTCTCAGCCCCTCACTCCCCGCTCTGAGAGAACACACCACTCTTCAAAAGAATTCTTTCTCCTTGTTACCTTCACTCCAAGGTTATCTGCTCAAGTATGTACCGAGTAAATGAAGTTGTTTGGCTTATGGATACAAATAGATACTGCTTTTTTGACTTGCAAAATGAATTCCACCGTGACTGGCTCAAACTTAAGTATGCTAATGCTCAATGAACCAGTTGTCTATTTATTTCTGTTTATGCCTGCAGACCCATTAGCAACTTTTTCTTGTTTTCTTTTAGAATATTAAACGGTTCCAACATATTCTAAAAATTAGTTGATTAGCTTGTTAGGGCACATTTTAACTGCTAGCTCCGCTGAACCAAAGGAGAAAATGAAGGTAATTTTGTTTGCAAGGAATGTATGATTTGGAGCTGACTGTTGAAAGATGTGCCACGTCAACGTAATGAGGGAGCGTAATATCTTAGTTTGCATCAATATGGAAATAACTGTGCGCTTTGACAGACCTGATGCTGAAGGCATCACCAGCCTGCTCATTATGCATTCCAGCTCTGATTATGAAAAATAGTGTGTTTTCCTTTAAAGAGGAATCTGCATTATCAATCAAACCACACCAATTATTTCAGAAAGGGATCACAGTGAAGTAGACATGGGGGCTTTTCAACTAGAACAGCACCGGATAAGCAGGCAGATCTTAGGGGGTGTGATATTTTTATTTCGTGACAGTTGTTAGTTTAATTAGGAACACTAATGAAGTATTTTGTGCAGTGGCACCCAGACAACCTGCTTTCCCTGCTATCATCTGGATCTTTATTATTTTGTTTTAATGAGCCCTGCCTTCAATAATATCAATGCACTTCTAATGATACCTCTCATGCAGGCTGATGATTCCAGTGTTCTTCTCACAGGGTTGTCATGTCAGGGAAACATGGAAAGGAAGGGAGGTGAAAAGAGACAATAGGAAAACCGTAGGCTGTGACGGGAAAAAATGAAACAGGTATGAAAACAAAACGATGCTCATTGCAACATAAAGTGTTTCTTTTCATTTTGTGTGTGTGTGTGTGTGTGTGTCGGCGGGGGTGAGTGGGTGTGCAGTCTGTCTGCGTGTGGCATGTTGGATTGAAGGTTACACACTTATTATTTTTATTCTGACCTTGCAGATGAGTGAGAAGAAAAGTCCAAGAGCCAGGATGACGGCGCAGTGATGGCTCACTTTGCGTTGCTGTTCCGTCCACTGTTCCACTGACTGTGAACTCTGTCAGAGGTGACAGGTCTTGTTTATCTTTAGAGGCATCCCGGTGGGTTACCCTCAGGACCTGATGCACAGTTGGCATCAGAAACTGTTTGCTGAATGACTGAAAGAGCGTTCTCCTCTTAGTTTGAAACCTATAGCTAGATGTACTTGGGGAGCATACAAAGACATGCGTTTTCTTGAACAAAACACAATAAAAAACTAATAAGAGGTACGGGGGACATTGAATAAGTATGCAGGAATTGGACTGGCCTGGACACACTCACCTGGTGGCCTCAGCCACGTTGCATCATTTTTCCAAACCTCCATTTCCTGTAGAATGAGCGGAGGTGTGAATTAGTGACAACATACCTAAGGTATCTGGTGCGTGGATGGCATTCCTTCCTGGCAGGTCATCGCTCAGTAAATATTTGTTGAATGAATGAATTGGGGAAAGAATGGAGAGAAGATCTTGGTCATCTTCCTCTTAAATTCCCATAACTGTTAGGGTCGTGTTGTTGCAGGAACTGCTGGGTGGTCTTGGTGGCAGGGGTGGGGAGGGGATACATCCCCCAAAACACTCCAAGATGGATCCCAGAGAAAGCTCAGTCCGAGCACCCTCTCTGCATCCAAACCCTAGTGCCTCCCGCTCCTGGGTCTTCCCTGCCTGTTGCTCCCCTTTATAGCCACACTGAGCCCCATCCTGGCATTGGGTGGGCTTCTAGCTGTGGGCCAGGTGGCAGTGCCTCCTCAAACACAGCCTTGCTTCTACCCTGAGTAGGTCATGGTGGAGTTGGGATTCCCTACTCCCAGGGTGCAGCTGCTGGGACGCAGGCTGGGGCAGCACTGGAAGCTCTAGGGGATGAACCAGGGGTCTGGATCCCAGACACCCTGGGGAAAAAGGCAGGGGCTTGTTTGGGGAGAGCTGGTGCTGGGAGCTTGAAACCTGATGGCCTTACACAAGGCCTTCTGCAGGCCCCTGGGCCATTGCCCAATTTCCTATACTTGTTCATGCTTTCACAAATGCATTTGTTCATACAATCTGCACAGAATGCAGCAAGTAAGGCTTGAGTTCTGCCCTCCAGGGACTTGCAGTCTAGCAGGAGGAATAAGACAAACTCTATAATCTAAGTTAGAAATGATGGGGCCGGGTGTGGTGGCTCATACCTGTGATCCCAGCACTTTTGGGAGGCTGAGGTGGGCAGATCACCTGAGGTCAGGAGTTTGAGACCACTGTGGCCAACATGGTGAAACCCCGTCTTTACTAAAAATACAAAAATTAGCTGGGCGTGGTGGCGGGTGCCTGTAATCCCAGCTACTCGGGAGGCTGAGGCAGGAGAATCGCTTGAACCTAGGAGGCAGAGGTTGCAGTGAGCTGAGATAGTGCACCACTGCACTCCAGCCTGGGTGACAAGAGCAAAACTTTGTCTAGAAAAGAAATAAAAGTTAGAAATGATCAGTGCACTACACAGCACTGCTCCAGTGCCACATGGGTTCTGAACATGGAGGGATCACAGGCAGCTGGGGGAAATCTGAGAGGGCTTCTTGGAAGAAGTGGCATTTTATTTATTTGGCAACAGCATTTCCCGAGCACACCTCTTGCAGCTCCCTACTTCCTGCAAGCCTGGGGCTACCAGGTCTCTGCTCTTATGGAGCTTGTGAAATAGCAGAGGTGACGTGCAGAGGCAGACAATGAGCGAGCCAACAAGTACCTGGAAGGGACACTGTGCGGAGAGCAGTAAGTGCAGGGAAGGAAAGTGTCCTGGGCTTTGACAAATGTGTAGAGCCCGGTCCCTGGAGAAGAGGAGCCCGGGGCACCCCCGGCAGAGTGTAATGAGGGAACAGGCAGGGAGGGGTGCAGGGGAGGGAAAGAGAGAGAATCCAGGGAGGGTGAGTACGGTTGGAGTGAGCTTGGATGCCAGGCTAAGGAATCACCTGGCGAGCAGCAGGGAACCAGAGCAGGCTACGGAGCAGGGGAGGGAGTGGCACGATGAGAACCAGCTGTGCCTTAGGAAGCACAGCTGAGCAGCAGTTGTAGGGTGAGGCTGGAGGTGGAGAGACACCCCAGGTGGGTCCTGTGAGGAGGGGGTGACCACTGGGAGTGTGTGGAGTCATCTGAATGCGGAGGGCAGGGGTCTTCCAGAGGGGTAAGGACCAGGCAAATGATGCAGTGTCCGGGAGGTGAGAAGGGGGTCAGGGTACAGATGCAGAAACAGAGTGGGGAGATGCAGACAGCTAAGGATGGAGCATTTCAGCAACAGGACTGTGGCCGCCCTTCGGCAGCATCTTTCCCATTCTGATCTTACCCGGGCTCAGGTACCCCAGGATGGACAGGCCAGGAATGGGAGGCAGACACTTCTCAATGGGCCGCTGTGGGAGCCAGGCCCTGAGGCATGGTTTCCCAGCACCCGCCCCCTCTGTGGCCACATCTGCACTATGCCTGGAATGAGTGGGTTTTTGGTAGGGTTGCCAGATTCAGCAAATAAAAATACAGAATGCCCAGTAAAATTTGAACTTCAGAAAAACAACAAAAGATTTTATAGTGTAAGTATGACCCATGCAATATTTGGGATATGCTTAGACAAAAAAATTATTCATTGTTTATCTGAAATTAAAATATCTGAAATTAAAATTTAACTGAAGGTCCTGTATTTCATATTGTAACTCTACTTTTTTTTTTTTTTTTTTTTTGAGACACGGTCTCACTCTCTTGCCCAGACTGGAGTGCAGTGAGTGGCATGATCTCAGCTCACTGCAACCTCTGCCTCCCAGGCCCAAGCGATTCTCCTGCCTCAGCCTCCCGAGTAGCTGGGATTACAGGCACGTGCCACTATGGCCTGGCTAATTTTTGTAGTTTTAGTAGAGAAAGGGTTTCACCATGTTGGCCAGGCTGGTCTTGAACTCCTGACCTCAAATGATCCACCTGCCTCGGCCTCCCAAAATGCTGGGATTACAGGCATGAGCCACTGGGCCCAGCCTGTAACTCTACTCTTTGGTACAACCTATATGCCAGCCATGTCCCAAGAAATAGTATTTCTGTCCATGTGTGCATGTGTGTGTGTATAGGAGAGAGAACTAATTTTACTAGCTTTTGGAATAGATACAACAAAAAAATCAGAATGAGTCAGCTTTGAAGCTGTCTTGTCAAATGGACACTGAGCTGCTTTCCTCATGTTAAGCCCGATTGGCTTGGGGGACCCCATGCCTTGGACGGTGCATCTGCTTAGAGGATGGTGACTGCGGATCCCTCGTTGACACCTCCTTCTTTCCATGGGCAGTGGCAGCCCCGCCTCAGGGTGGAGTCTGACAATGTCTCAGGATACTGCCGAGTTCTAGTTTCTAACCAGCAAGAGCCCCGAATGGGGGTGGACGTCTGGCTTCCCCACGCCCGCCCTGGAAATATGAAGTGCTGGCGATGGTGTAGGAGCTCAGGCGAGGTCTCCTGTGTCACGCTGTAATTTGTACGGAAGGGAAGCAGGATCCCATTGGGCTGTCAGCTGAGTGTCAAGACACCTGGCAGAGCTGGCCCTGGGGGGACATTGACATGTCCTTGGCTCCTGCCTGGGTTCATCCTTCCACTGAGACGCTGCGGGCAAAACTGCTTCTTGAGGCTTCCAGGCAAGCCTCCCTGGCCTGCTGCCACTACCGAGAAGAATAAAAAGGTGGACTTCACAATGGATCCCTTTGGTCTGGGGTGCTGTGTGGAGTGTGAAGCCCCTGGCAGTGGGTGCTGACGGTGGGCATCTCCTGGCCCTTGAGGACTCCGCACCGAAGTTCTGGGGAGGTGGGCGATAGCTTCATGGGCACCGCTCCCTCGAGGCCTTCCTGCTGAAGAAATAAGGCACATCGAGCCCTGCTCTAGAAAGCACCATACTGCTGTCAGATAACCAAATCGACCTTCCCCTCCTACCCTGAACTCTGCCGCCATCTCGCTCCAAAACTTGCCAGGAGTCAGTTGTGGGGAGCACAAGGGTGGGATCGGAGCGGACCAGCAAGTGCTGAGTTTTTACTGGGAACCCCACTAAGCCGAGATGTAAATTCCTCAATGTAGCGGGGAGATTTCTTTTTTCATCGATACATAATATTTGCACATATTTAGGGGTGCATGTGTTATTTTTACATGCATTGAATGTGGAATGATAAGTCAGGGTATTTAGGGTGTCCATCACCTCAAGTATTTATCATTTC
Source organism: Homo sapiens (assembly GCF_000001405.40). Classification (NCBI taxonomy): domain Eukaryota; kingdom Metazoa; phylum Chordata; class Mammalia; order Primates; family Hominidae; genus Homo; species Homo sapiens. The sequence goes on from NC_000010.11 coordinate 125,267,603, forward strand.
TATATGCGGGGAACATTTCAAGTTCTCTCTTCTGTCTGTTTTGAAATATATAACCCTGGTATGCTATTGAACATTAGAACTGATTCCTTCTATCTAACTGCATTTTTGTAACTATTGCCCAACCTTTTTTCATCCTCTCCCCACTTCTCAGCCTCTGGCAACCACTATTCTACTCTCTACCTCCATACGATCCATGTGGTTTTTTTTTTTCTTTTTCTTTCTTTTTTCCTCCAACATGTAAGTGAGAATGTGCAGTATTTGTCTTTCTGTGCCTGGCTTATTTTACTTAACATAATGGCCTCCAGCTCCATCCACAGTTGCTACAAATGACAAGATTTCATTATTTTCATGGCTGAATGTATTCCATTCTGCATCTAGACCACATTTCTTTATCCATTTATCCCTTGATGGACACTTAGATTGAGTCCATATTTTTGCTATGGTGAATTGTGCTGTATGGGAGCACAGGTATCCTTTGATATACTGGCTTTTTTTCCCATTTGAATAAATACCCAGTAGTGGGATTGCTGGCTTACACGGTAGTCCTATTTTTAGTTTTTGAGACATCATCTCCATACTGTTTTCCATAGTGACTGTACTAATTGACATTCTTTCTAACAGTGTATTAAGAGTTCCCTTTTCTCTGCATCCTTACCAGCATCCCTGTTAGTTTTTGTCCTTTTAAATAGCCATTCTGGCTGGGGTGAGATGATATCTCATTGTGGTATTGAGTTGCATTTCCCTGATGATTAGTGCCGATGAGCATTTTTTCATATAGCTGTCGGCCATTTGTATGTCTTCTTTTGAGAAATGCCTATTCATGTCTTTTGCCCACTTTTTTTTCTTTTTTTTTTTTTTGAGTCGGAGTCTTGCTCTGTCACCCAGGCTGGAGTGCAGTGGTGCAATCTCGGCTCACTGCAAGCTCCGCCTCCCAGGTTCACGCCATTCTCCTGCCTCAGCCTCCCCAGCGGCTGGGACTACAGGTGCACGCCACCACACCTGGCTAATTTTTTTGTATTTTTAGTAGAGACGGGGTTTCACCGTGTTAGCCAGGATGGTCTCGATCTCCTGACCTTGTGATCCGCCTGCCTCAGCCTCCCAAAATGCTGGGCTTACAGGCATGAGCCACTGCACCCGTCCTTTTGCCCACTTTTTAATAGGGTCATTGGGTTTTTTACTGTTGAGTTGTTTGAGTTCCTTGTGTATTCTGGGAATTATTCCCTGCCAGATGCAGCAAATGCTTTCTCCCACTCACAGGTTGTCTCTTCACTCTGTTGATGGTTTCCTTTCCTGTGCAGAAGCTTCTTACCTTAGTATAGTCCGTTTGTCTATTTTTTGTTTTCGTTGCCCATGCGTTTGAGATATTAGCCATAAAATCTCTGTCTAGACTAAAGTCCTGAAGTGTTTTCCCTGTGTTTTCTTCTAGTAGTTTTATAGTTTCAGGTCTTATGTTTAAGTGCTTAATCCATCTTGAGTTGATTTTTATATACGGCGAGAGATAGTGGTCCAGTTCCATTCTTCTGCATATGGATATCCAGTTTTGGGGTGGGGGGGATTTCTTTTAAAAGAAAGGTGGGGCTGGGCATGGTAGCTCATGCCTGTAATCCTAGCACTTTGGGAGGCCAAGGTGGAAGGGTTGCTTGAAGCCAGGGGTTTGAGACCAGACTATGCACACAGCAAGACCTTGTCTCTGTAAAAAATTTAAAAAATTATAATAGCTGGTCATGATGACATGTGCCTGTAGTCCCAGCTACTAGGAAGGCTGAAGCAGGAAGATCACTTGAACCCAGGAGTTGGTGGCTGCAGTGAACTATGATCATGGCACTGCACTCCAGCCTGGGTGACAGAGAGCAAGACCCTTTCTTTAAAAAGAGGGAGAGAGGCTGGGCACAGTGGCTCACACCTGTAATCCCAGCACTTTGGGAGGCTGAGGCCGGCAGATCACCTGAGGTCAGGAGTTTGAGACCAACCTGGCCAACATGGCGAAAGCTCGTCTCTACTAAAAGTACAAAAATTAGCCGGGTATTGTGGTGTATGCCTGTAATCCCAGTTACTCGGGAGGCTGAGGCGGGAGAATCACTTGAGGTGGAGGTTGCCATGAGCCCAGATAGTGCCATTGCACTCCAGCCTGGGTGACAGAGTGAGACTGTGTCTCAAAAAATAAAAAATAAAAATAAAAAATAAAATAAAAAGAGAAGAGAGAGAGAAAGGTGGGTTGGCATGGTGATTTCCTTCCTCAAAATTCAAAAGAGCAACATGCTCAGGCTGGCTCTGGATGAGCCAGGGATGATCTTAGTCCAGGGAGTGAGGTGGGGCAGGAAGAAGGTAGATTTTCAGAGCCAGCCAGACCTGGGTGTGAGTCCCCTGATTCTACGTCATGACTTGACAACTTTGGGGCAAGTGCTTGACCTCTGTGGGTCTCAGTTTCCACATCTCTAACGGTAATAGCACATTGAGGTAGGCATATAGCTCATTGCAGCCACTCAATTAATGCAGAGCACCTGCTCTGTGCAAGTGCTGCTTTAAGTGCTTTGCATGTATTAACTCATCTAATTCTCACAATAATCCTATGGCTGTGATTATACCCATTTTGCAGATGAGGAAACTAGAGGAGAGGTGTTAATTGTCTTTCCCCTTGTGAATTACGATCTGGTAGCAGGCACTGATACATATACTAATCCCTGCGGATGGGCAGGGGACGGCGGCGGGGGGATGGTCAGTGGCATCAAAAGGCTATGAAAGGCACTGGGAGAAAGAGAGGTGGGATTCACTTAGATTAGGGATGGGTAGGAAGGCTTCTTGGTGCTGGTGGGTCTTCACAGGGCCTTGAAGTTCCAAAAGAATGTTACTGGGTGGAGAGCTGAAGAGGGTGTTTCAGACAGAGCATAAGCAACGGCTGGCGGCAGGAGGACGAGGGCGTGTGGAAGGAGTGGCCATCCTGCTGAGCTGCAGCTGGGTACGGGCTGTGTATACGTGTTTGTGTGTGTGTGTTTGTGTGTGCATGTATATATGTTTTTGTGTGTGTATGAGTATCTGTGTGTGCGTATGTATATATGTATGTATGTGCAAATGTTTGTGTATGCATGTGTGTTTATACGTGCATGTATATGTGTGTGTGTGTGTGTGTGTGTGTTGTTGTTGTTGTGGGGGATGGAAGAGGTTGAAAGCGGAGCCAAGTCCTTTGAGTTTTATTCTGTGGAAAGTGGTATATCTCCCGGGTGCAGGCTCTGAACCTAACCTGCTTTTTAACTCTCCATTATTGGATCTGTCCATCTTGTTAATAAGACGTTTTAATGCCAGTGAACGTGTGCCCTTTCTGATCATGATGGACCGCTGAACTTGACATTTAATGGAAAACAGAGCCCAGGCCTGAGAGACGGTGAGTGAGACGGGCACATGTTCTCACAGAGGCTGTCCTGTGGCTGTGTGGACAGGGCTGGCCTGTTTCAGGGACGGTGTCAGGGCTCGGCTGAGCCTGTCGGTGGAGACAGCCCCATTGCTGCACACCAGCACGGGACTGTGCTGAGGAGATTCTGGCATCTCCCATAGTTTGCTGACATGTCACCCCTGCTGGGAAGTTTAAGGGACGTGTGTAGAAGTGGCTGTAACAGAAGATGAAACATGCCTCGTGTCCTGAAGGGTGCCTGTGAAGTGCTGTGGGGGAGGATGTCCTGTCCCTCTGGGGTCTGAGGGAAAGGCCCTATGGAGCAGGTGGCCCCAGAGCTGCCTCTTAGGGTGGGGCAACCATTCTAGAAGATGGAAGCAGCTTGAGCAAGATTCATTGGCCAAATGGGGTGGCCGTCAGCCAGTGGAGCACATAGACCCCATGAGACAAGTGTCCAAAGGGGAGAAGGGAGAGGGTTGGTAAAGGGGGAGAGCTGGGAGGCTCCTGGGGAAGGGGGCTTGTCTAGGGGAGGGGAATGCAGGTGTGATCCAGGAGAGAAGGCTTCTTATCACAGCCACCCTGAGGTCAGGATTTCTCAGCGGCCTCTGAGGACCCTGGGAAAAGGGAGGAGCAAGCGGGTGGGCCAGGGGGCTCAGGCTGCAAGCAACAGAAACTCATTGCCGACCTAAGCACAAGGGGAGTGATTGGAAAAGCATCTGGGCGCAGTGGGAAGCCTGGAGACCTGGCTTGGCAATAGGCGGAAATCATGGAAGCTGGTTGAGGGGAAGGGAGCGCACTGCGATGGAAGCAGACCTGTGGGAGTAGCCTCTTGGCAGGAATGCTGGGATCTCCATCCATTCCTGGATGCCTGGCTCCCAGCTCAAGCTCTGCACTCAGCGAGGGCTCAGCCTAAGAGCCCTTGGCTTGGTGAAGGCAGGGTCCTGCCTACAATCCCACAGGTAAAGTAATTTCCCTCAGGGAGACTGGAATGCTCTTTGGAAGGCAAATGGGAGCTGGTTGGCCTTAAAGCACCAGAGTTCATTATACACCTACCTGGATGGAGAGCCTGAGGCCCACACCCAAAAAACTGGGCTGGCAGGTGAGGCAATCTCAGTTATTTTGGGAGTTCTGCCCCCTTCCTAGATTCCCCAAGGGAGATTTCTGTTTTTAAAACGTGGCTTTCTGTTTTTAAAACAGTCCTAATTACCCAAGAAAACTTTACAGTGAATGTGTTATCTGTCCCAGTCAGTGTCAGGATGATGGACACATGGATGCTGGACTTTCTGCTTCCCCATCTGACACCTGTTGCCTGTCAGGCTTCCTTTGTTCTGGTGCATCATAATCCACACTTCTTTCATTGATCTCAATTCTACACGTGGCACGCAAAGGCCTTTCTTTGCTGCAGATCTACAGAACTCCGAGTAAACAGCCAAAACATTATTCAGTTAATTTGATTGACACAGACATCTACTGTGAGCCACTAACACCAGAAGCAGGGTGTGGCACAGATCTTCAGAGCTGGATCTTAAGTGTCTTACAGAATGACCCCCTGAGCTCAGCAGATTTCCCAGAACATGGCCAAGTGTTTACTCCTGTGTAGATTGAATTTCTGCAAGGGAGATTCACTCTGGGTATGGAGATAGAAACGAGATCCAGGGTTAGAGTCTGCAGGGAAATACTTCAACCTGCATTGAGTCTGTGATTTTGGCAATATCTGATGTGGTGAGAAGAGTCATAGATGACCATTCTATGGCCTTAATTTCATTGTCAAGGGGGTGAGCATCTCTAAATGTGCCTTTTTTTCTCTTCTAAATGAATTCTTCACTTACGGTCATATGTGATAAGTGACAAAATAATACACCAATGTTTTATGCAGAAAGTTCCTTTTTTGTTTTTTGTTTTGGTAACATTCCAGTTACCAAGAATATGACCAGCAGGGACAGGTTTTCCTCCACCTTTAAGGGTGACCCTCAGAGTCCACATGCCCCCACTGGCTGTTGGTTTAGGGCTCTGGGCGGGGCTGCCAGGCACCCCCTACACTACAGGAAGCTTACATCCTAGTAGCACCAGGCCCATAATGCTCAGGAGGGAACTGTTCCCAAGCCCTCTGAGGCAGCAGCAGAGACAGGACAAAGTTTCAGCGGGTTTTAACAAGAATCTCCCAGCATCAGCCACGATTCCACCAGGAATACATGTGCTTCATGAGAACTGCAATAAAAGCTGGGAAAATATGACAAGTTATGATAGACAGAGCCATACAAAAATGACAAGCCATGTGACAAGATGGTATTTTGGGGTTGGGGAGAGAGTTAGAAATAATTACAGCGTTCCTACCCCTCTCGCCGCGCCACTGGGGGCTTGTGTGTGTAGATCGAAGGGAAGGGGGAATCGTTTGACTCTAATTTCAAGCCTTGTTCCTGTAATGGTTCCTTGTGGAATGCTGTTAAATAATGATAATTATTACAGAGCCCTGTGCTTTGAGCCACTCTTGTCAACTGCAGCTGCGTCCTGCAGGGTTTGCTACTTCCCTCCGAGACTGGTTTGTGAGGCTGATCTAAGATGTTTGCAGATTATTTCTTCTTAAATTTTCTAAGGATCATTTGAGTAGGAGTCACGAGATGAACACAGATATCTTGAGTTTGGCTTTGTAGGTCCAACATTTCATAGTTATGGAAAGGTAGGTGCGCATAGATTAATACACAACCCAGCCCCCAGTGGTGTGACCTGTGAAAATGTTATTCACTCCTTCAACCCATCAACTTCACTCCATTCAAATGCTTATGATTTTACCATGAGTTAAACTCTGCTCTGTGCCAGGATGGAGTGGCGAATCGGACATACGTTCCCCCTCTGGAAGTTCATGTAAAAGAAAATCACTGAGTGTAATACTGTGGAAGGCATGATAATAAAGACACGCACACTGGGCTTAGGCACAGGAGGGTGGATTGCCACGTCAACCTGGAGTGACAGGGATTTGTTTAAAGGCAGAGGACGCAGGAGCTGGGACCTGAAGGCTATGTAGGAGTTAGACATGAAGTCTGTTCCAGGCAAGAGGGTTTTATGAGTCACAACGTGGAGGCACATAAGCAAATTGCATGTTTAGGGAGGGATTAGAGGGACAAGATGGCTGAAAGAAGGCAAGACCCTATTTTTAATTCTAAAACAATTGTTTTTCTGATTATAGCAATAATGTTTAAAGACAATTAGGGTAAAAATCTTGGTTGGCCTATATTTTCTCTTCATGCCTCTCCTCTCCCCTACCTCCTTCTTTGGATGTACTTCTTTCTATTTGTTTCTCTCTCCTTTCCTCTTTCTCCAGAAGCAGGATGAAGTTGAATGTATAGTTTATATCCTTGCATCACTAATTGCATTATGAACATTTCCCATTTCCTATATATACTCTTTTCTCTCTCTCTCTCTCTTTTTTTTTTTTTTTTCTTCGAGACAGGGTCTCACTCTGTCGCCCAGGCTGGAGTTCAATGGCGTGATCTTGGCTCACTGCAACCTCTACCTCTCAGGCCCAAGCAATCTTCCTGCCTCAGCCTCCTAAGTAGCTGGGACTACAGGCTTGTGCCACCATGCCCAGCTAATTTTTGTGTTTTTAGTAGAGACAGGGTTCCGCCATGCTGCCCAGGCTGGTCTTGAACTCCTAATCTCAAGTGATCCACTCTCCTTGGCCTCCCAAAGTGCTGGGATGAGAGGCATGAGCCACCCCACCAGGCCCATATGTATTATTTTTAATGATTTTTAATATTTCACCTTATGGATATGCCAGAATTTTCTAAACTATTTCTATATTGTTGTGCATTTCATTTGTTTTCAGTTTTGTGCCTTATAAATAACACTGTGGTGAACACTAAAATAAAAATTTCTGCCCCCATTTCTGATGATTTCCTTGAGATAAATCCCTAGAAGTCTAGAAGTGAAATTAAAGGGTATGAATATTCCTAAGTTTCTTGATACATGTTGTCAGTTGATTTCTTTTAAAAAAATAGCTTATACTTAGAAAAAAGAGAAGCCCATCTCTTTATCTTCCAGGTAAAGATGGCAGATTGAACACACTAATTTTGTTCCTCTACCCCCTGCTTCAGTAGGGAGATTTTTTTGAAACTCATAAACTTTCAAGAACATGAGAGGAGAACAGCAGCACAGTCTGGGAGTCTGAGCAACAGATGGACGAGTGGTAACTGCTTTAGCAGATTTGGGAAGGCTGAATCCCCAGCTGGTGGTTGAGAAAATGGAAAATCAACTCCATGTACGCAGCTGAATCCTCAAAACACGCAGGAGTGGGTGGCACCAGGTGAGTCTCGGGGATGCTGAGAGTTGTTTCAGAAACAGTCAGGTCCCTAGTTCTGCTTCTTCGCTCTGTTGGCTGGGCCAGGGGTGGTTCCCCTCACCCCGTGCCTTGCATAAGTTTGCACATTATTCTCTGGAGAAGGTGAAGTTGGGCAATGCTGCCGTGGGACATCAGGTGCAGCAGAGGATCGGATAAGGACTTGGGAACCCCAATGGGCTAAGGGAGCCTATGTAGAGTGGATGCTGGTACCCCCAGTTCTCTCCCCCTAGACCCTTGGAATGCTCATACCCAGGCTGGGCCTCCAGGCTGGGGACTTAAGAAATCTTCCTTATGGAGGTTGTCCTGCACAAGAGCAAAGACTGTGAAGAGATGAATGCGCAGGTGTTTAGATGGACATGTATAGGGAAGTTCATAGTAGTCATTCCCTACTCACATACTTGGAGTTTCTAAACAGATTCTGAGTTCCTCACATTTAAACATGAGAAAATGACCAAGGATTGCCAGACATCTAAAGAAAGCATCTAACATGAAAGAAAGATACCAAAGCAAACTATGAGAGGACCTTGAGCACTACCTACCAGACACTACACATTAAAGTCAATTTGAGAGGACTAATAGGTATAAATGTGAAAGGTATAATAATAAAACTCCCAGCAGGAAACATAGGAGAATATTGTCATGACATGGAGGTAGGCAAATATTTCTTAAACTGGACAAAAAAAGCACTAATTATAAAATTAAAAATTAATTAAAATTCATTAAAATTTAGAATTTCTGTTCCTCAAAAGACACCATTTAGAGAATGAAAAAGTAAGCCACAGAGTGGAAACTAGATATTTTCAATTTATACATTAGACAAAGGGCTTCTATCCAGATTATACAAAGAACTCCTATAAATCAATACAAACCAGCCAATAAGAAAAGACTGCTTGAAAATGAAACATCTGCTAGAAATGACAGACCCAAAATAAGGATTGGAGGATAAAGTTGAGGAATCACTCAAAAATTGAACAAAAAGACCAAGGGATGGAAAACAAAACGATTGCGAAATTAGTGGACCAGTTCAGAAAGTAGGAAGAGAGAAAATAGAAAGGAGAAAATAATAAGTGAAATAATTCAAGAAAAATTTTCCAAATGAAAAGTTACAGTTTCAGGTTGAAGAGGTTCATGAATTCACAATGAATCAAAATAGAGCCATATAATGAAATTTCAAGGCCCTGAGGACAAACAAGCAATGTTATAAACTTCCAGAAAAGAAATAAAACACAACATAATACAAGAGAACTGTCATATCAAAGGATCAGGTGTCACACTGGCTTTGGAATTCTCAGCCTGGAGGCAACCCTGGAAGCTAAAAGACAACGAACAATGTTTTCAAAATATGGAAGGAAAATTATTTTCTTTTTTTTTTTTTTTCAAGACAGAGTCTTGCTCTGCCACCAGGCTGGAGTGCAGTGGCGCAATCTCGGCTCACTGTAACCTCTGCCTCCTGGGTTCAAGCTATTCCCCTGCCTCAGCCTCCCACGTAGCTTGGGCTACAGGTGCATATCACCACGCCTGGCTAAGTTTTTGTATTTTAGTAGAGACAGGGTTTCACCATGTTGGCCAGGATGGTCTCGATCTCCTGACCTCGTGATCCACCTGCCTTGACCTCCCAAAGTGCTGGGATTACAGGCTTGAGCCACCACGCCTGGCCTGGAAGGAAAATGATTTTCAATCTTGAATTCTACCCAGTCTATCAATCAAACCTGAGGGTAGAATAAACATTTCCAGACTTCAAAAAGTCTCAAAAAGCCCAGGTGCAGTGGCTCACACCTGAAATCCCAGCACTTTGGGAGGCAGAGACAGGTGGATCACTTGAGGCCAGGAGTTTGAGGCCAGCCTGGGCAACATGGCAAAACCCCATCTCTACTAAAAATACAAAAATTAGCTAGGCATGGTGGTGTATGCCTGTAATTCCAGCTACTTCGGAGGCCGAGGCATGAGAATCTCTTGAGCCAGGGAGGTGGAGGTTGCAGTGAGCTGAGATCACACCATTGCACTCCAGCCTGGGCGAAAGAGGGAAACTCTGTCTCAAAGAGAAAAAAGGAAGTCTCAAAAAATTTATATCCCATGTACTCACTTCTCAGGAAGCTTCTGTAGTTTATATTTTACCAGAATAACCAAGTAAACACAGAGAAAGGTATGGGTAACAAGAATCTGGAGAAGCAACAGAGAGACACAAACTGATGACTGTGACCAAAAGTATAATGCTGGTAAAATCTGGAAAGTCAAAATTACCAGAGAAGCTAATAAGCAGGAATGAGGAATTGCTGCAAAACAAAAACAGACCATTTTCTTTTCCTTGTAATTGCATCCCTACAAGGCTCACAAGCCAAGTTCCCACTGCTCTGGTGGCTGCACTCTGGGTATGGAGATAGAAATGCGATCCCAGGTTGGAGTCTGCAGAGAAATACTTCAACCTGCATTGGGTCTGTGATTTTTGCAATATCTGATGTGGTGAGAAGAGTGACAGATGACCACTCTATAGCCTTCATTTGATTGTCAAGGGGGTCAGCATCTCTAAATGTGCCTTTTTTTTCTCTTGTAAATGAATTCTTCACTTATGGTCCTATGTGATAAGTGACAAAATAATACACCAATGTTTTATGTAGAAAGTTGCTTTTTTTTTTTTTTTTTTTGAGACAGAGTCTCACTCTGTTGCCCAGCCTGGAGTGCAGTGTCACAATCACCACTCACTGCAGTCTTGAGCTTCCGGGCTCAAGTGATCCTCCCACCTCAGGCTCCCAAAGTCCTGAAATTACAGGTGTGAGCCACCACTCCCAGCAACATTACGGGTCCAGTTGGGGAAATGGTTGTGCTATGTCCCATCCACGTGAAGGGATATTACGCACTTGTTAAAAATAGGTTTACTGCGAGTTTGTATCAAGATTTAAAAAATGCTTACAGTGTGTTGGTGAATAAAAAAATGACAGGGCACACTGCTGCATTACTGTGTGACAGCAATCACATGAAAGAAGTAATCTATGTAGAGGACGAGAAACTTCTTTGAAGAAGCAGTGAACATTCACCAGCTGTTTCGGGGTGGACTATAGATGAGCTCCCTGCCCCCATTCTTTCTGCTTCCCCAATTTTTTAAAATGAGAAAATGACTGCTTTTATGATAGAGATCAATATTAGCAGTAAGAAATTAGTGTATGTTAATTATCCCGTGTTCCGTAAAACTGCTTGGACTGCTGACAGGCTTCTCCAGAGCTGCCTCGATTCCCCGGCCCAGTTCTGCCTTCGGATACCAGTTGTGCAGACATATTTGGGAGCAGACGTTGGCTCCTTCTTTCGCTTCTCTTCCCTACTCAGACATCAAACAATCAGCATTGTGTGGAGCACGTTATTGTTCTTAATGAGGCAACAGGCCCTATGTGATGGGACTCTGAGCACTGGGAGTGTTTTTTTTCTTTTGAGATCTAAAAAATACTCTTGAGAAGTGCAGCAAGTGAATTGGGTGGTGGGAACTGGGCAGCCTGAAGATTCTTGCATCCTGTAAGAAAGAACCAAACCTCAAATTGCAACTTGCTTATGTGTTTGTTTAAAAACCAGACCAGGTTAGTGTGCCAGGCGCACGGATTCTCTCTCTGCCGGTAGGAGTGTGAATTCGCACAGCCTTTCTAGAGGACAATCTGGCAACGCTCAAGAAAAGCCTTATGGTTCTGTACATCCTTTGAGGGAGCAATTCTACAAATAGGGATTTGTTCTAAGGATATAATTCTGGATGTTTGTAAAAATAGAGTTGTAAAGTCCATCATAGCAGAGCTTATAATAATGAACAGTCGGAAACAATAGTAAGAGGTTGGTTCCATAAATTATGATACATTTATGTAATGGCATCTTATATTTTGGAGAAGATGCAATAAAAAAGAAGCTAGTCAAAATATATTGTTGTATGAAAAAAGCTGGCTATCACGTGGAACATAATAGCATGAACCATTCTGTATTGAAAGTATATACTTGCTAATTAAAAATGATGGAAAATTATACACATTTATTCTCCAAACACTGACCGAGGATCTACAATTTGCCAGAACCCCTACGTGGCTGGTGCCAAGATAAATAACACATCCCCCACCCTCGGGGGGTCAGGGTGGGTTGGCTTCATCACACAAGCAAAGAAGTGTGGTTGGCAGCTTTGGTGTGGCCTGGCAAAGGGACCCCCTACGTAGGCTTTTGAGGGGCAATGGGGGAGCCTCGGTTGGGAGAGTTTCTGGGAACAGAGGAAAGTTTTTTATTTCCAAAAATTTTGGGGGAACAGGTGGTATTTGCTTACATGAGTAGGTTCTTTACTCATGGTGATTTTGGTATACCCATCTCCCGAGCAGAATACACTGAACCCAACTTGTAGTCTTTTATCCCTCACCCCATTCTCATCTGTTCCCCCTGAGTCTCCAAAGTCCATTGTGTCATTCTTATGCCTTTGCATCCTCATAGCTTTGCTCCCACTTATGAGTGAGAACATATGATGTTTGATTTTCAATTCCTAAGTTACTTCACTTAGAAAAATAGTCTAGAGAAAGCAAATTCTAGGGAAGTGGAAGCAGTGAGGAGCTGTATCTAACATTGAGAAAGGGGAAAAGGCTGCGTGTTGGAACCTGAAACCCAGACCCCCCAGACTTCCTGGGGGGTGGCAGGCCCTCTGGGTAGTGGGGGACGTGGTGTACCTGAGGAGACCAGATTAAGCCCCAAGCACAGAAACAGAGGAGCTGCTCTCTTTCCTGGGCCCACAAGATGTACTATGGAGGCCGACTTGGTCTGGAGGCCAAATGCCCTTTCTAGGAATGTTCTAGATAACGCTGGGCCTCTAGGGCCCTTGGAGAATCTAGGAAGGGGTCAGAACTCCCCAAACAACTGAGATTGCATCACCTGCCAGCCCAGTGCATGAAGGTCTCTGACAAGGTTAAATTTCACACAGAGAGAAAAAAGCTTGTGACATTTCTCGAGATTTTGTTGCTGTAGATTAAAATTCTACCACTTACACTTGGTTTTCAGATGTCTTTCTTGATCTAAGGAAGTAATTCAAATAGAGACCTGGGTCAAAATGCATTGGTGTTTAAAATGTTAGTAGCTTTGCAAGATTCATTTCCAAAGAGGGAACAGTTCACACTTCCAGCAGCTTTCCTGTATGCCAACCAGCACTGTGTGTTATTAACATTTTTGTTTTTTTGACTCTATGCTGGGTTAAACACTCATTATGTTAATGTGCATTTGCCTGGCTACTGATGAGCTCGAGCGTCTTTTCATGTGTTTATAGTTCACATGCACCTTTTTCCTGTGGCTTTTTTGCTTGTTATAATTGCAGGTGATTTGCCTTTGCGTTCCTGGGACGCCTTTCTCAATCATTCCATTTGGAAGTAGGTGTTTGGTACCTTGGTGCCTCTAATTAGCTAGGATCCCTCTTGCAAACTGATTTTGTTTGGCTTTGTATTATGGGATGTTCAAGAGTATGTTCATTCCCTGCTTCCTTCCCCAAAGATGGGAAGGTGCTGCGTCATGAGGAGGTGCTTATCTGCGTCTTCCACCAGACTGAACTTCATGATGGCTGGGATCAGGACCCCTTTGACTTTGTGCTTATCCTTCCACTATTTACACAAGTACTTTGAATTGAGGTCTCAGAGTGTTCCCCCACACATTATTTATTAATCCTAAGGTTTTTTTTTTTTTTTTTTGTACTTTACAGTGGAGAAATTTGGCAGATAGAACCTTAACCACGTGGCTGGAGCTAAAGTCACCAATAGGCAGATGCGCTAATGTAACTGAGGACCCGGTGTCACTTGGGTTGCTATGGTTCTGCCCAAAATGCATGTCCTCAATCCAATGACTAATCCAACAAACTCAATTGAAGAACATGCTACAAAGCAACTGGCCTATGCTCTTCAAAGCTGCCAGCGTCAGGCAAGGCAGACAAGCTTCAGATCTGGTCCCCATAAAACAGAAACTAGAGCCGTGACCGTTGATGCAATATGTGCTTGCTGGGTGGATCCAGTCAGAAAAACATTGCTTTACAGGATGTTCCTGGGACAACTGGGAGTTTGTGTAACGACTGCATGATAATAGTACGGTGTCAAGGTTAAATTTCCAGAATTTGATCATTATACTGTGGTTACATAAGAGAATGTCTTTGTTCTTAGGAAATTAATGCTGAAGTATTTAGGGGTGATAGGTCATGATTCTGCAACTTATTCTCAATTAGTTCAGTCAAAAAAAAAATCCATTATAGACATATGAGAAAGACAGAGCGAGGTGGTGAGGGGAAGAGGAAGCAAATGTGGTTAAATGTTAACAATTGATGAATGTCAGTGAAAGGAATATGAGTGGTTATCACACTTTTTAAAAAGTAAGTTTGGCATTTTCTAAAACAAAATGTAATTTCTCGTGTTGGGCAAGAGGATTGAGAGCTCTCAAGTCATATTGAAATCAAGTGCCTTTTCTGGAGTGGCCCAGGTTGGAGGACAAGATTTAGCACCTGCCAGAGTATTGCATCCGTGATATTAATGGTGGCTTACAGCAACTTCTCTTTGTGTCAACTTTCATGAGTTTTGTAGATAAAGACAGTTGAGAATGCATTCTGGCACTTCTTTAGTATCATCTCATACACTCTGAACCCAGTATCAACTTATCCCAAACCAAATTCAACCACAAGGCTGTTGCTGCTGCTTAAAGAGGAGTAAACACTTGGCCATGTTCTGGGAAATCTGCTGAGCTCAGGGGATCATTCTGTAAGACACTTAAGATCCAGCTCTGAAGATCTGTGCCACACCCTGCTTCTGGTGTTAGTGGCTCACAGTAGATGTCTGTGTCAATCAAATTAACTGAATAATGTTTTGGCTCTTTACTCTGAGTTCTGCAGATCTGCAGCAAAGAAAGGCCTTTGTGTGCCACATGTAGAATTGAGATCAATGAAAGAAGTGTGGTTTATGATGCACCAGAACAAAGGAAGCCTGACAGGCAACAGGTGTCAGATGGAGAAACAGAAAGTCCAGCATCCATGTGTCCATCATCCTGACACTGACTGGGACAGATAGCACATTCACTGTGAAGTTTTCTTGGGTTATTAGGACTGTTTTAAAAACAGAAAGACTGTATTTACATTAGCACTTTAATGACACTGTAGCAGAAAACAGAATTAATTTAAGATGGTTTTGCCTTCTGGTCAGGATGGTTGCAGATACTGGGCTGCGGAAGAGGGCAGGTGGCAATGGAGCCAATCGGTGGGGACAGGACTGCTCATGGAGCATTGAGAAGGAAGCCTCTGGGAAGAGGATTCAGAACCAGACAAGGAAAGGACCTGAGGTAACAGTGAGAGCCATGGAAGGTTGTAGGGAGGGAGCATTCTCCTGGAGCTGGAAAACTGGCCAGCCCGGGTACCCAGGGCTCCACTGCTGCAAGTCCCTGCACTGAGCTCAGCTCAGTGGGCGTTCTGGGTCCCACAGTGCTGAGGAAGAAACGTGGAGAATTTTTACAGGGAAAACAGGGATGAACAGGAAGGAAGGGCTGGAAATAGGAGCTTGGATAAGCAGTGCTGGACATGGAATTCCTCAGTCTGGAGAAGAGCTGAGTGGGAGGTTTGTCAAATAAATTAAGTCTATGGCCAAGACTATTTTAGATGTGGGGAAACAAAGGCAAACACTTCAGGATCCCTGCCCCTAAAGGAAGAGAGACGGGGACATAAACGAAGTTCTCCTGCAGTCAAGGGCAGACCTGATTTGTGGCTCCAACTGTGGGTTTCACAGTCTAGTATGATCATAACACACAATGTTGGGCACTGACATAGAGTTGCTAACTTTTTATTTACTCAAATTGAGAAGACATTTAAAAACTCAGACTCACCTACTATCACCATTATTTTAAGAAACAGGGGCTTTCCACCACCAGGAAAGCTGGAAGCCCTGATTTTCAGAGCAGAGGACAGGGCTGAATATGTTTAGTTCAGTAGGAGTGCACTTCCTTATTTTCTTTTTTTGTTCAAACCAATGCAAACTTCCTCTGGTGTGGCAGACACTCCAGCAGGGTGGCCACCTCCGCTCAGAGCCCTGGAGCCTGCAGCTTCAATGGAGCAATTAACCTGAGGGCTGCAGGATGCTCGCCTGTTAGCTGCGCTGTTGCCCTCTGGAGAGCCCTGGCCTTCTAATTAATGGAACAGGGATGGCTTTACTGTGCGCTAACAAAGGGACTTAGGTGATTGGAGGCAGGTGACTTCTGGACTTAATGCAGTGATTTGATTTGATTTGTGACCTTTACTCCCCATTTTAAGCAGAAGAATGAACGCCTATAATTGTGTACTGTGTTATTTCTTCTTCTGTATTTAACCTTCTATATTACCTCCAGGCGAATGCCTGCTCTTCCCCGGGCCCCAGGAGAGGGCTACCTTGTTTACTCATTTCATCCTCAATCCTCCCCTCCCTTCCCAAGCTGACATTTTCAGCTAAACTGGAAAAAGGGAAAAAAGTGTAGATAAATTGTTAAGATTCTCTATTTCTTGATTCTGAGCTGAAGACTTCCTTCTGGTTTCAGAAGAAGCAGAGCTACCTGACTGGAGTTTTTTCACAAATCTGGCCCCATTTAATTTAGGCAAATATTAGGGGCACATTGGTGTGAAGCCCTCATCCCCACTGCACCCTTCTCCCACCGCGGTGCAGCCAGGCTGTGGAGGAGCTGACTCAGATCAAGGGTGGGCAACGCGGGGCTGAGGTCAGTGTCCTGCTTGCCAATGGCGGGGCAATACTGGCTGCTGAGATTTGAGGTTTTCTCTGGCAGCTTCTGAGAATATTCACCTGACTCAAGAGAGCCAGGATTTCTTTCTCCCTCTGAATGCGCAAGAAGCAGCCTGTCGCTCTCAATGCTGTAGTCAGTGGTCTTATAACCAGGAGTGAACCAGTCGTAGGACGGAGCTAATGATGAAGATGGTAGAAACAGAGAGACGGGCAGACTCTGGAATTGGAGAGTTTGGTGGCATCATTGGGCTGCCTGGTCAACCATCCCTGACACCCAGTCCACCTGAAGTTTGGTGCCCTGTGAGTCAATGACTTCCTTCTGCTGAAGCCAGTTTATGCTGGGGTTTTGCTTCTTGTAGCCACAGCCTCCTAACTGATACCACACCCACTTTTACTCTTTCCTCCTTGTTTAACTTGAATAGGCATGCTTTCTTCTGCTTCTCATGAATTCCTCCACCACCTCTACCCTGCTCCTCTGGGGACTTGTGAATGTGTATATGTGTGCGCACACACACACACAGAACTGTTGAAATAAATTGGTTAATGAATTGTCCTTTCTCCTTCCTGAGCCTCCCAATTTCTTCCTGTGTCCTACTCAGGTTGTCTGAGCTCCACATCCTCCAAGACCGAGTTGAAATGTTACCTTCCTGAAGAGCCTTCCTGATTCCTAAGGGGATTGCTCACCTCTCGTTTATGCCTCCATTGGGCATTGATTACGGATGGCGGAGCAACCAGGAGGCTTCTAAGGGGTCAGTATTAGGATATGGTTTCAGCTGTGTATGAAAAAGACCTAATACCATGGCTTAACTGAGGTATCTATCACTTACCTGAAAGTCTGAGCAGGAATGTGGGTTTGCACCACAAAACCATCAGAGCACAAGCTCCTTCTCTCTTGTGGCTCCACAATCCCTAACATATTGCTCTTTCGTGCATGGTGCAACATGGCTGGCCACCATGTAGGGGAGGAAGCATGGGGGGAAAGGGAGGACACACCCCTTCCCTTTAAAGACACAACTTTACTTCTGCTCTCATCCCATTGGCTAGAAGTTAATAAAATAGCCTCGGCTAGCTGCAAAGGAGTCTGGGAAATGTAGTCTTGATAGTCAGTCATTGTGTGTCCAGGAAGAGTTTGATTACAGTGGAAGGAGGAGGGATTAGATATAGGGGGACCAGTCTCTGTAAACATCAATGGTATCAATCACAGATGCTTCTTAAGGCAGGCTTCCACATATGACTCCTTACTCAACAGGTAAAATATAACTTAGTTCCATTCTCACCGAAGGAGAAAGCCAGTGGAGCAGAAAATTCCCTGCCGGTGCCAGCCCAGTGAGAGATGCTGCACCAGGCACAGGCAAGGTACAAAGCAACCTCAGGCCACACCCTCTAGCCTGGGGCCCCTTAGCAACAGCTACCTGGAGTCGGCATCTCAGGACACCAAATTCTGAAACTAAAATAGTGCATGGCACAGTGCTATTTACTGTGAATGAGGAATTTCTTTCATTATCTACATTTTATATAATCTAATATGACTCCACTCCCCACACGACACTTGACTGGTGTGGTGAATCACAGAACAGAGCAGAAATGAAAATATGCACTACAGCAGCATGAGAAATGTCCTGTTGGCAGCAAAACCTGAACAAGAACTTTCAGCTGCATTTTGAATGAGTCTTTGTCACCATACCCACACAGAACACCACACTCCTTAGCGCAGATGAGGGGCTGATGCTCCCCAGTTTGGGGTGTCAAAAATTTGCTGAAGGAAAGACAGTGTCAAATAAGCTGTAATATTCTGCTCAGTACATGCAATAAGTTGCTTATTTCAACCAAAAAGAAAAGCCATGCTATTCTTATGAATTAAAAAAAAGAATTTCTTCTACTCCTCTGACTGTTAAACAAATATTTAAAAGGTGTTGTTTTGAAGGAGAGTGGCCAATCACTAAGAGCCTGCTCCCAGGTCAACCACAGTCTTTGCTGGGTCTCTTGCTAGACACAGGCGTTGCATTGTTTGTGAATAATTCCCTCTCCCCAGAGTGAACTCCAAGATCCTTGAGGTCAAGAATGTGCCTTCAGTCTCAACGTCCCCAAATACTGGGAGCTATATGTGAAGCCCTAAGAGTGCTGCCTTTGTGGTGACCTGTCATCTGTGGCTTTTCTTTGCCAGCTTCATCCTGTAGGCGAGATCGATGAGGCGCCCACTGTTCTCATCGGCAGCACTGCAATGGTATTTCCCAGACCACACTGGTAGCAGGTGAGTATTAGGACCTGGATGAAGGCTCTGCAGTGAAGTCAGTGGGAGAATCTCTGCCTCCAACACTCAGCTTTTGGAAATTCACATTTACAGTGCACATTTGAATCCCAGAGTCTCTGAAAAGGCCTGCTGTAAATAAATAGTTTGATTTAACTTTGTTCACTCCAGTGTGTCCCAAACTTACATAACCACACTTTTTTGGAGTTATATTTTATTTTCTTTAAAAAGTTATTCTTATGACATATTTCGAGCACTCAGGAAAGGCTAGAGGACAGCATGGTAAGTATTCTGGGGTTGATCACCTGCTGTGTTCAGTCTTAACATCTGGTCATATTATAACAGATTAAAAAAAATCAACCCCCTTTTTTTTTTTTTACCTAACTCTTACTGAGATTGTAAGGGGCCTACAGTGGGAAATGCTGGCCTGCTAAGCAGGCTCCCTCATCAGGCTTGGTCCCATATGCAGCCTCCACACCACTGCTAATCAGCCCTCCTAAATTAGCATTCCCATGGCAATGCCCTCTTTCCTCACAACACTTTCCCTGGCTCCGCACTGCTCCCCAAGGAAAGTCTCCACCTGTCTTCCAGAGTCCTCATTTTCCGACCTTGACAACCACTGTCTGAGCCTTGGGGTCTTTCTAGTGGGGAGCACGTGCTGTTGCTCAGAAGCCCATGGTTCATAGCATTCGCTCTGTCTCACCCAGGCCTTCTCTCTTGCCTCTAGTTAGAGTTCGCCCTTTAAGGCCCTCTTCAAATGTCCCTTCCCTCAAGATCCTTTACTGGTTCACCTCAGCCTCTGCCGTTCTAGAGGCGGATCTATATCATGCCTCTGT
The DNA here is from genome assembly GCF_000001405.40 of Homo sapiens. Taxonomy (NCBI): domain Eukaryota; kingdom Metazoa; phylum Chordata; class Mammalia; order Primates; family Hominidae; genus Homo; species Homo sapiens. The sequence continues at coordinate 125,287,131 of NC_000010.11, forward strand.
AGACACCTGTCGCTTCTGGGAGTTTTTAGTCACTCTTGTATTCAAGCTCTTTGAGGACAGGGACTCTGTTTCTTACAACTTTGCATTCTGTAGCTCTTGGCACAGAGTGCAGCCTTCACAGATGGTGGTTGAGTATGTGAATGAATGAATGAAGGAATGAGGGAATGAGTGGATACAACATGCAATGTCTTTGGATGATCTTGAGAGCTGGGATTGGAGAGTGTGGTGAAAGAAAAACCTGGAATGACCACAAAAGTAGTGTTTCATGAAGATTTGGCGCCGACAAGGAGTTTAGCTTAGGAAATTGAAGGAATGCTGGCCCTTACAGCGAGACCACCAGCAGGCATGAGCAGGGGCACAAAGCCAATTCTGGACTTGTTGGTGTGAAGTGACTATGGACAACTCCCAGAAGTGAAGATGAGAATTGCCTCTACCAGTGAGGACCCAGGTGACCAGATTAGGGTTATAAAAGGAGATTTGGGGGTTGCTCAGAAAAGTTAAGCATAGAATTGACTCTGCAATTCCACTCCTAGGTGTATACCCAAAGGACTGAAAACAGGTGTTCAAACAAAAACTTGTACACTCATGTTCAAAGCAGCACTATTCACAATCAGCAAAATGTGGAAACAACCCAAATGTCCATCAGGTGACAAATGGATAAACAAATCATGGTCTATCCATACAATGGAATATCATTCAGCCATGAAAGTATGAAGTTCTGACACACGCTACAATGTGGATGAACCTTGAGGATATTATGATGAGTGAAAGAAGCCAGACACAAAGATCATACATTGTATGCTCCACTGTGAACTGTCCAGAATAGGTAAATCCATAGGGACAGTAAGGAGATTAATGGTTACCAGGGGCTGGGGAGAAGGAGTGGGAAGAGTGACTGCCTGATGGTTATAGGGTCTCCTTTGGGGGAGAAGAAAATGTTCTGGAACTTGATAGAGGTGGTGAGCACACAAAATTGGGAATGAACTAAATGTCATTGAATTGTACACTTTAAAATTATTCCTTTTACGTTATGTGAATTTCATCTTAATAAAGAAACTTAAAAAGAAGGGGGGATTTGGGAATCTCCAGCCTGGGGAAAATGATAGCCTCTATCAAGAAACCATCGGAAGAGAAGTGCCCAAGGAACTGGAAGTGGCAGGGGAGTTCGAATGAGAAGGACAGAAGCAATCTGAGAAGTAGAAGGAGGACCTGAGGCTCCAGCAGTGGGGAAGGGAGGTATAAGTGGGGAGCATGTGGCCAGCAGCGCTTGGCATGGGAGAGCAGTTGGAGAATGAAGAGCTGTAGGAAATGTCACTGGGCTTAATTATTTAATGCTTCTTTACTGAGCACCTGCTATATGCCAGGCTCTCTACTGGTGACTGGGATTTCAGCAAAGTTCCAGGATACAAAATTAATGTATAGGCTGGGTGTTGTGGCTCACACCTGTAATCCTAGCATTTTGGGAGGCTGAGGTGGGTGGATCATTTGAGGTCAGGAGTTTGAGACCAGCCTGGCCAATATGGTGAAACCCAATCTCTACTAAAAATACAAAAATTAGCCAGGTGTGGTAGCACATGCCTGTAATGCCAGCTACTAGGGAGGCTGAGGCAGGAGAATTGCTTGAACCTGGGAGGTGGAGGTTGTAGTGAGCCAAGTCACACCACTGTACTCCAGCCTGGGTGACAGAGCGAGACTCTGTCTCAAAAACAAACAAACAAAATAATAATGCACAAATATCAGTGGCATTTCTATACATCAACAACATCCAAGTTGACAGCCAATCAAGTACACAATCTCATTCACAATAGCCACAAAAAGAATAAAATACCTAGGAATACAGCTAGCCAGGGAGGTGAAGTATCCTACAACGAGAATTACAAAACAATTCTCAAAGAAATCAAAGATGACAAGCAAATGGAAAAACTTTCCATGTCATGGATAGGAAGAATCAATACTGTTAGAATGGCCATACTGTCCAAAGCAATTTACAGATTCAGTGCTATTTGTATCAAACTATCAATGACATGCTTCACAGAATTAGAAAAAAAACTATTCTAAAATTCATATGGAATCAAAAAAGAGCTTGAATAGCCAAGGCAATCCTAAGCAAAAAGAACAAAGCTGGAGGCATCACATTACTTGACTTCAAACTATACTACAAGGCTATAGTAATGAAAACAGTATGGTACTGCTACAAAAACAGATACATATATATGTGTATACATATATATACCAATGGAACAGAATACAGAGCCTGAAATAATACTGTACACCTACAACCATCTGATCTTTGACAAAGTCGATAAAAACAAGCAATAAGGAAAGGACTCCCTATTCAATAAATGGTGCTGGGATAACTGGGTAGCATATACAGAAGAGTGAAACTGGATGCCTTCCTTGCACCATATGTGAAAAGCAACTCAAGATGGATTAAAGACTTAAATGTAAAGCCTAAAACTATAAAAACCCTGGAAGATAACCTAGGAAGTACCATTCTGGACACAGGACTTGGCAAAGTTTTCATGACAAAGATGCCAAAACTAGTTGCAACCAAAACAAATATTGACAAATGGGACCTAATTAAACTAAAGAGCTTCTGCACAGCAAAAGAAACTATCAACAAAGTAAACATACAACCTACAGAATGGTAGAAAATATTTGTAACTATGCATCTGACAAAGGTCTAATATCGAGAATCTACAAGGAACTTAAACAAATTAACAAGCAGAAAACAACCCCATTAAAAAGTGGGCAAAGGACACGAACAGACACTTTTCAAAAGAAGACACACACGCAGCCAACAAGCATATGAAAAAAAAACTCGGTATCACTGATCATTAGAGAAATGCAAATCAAAACCACGGTGAGATACCATCTCGCATTTGTCAGAATGGCTGTTATGAAAAAGTCAAAAAATAACAGATATTGATGAGGTTGCAGAGAAAAGGGAACATTTATACACTGTTGGTGGAAGTGAAAATTAGTTCAACCACTGTGGAAAGTAGGGTGGCGATTCCTCAAAGAGCTGAAAATAGAACTACCATTTGATTCAGCAATCCCATTATTGGGTATATATTCAAAGGAATGTAAACCCTTCTACCATAAAGACACATGCAAGTATATGTTCAGGTCAGCACTATTCACAACAGCAAAGACATGGAATCAACCTAAATGCCCATCAGTGGTGCACTGGATAACGAAAATGTGGTACATATACACCTTGGAATATACACAGCCATAAAGGAGAGCGAAGCCATGTCCTTTGCAGCCACATGGATGGAGGCCATTACACAAGTGAACGAATACAAGAACAGAAAACCATCACCTCATGTTCTCACTTACAGGTGGGAGTGAAATATTGAGTACATACACATGGACACAAAGAGGGGAGCAACAGACACCAGGGAGGGTGGGAAGAGCGTGAGGATCAAAAAATGACCTATCAGGTACTATGTTTATTACCTGGGGGATGAAATAATCTGCACACTAATCCCTATGACACAATTTACCTATATAACAAACCTGCACATGTATCCCTGAACCTAAAACACAAGGGAAAAATAAAAATGAAAAAAGAAATTTCAAGTGGCTTCCTGAAAGCCAGGGTGCTGGGAGTGAAGCCAGGTCATTGGGAACTTCAGGTGGGGACTTGCAGAGAGGAGATGGAAGTGCCAGATGCAGAGGGACAAGAGATGGGAGGTGGCATTGAGCAGGGCCATAGGATCCAGTGAGAATGTTCATGTTAAGATGGTGGGCTCAGGGCTGGGCATGGTGACCCACATCTGTAATCCCAGCACTTTGGGAGGCTGAGGCAGGAGGACTGCTTGAAGCCAAGAGTTCAAGACAGTTACTACGTGTGCCACATAGTAAGACCTTATCCATCTCTACAAGATAAATATATAAAAAACTAGCCAGGTATGTTGGTGGACAACTGTAGTCCCAGATACTCTGGAGGCTGAGGTGAGAGGATCAGTTTGAAGCTGCAGTGAGCTGTGACTGTATCACTGTACTCCAGCCTGGGCAAAATAGGGAGACCTCATCCCTTAAAAAAAAAAAGTGGGGGGAAAAAAGATGGTGGGTTCAGAGGACCATTTAACACAGAGGGGAAATATTTCCAAAAGGGGAAGAGTGTGAAGAAACTAGATGGGGAAGGGTTAATTCTGAGAAGTGTACCTTGAACAGCCACTGAACCCCACCGATGACGTGCCAGTGGGCTTATCCCAGGGGTGTCTTCGTGCATTTTGTGCTGCCATAACAGAATACCAGAGACACAGTGTTTTACAACAAAGAGAAATTTATTTCTCATAGTTGTAGGGGCCAGGAAATCCAATGTCAAGGTGCCAGCATTGCAAGGGAATTCTTGCTGCATCATCCCATGGCAGAACGTGAGAGGGTAAGAGAGACAGCAAGAGGGGCCTGAACTTGCTTTGATGATGAACCTACTCTCACTATAACGACATTGTTCAATATGAACCAAACACCTCCCATTGGGCCCCAGTTCCTAACAGTATTGCACTGGGGATGAAGTTTTTAACACATAAACCTTGGGACATACATGCAAACCATAGCAGGGGGTTACTATTTTAGATGAGGTCCGAAGGTGGCAATCATGGCTTTATTGGTTTCTGGTCCTTGTGGGAGGTGGCCCTGAAGGATGTTGAACATCAAATGCTTTAAACTGCTCTAACCCCCTTTTGGGTATCCCATTCCTGACTGCCAGTCACGCCTTCTTTCCCTAAATTATCCAACCGAGGGGCAGCTGGCAATTTGTAACCATTCCTATCAGATCACTGAGGCCCAAATTAAGCCCAAAGGTTTGAAGAATGTCACGATAGTTTTGATGTCTCCCTGCTACCACTCTGCTGGCCAACAAGCGTTGGCATATGTGACTCCATTCTGTCCAAAACTAATTCGGTGCTTAAGAACGCGAGCACTTTCCAAAGACCATCTGTTTACTCTTCTGCTTAAGGAACTCCACTCTCCCCCAGCCTCCTAGGATTGAATTCAATAAATCCTGACATGGAGGGATGTTTTTTTGGCAGGTCTAGAAATTGAATGTTTTCCAAATGGTACATTATTGATATTAAAACCGATTTGTGCATCGCCAGGCATCAAAGAAATGTACTAAATAATATCTCCAGGAATGAAAAGGAAATTGAAAAGCCTGTCCACGGGCATTTATCAGCAAAAACACCAGCCTCAACTGTAAAATTCAGCAAGTGAGAAATCTACAGACTCCTACAAACAAAGGAAAGCTACTCCGATATATTCAGACTTAAACCCACTTCCAACCTACTTAGAAACACCTGACATAAAATAAACTTTCTCGCGCAGCCCTGGCTCTTCTCCTTGCTCCAGACTGCAGCCACCATGAGGAAGACTTAGGAGTGAGAGACTTTAGGTTCGAATCCTGATTCCCACCTTCTGCCTCCACACACAGGGAAGCTGTGTGTGATCTTGCACAGGTTATGCAAACTCTCCCAAACCTCAATTTCCTCATTAGTTACAATACCTTTCTTATGAGATTGGGTGACTAGTAAATGACACGGCACATAGTAGGTCTGTAGATCTTTCTTTCATTTCCTTTTCCAGCTATGGCTCTGTGCTCCGCAGCATACGAGTGGGTGCTGAGAAGCACGTTAGAGCCAGTGCGGTATCAGTTCATCCTGCTTGATGGGTTGGCTTGCTTGCTGCCTGTTTGCTGACTCAAAGAATGTAATTTCCTAACGCAGAACACGAAAGAGAGTAGTGGATATTTAATCAACGTTTTGTTGAGTGTGTAAGGATCACATACAATATAATTCCGTGAGTAACTTAAGTAAAGCAGTGACATAAATATTTAAAGACTTGTTGAGAATGCAGCTGTAAATCTGTATTGATTGTTACTGCACGTTTTACAGAACGTTCGAAATTTCTGTAGATTATCACAATGAAGGACAGCACTCCCCGTGATTTGAAGGCAGGTACAGTTTCCACTGGTCACTGGAGCGGAGTCATCTGCCTTCCATCAGTGGAGTTTCCAGGCTGGGCTGGGGGCTTTTGGGGATCTTTCAGGGATGAATGACCACAGAAAATTTCTTCTCAATTTTCTACTATTATTTAAATCCCATGACAGTGATATTCATGCCAGAGTCACCAATGTACATCACATGTTTGCCTTAAAATTTATCTTTAGAATATATTTGTGACAAGTGTTTTAGGACCCATAATTAAAAAAAAATCATGTTCATTCTAATGTGTGACAGTTCAATTTTAGCCAGCTGGGGCAACCAGCTCTGTCACCTGGCCTGACTATGAAATAAAGCTTCCAGTGTCTTCCCTGTGCATAGGTGTGAATTTCCAGTAAGTGTGTCACTGGGAGAAAGACAGTGGCTCTACAATGGCCTTTTTCCCTGAATTTAGGTGTGTAAACCAAATCACACAACCCACACACTGTGCCCAATTAAAGCCTAGGCAAGTTCAAGTGCATCTGCCTGGCACCCATTCCCACAATATATTATTAGTCCAATGATAATGCTGTCTTGTGATTATTTTAGAGCTTGTGAATTTTAAGTGTTTATTGTCTGACTTACATTTGATAAAACACGAAGGCAGTTGAAAAAATAAAACCATATGTCATCTAAAGATAAACAGAGAAGTATATCTTCATAGTCATGGGTGAAGCCAAGCTATCTTAAAGGAGGTATGAGTGTGAGGATACAAACAGGTAAAGACTAACACACATGGATACACACTCATACATACTATTCACAGAAGAAAATGTTGCCGAATTTCACTTTGTTAAAATTAAGCACTTCTGCTCATCAAAATACACTGAGAGAGTGAAAAGACAAACCAAAGACTGGAGAAGATATTTACAACACATGCATCTGACAAAGGACTTGTATCCAGAACATATGAGGAGCTTGTACAAGCCAATAAGGAAGAGAAAACTCAACAAACACATAGGCAAAAGACTTGAGCAGGCACTTCACACACAAAAAAGATATTCGAGTGGCAAATAACCATGTGGAGATACGGTCAGCTTCATTACTATCAGGAAATGTAAATTATAATTATAATAAGACACCACTGCACACTCTCTAGGATGGCTAAAAACAAAGACTTAAAACTAAGTGGTGGGGAGGAAGTGGGGCAACAAGAACTCTCATGGATTGCTGGTGAGAGAGTCCATTGTATAACTTCTTTGGAAACCTGTTTGGCAGTATTGACTGAAGCTGAGCAAACATATCCCTTAGAACCCAGCAGTTGGATTACTTGGTATATATCCAAGAGAAAAAAGTGCATATACCCCCAGGTGAATGTACAAAAATATTCATACTGGCTTTAATTAAAAACTAGCAACAATCCAAGTGTCATCAAGAGTAGAATGGAGAAATCCATTGTGGTGTATTCATGGAATGGAACCCCACAGGAAAAAAAAAGAATAAACTACTACTACACTCAACAACATGGATGACTCTCACAGACACAAGGAAGAATGAAAAAAGCCAGACACAAAAGAGAATACGCCGTGTGTTAATTTATAACATGCTTGAGAATAGGCAAAACTCATCTATAAAAAAGAGGTCACAATAGTGATCATGCTTGTCTCTCTGTGTGTGAGCTGTGACTAGTGAGGGAGCATGTGAGAATGTTCTCATTGTGAACATTCTATTTCTTGATCAGCGTGATGGTTATTTGCAAAGAGGGCATATATACGTCAAAATCTATTAAACGAACACTTAAGATTTGTACACATCATTATATGAATGTAAGAGTGTAATAAAAATGGAGAAAGAATGAGAGCCAGTAGTGTGCTGCCAAATAGTTAACAACTAACTCTCTAGGGAAAAACCTCCACCCCGTTTTCTGCTATTTCTAATTTCTATGGCATACGTACTCTCACCATGGCCAATTTCAAGTTATAGTTGATTAAGAAAAGGCGTGCAAAGTTCCTGAAAATTTAACATTCAGCTTTCATGAAGTGTTTCACACTGGTTCATAGAACACCACTGGTGATACAAAAAATTAGCCGGGTGCGGTGGTGGGTGCCTATAGTCCCAGCTACTCGGGAGGCTGAGGCAGGAGAATGGCGTGAACCCGGGAGGCGGAGCTTGCAGTGAGCCAAGATGGCGCCCCTGCACTCCAGCCTGGGTGACAGAGCGAGACTCCGTCTCAAAAAAAAAAAAAAAAAAAGAACTGATTATGCTTGTGATAGCTCAGATTAGATCTAAAACTGACCTACTCCTTTTTTAAGTTTTTGAAACCAGTTAGGTGAGAGGACACCTTAAGGTAGTCATGTAAGCTGCTTAAAACTACTTACCTGTTTGAATCAAGATTCTCTTAATATTAAAGAACCAAAAATATAGAAATAAATGGATTACTGATGCTGATATTGCAATTTTCATCCATAACTCCTGGCTTTATTTTTTATGTGATTATTATAAAGCTTTGCCATTTTCATTTTATAAAGAAATGCTATAAACATTACATTTATAAAATATCTATTTCCTATATTGAGGTATGAAGTACTCGACACTCTATGACATAAAACATAACTTTTACAAAAGGGAATATGTTTTGATGTGTAATTTGGAATTTCTGAGAGGAGACCAGGAATGGCTGGATCCAGGGGTTCAAATAATGTCAGAGTTCTATCACTCTTTAAATCTCTCAGCCTGTTTGCCTCTAGCTGTTTGTATTCCAAGCAAGTTCTTTACATGTGGTGAGTGGCAAGCAGTAGCCATGTGTATTAGTCCTTTCTCACATTGCTATAAAGAAATACCTGAGACTGAGTAATTTATAAAGGAAAGGGCTTTAATTAGCTCAGTGTTCCACAGGCCATAGAGGAAGCATGATGCTAGCATCTGCTCAGCTTCTGGGGAGGTCTCAAGAAACTTACAATCAGGCAGAAGGTGAAGGGGAAGCAGGCACGTCTTACATGGCAGGAGCAGGAACAAGAGGAGGTGGGAGGAGCTGCACACTTACAAGCAACCAGATCTTATGAGAACTCACTATCACAACGACAGCACCAAGGGGGATGGTATTAAACCATGAGGAACCACCTTCATGATCCAATCACTTCCCACCAGGCCCCATCTCCAACACTAGGGATTACCACTCGACATGAGATTTGGGTGGGGACCCAGATCCAAACCATATCATCATGCTTACATTATCCTTATGGCTTCTAATCCCAAAGAGAGGGAGAAAGTTTGGGAAAGACCCTAATTGGCCTGACTTAGATCAAGCGTCCATCTTAGAACCAACCAGTATGGCTGGGGTACAGGGTTCTCTTAATTGGTTGGAGTGCACCCATTCAGGTCTGGATACCAGCCCTGGAATCACATAGATTGTGCAGGCTAGCTATGGAATGACAGAAAGGTGGCCCTGCATAGCGAGTGGCAATGGGCAGACAAAGGCTTCACACTGCACAGTCTGTAAATTTCATTCAAATAAAAGACATTCGGAAGTGGGAACTCACAGGCAGAGAGGAAGGAAAATTCAAGGCACTGGGAAGAAGCCATGTGAATAGAGACACAGAAGGGAAAGAAGTTGAAGGACAAGGTGAGGGGCCTGCGATTCAGGGACGTGGAGGCAGGAGGTGGAACAGAAGCCCCATCAGACCGGGCAGGGCACTGCATCCGTCCCCATGTCCCGACAGATCAGTGCTGGGCAGGTCTTGGCTTGCCTGATCTTATCAATGCAGGCCCTGGGTGCAGGATGAGTCTGATGTGACTCCGGAAGCCACAGGGACAGAGGGAAAGGAAGTGCAGAACTCCAGCCATGTGACCCAGCAACCTCTCTGCAGCTCTGATTCTTCACCTGTAGAATGAGAGCTAACACGTCTACCTTGCAGTGTTCTCGAAACGATTAGAGGTCATTTACCACATTTTAGCCATATGACTGTGCACAAGTTACCCAAACTTCTCTGAAGCTCATCTTCTGAATCTACAGAATAGGAACCACCTGACAGGATTGTTGTAAAGGTTAAGCGAGAAAAGCCATGTAAACCACAGGGAATGATGCTCGGGACACCGTGTGCACACAATACCTGGTGCTGGCGGTGATTATTACTATTTCCATCCAGAAATGATCACGCCCGCTTGTGAAGCCCCCAGCACCTTCAGCCTCTCCTCTGGCAGTTACCTTTCCACCTCATGGGAGAGGTCCATGTCTGACCTTCCATGCCAGGCTCTCAGAGACCACAGCTTCCTACCCACATGGTGCTTTGCATGCAGCAAGTGCCCTGCAAATGTGAGCTGAAGAATGAACAAATGGAAACTTATTCTCGTGAAGAGCCTTTAAGATCTAGTGATGAATTAGTGATGGAAATTTTTCATCCTGAAAAAGTAAAGCATGCTGGGTGTGGTGGCTCACACCTGTAATCCCAGCATTTTGAGAGTCCGAGGTGGGAGGATCACTTGAGCCCAGGAGTTCAAGGCCAGCCTGAGCAACAAAGTGAGACTCTGTCTCTACATAAAAAAAAAAAAAAAAAGCAACAAACAAACAAAAAAACAAAAAGACCCAACTAGCTAGGTATAGTAGCATATGCCTGTAGTCCCAGCTACTAGAGAGACTGAGGAGGGAGAACTGCTTTAGCCTGGGAGGTCAAGGCTGCAGTGAGCTGTGATTGCACCACTGCACTCCCACCTGGGCAAAAGAGTGAGACCCTGTCTCAAAAAAAGAAAAATAAAAACTAGTAAACCATGAGCAAGATTTAAATGTACTAAATGGATAAACCTCCAAAAATGTAATTGCAGTGAAAAAATAAAGTCAGAGAATGAGGAATATTCCATGATATCATTTATGTAAATTTTTAAAGGCACGAAATGCTTTCTGTAGATGAATAGGACTATAAAATTATTACCTAAGATGCAAAGATGAGCACAATCCATGAGAAAGCCTCCTTTGGGTAGGTGGGAGGGGCATGTGGAAGGCTTGAAGGTCAAGGAAGTTTAGCTTTATCTGGATTGTTCGCATATTTTTTTAAAGGACCATGGGTTCATATGGGTTGTATCATGTTGAAAGATAATACATATGGGTAAAAAACTGGGTGCAAATATAGCAAAATGTTAGTAGTGGTTAATTCTGGGTGCTGGAAATATGGGTTGTAATTATTTTTCCTTTTTTAACATTTATATTTAGTTTTTCTATTATTAAATTTATTAAAAATTTAATTAAAATAAATTATATCTTTTTAGCCAAATAAGTAGTTTTTGCACAGATAAAAGAGGCACATTATACAAATTCAAGGTACAAATGATTAGACATGGGAGGATCTGATCCTTTTGCCATCCCACCCTGGCCACCCAGATCCTCTCCCTACAGTCAACAACTGTTACAAGTGTCTGAAGAATTTTTTCAGAGATAGAGAGTAGGTTTATACATGTGTATTTTTTGTACAAATGGTAGCATTCTATAAACACTTTTCAGTAACTTATTCTTTTAAACTTGACAGAACATCTTGAAGTCAGTTCTATCTCTCTCTCTCTAGACTCTTCACTTCAAAAAAAGGTTGGACAGTATTCCATTTTATGAATATAAATTCTTTATGATATAATTTTTTAGCTGGTTCTCTATAGATGGACATTGAGTTTACTTCAAATTGTTGGCTATTACAGTGTTTCAACAAATACCATTGTTGATACATCTTTTTGCATGTTTGTGAATAAATCTGTAGGATAAATTATTATGGACAAAACTGCTAAGTCAAGGGTTATGTACATTTACATTTTGGGTTGATGTCACCAAATTATTTTCCATAGAGACTATTCCAAGCTATACCCCACCCTCAATGTAAGAAAACTATGTTCATTATTAAAGAACACAGGTGCATTAGGTGCAAAAGACCTCCCATTTAAAAAATTAAAACATAAGAACAAAATTTTCTATAAGTTTATATATAATAAATCTTCAAGTCAACCATTAGTTTTGAGTCTCAGGAATTGCAGAAACCTGTAAGAAGTTTGGATATCTGTGTTTAGAATTGGCAAGCATCAACAAGCAAAAGAGAAAACATAGTTTCAGTAAGTATTACAGCTGATAATAAATTTTGCTTTTGTTGGGCTTCAGTCCACAATAAGTACCTGCACTGCTGAAATTTAAAATATTTTAAAATCACTTTATGCGGCATAACATAAAAATCCTATAACCCACCCGATCTCTGTTTACTTCAAAAATCATTCCCCCTCTTATGATTGCCTTGCTTAATATACTATATATTTTAACTATCCAATTTACAGCGTTTGGGAAGACCTAAAATATCAGCATGCATCAGAACATTAACAACCTATTTAGCAGTATTTTTTTTAACCAAAAGCCTAGAGGATACATTTATCAAATAGGTATTACACATATGATTTCCTCAAAGTGTGTGTTTCTGCTCCATTTCAAACATTCCCATCATCTAAACTGATGGATTTTAATTTTAATTAGTCTTAGATTCCAGGAGAGTCATCTTAATGTATAAGATGACCTTGGCAGTTGACCAGCAATAAACAATGAGCCCAGCTTTTCTCCGAGTGAGTCTGACAGCCACACAATGGCCTCTGGGGACTCAGCTCCAGCGAACTTTGATGTACCCAACCCAGCCAATAAAACTTCCTGCTGGCATTTTCTTCAAAAGTACTTTTTTCCTTTTCTTTTTCATTTACAATGGAAAAGGATGTAAGTAAAAGGAGAAAACAACTGTGGCAGAGAGAACTCTTCACTTGGAATGGATGTCAAAATCCCAGCCAGTTATTTTGTGGATATTGACAAACTGATTATGAAGTGTTTATGGAGAGGCAAAAGACTCAGAATAGCCAACACCAGGTTGAAGGAGAACAAAATGAGAGGACTGACACTACCCGACTTCAAGACTTATTCTAGAGCTACAAGTAATCAAGACAGTGTGGTATTGATGACAAAAGAGACAAATAGATCAACGGAACAGAATAGAGAGCCCAGAAATAGACCCACATGAATATAGCCAGCTGGTCTTTGACGAAGGAGCAAAGGCAATGAGATGGTTGAAAGAGAGTCTTTTCAACAAATGGTGCTGGAACAACTGGACATCCACGGGCAAAAATAGAAAAAAAGAGGAATCTAGGCCAGACGCGGTGGCTCACGCCTGTAATCCCAGCACTTTGGGCGGTCGAGGCGGGTGGATCACCTGAGGTCAGGAGTTCGAGACCAGCCTGGCCAATGTGGTGAAACCCCGTCTCTACTAAAAATACAAAAATTAGCCAGGTGTGGTGACGTGTGCCTGTAGTCCCAGCTACTCGGGAGGCTGAGGCAGGAGAATCGCTTGAACCCGGGAGGCGGAAGTTGCAATGAGCGGAGATTGCACCACTGTACTCCAGCCTGGGCGACACAGCAAGACTCCGCCGTCTCAAAAGAAACAAACAAACAAAATCTAGACACGTGTAATGGATGCAACCAGCTATTAGATGTCAGGGGGGGAGACTTTGGAGGAGACGCCAGAGCAGGGCTACTGAGGGGAGCGAGGACTTCTTTCCTGAAATCCAAGGATAAGAAATCCTGCCTAACTGGGAAGGTCAGCACTGCCTGCAAAGGTTCCTGAGACGCTGGAATTCTACAGTATTTTTTGCCCTCCGACTAGGCTACCTCTGCTGCCTCCTCCTTATTGTGCCCTGGGGGGCTGCAAAACAATCAAAAGGAATCAATTACACCCAACCAGGGGCTTCTGCTCCAAGCAAATAAGAGGGCAAAGTAAATACTCATTGTCTTTGTCCAGGCTTATCTAAACAGGCTCGTTAATGGTTGCTTCCAAAAAATGTATTTTGCGTCTTTGAGGAGAGGAAAATCAATAACAATATTGGGTTTATGTGAAGGTCAGTGGGTTCGGCACTTAGCATCTCTTATCCTCAGGTTTTAAAGGAAGCTATGAAGGAGCATTATTTCTGACAATCCTGCATGGGAAATGTCTTGACTGAGATTCTTGGACTTAATAAAAGATTTATGGTGGAAATTCTGCAAGTAATATCTTGTTAGAATAAGTTCTGTGCTAACCTCAAGTGACAAGTGATTGCTCAAACTTGTTCCCCGGGCTCCTGGGCCTTCTCTTTAATCTTTTATTAGCTCTGTTCTCCAAACTTGAAATACAAGGGGTGGCAATTGTTTGGGTCCATTATCTTTGATATGAGTGTCTCTTCTGTATTTGAAGATCTGTTTTCTTTTTCTGAATTACAAATGAAGTAAATGTCACCATTTGATGGTAATGGATGGCATTTAAATACACACTGAATGTCGCATTGCTTAAAAGTCAAGACCCTTGTAAGCAATATTAAGTGATAGGCAGAGAGTGTTTTCTGGGATAGAGAAGACAGGGGAAGAGTTCACAGCTCTGATGGTGAACGCAGGGAAAATCCATTGTCCCAAGATCTTGACACTTAGAAACTGAAAATGAAGAAAACACAAGTGTGTGTGTGTATGGCTTGTGTATGTGCATATATATACACATAGATATGTGTGTGTGTGTATATATATATATTTCTGTGTTATATTCATTTAACCTTAATTACCTCCTCACAGGCCCTACATAACTGTATTTGGAGAAGGGTCTGCAAGAGTGTGTGTGTGTGTGTGTGTGTGTGTGTATGTATATGTGTGTGTATATATATATATATACACACATATACATGTGTGTACATATATATATACATACACACTTCTGTGCTATAGCCATTATATTATTAATATAATTCAGAGAGAAATAGTTGCCAAAATCATTTTACAATCTAGTGATTAGGGTGGATGATCCGGCTATCTACTGTTATGGACTGATTTGTCTCCTCCCAAACTTATAGGTTGAAGCCCTAACCCACAACGTGACTGTATTTGGAGCTAGGGCCTGTAGGAAGGAATTAAGGTTAAAGGAGGCCATCAGTGTCCTTATAAAAAGAAGCCACACCAGGAGTGCACACACAGAGAAAAGGCCATGAAGACATAGTGATAAGGCGCCATCTGCAAGCCAAGGATAGAGGCCCCAGGTGAAACTAACCTGCCAGCACCTTGATCTTGGACTTCCAGCCTCTGAAACCATGGGAAATTACATTTCTGTTGTTTAAGCCCCCGAGTCTGGCATTTTCCGATGGCAGCCCTACCTGATGAGTACATCTACTCGTTAGCCAGCCCTAGTTCCTTTCCTCTGCTGGCAGAATCTGCATCCTATCCCAGATGGAAAACACTGGTGACTTGCTGTCCCAGCCTCCCTTGCCACCCAGACTGGGCATGTGATCCAGTCCCAGCCAATGAGACATAAATGGAAGTCTCCTGGGGCTTCTGGAAAAGATGAGAGAGATGGATGTCTGAGAAGAACCACTCACCCTCTTGATGCGTATGAATTTTATCACATGAGGAAGTGAAGCTGGAGCTGCCACAGTTGTCTTAAGACCCTTTGGGAGGCCAAGAGCAGCGCAAGGGAGGGGTCTTAGAGCCTCAATGCAGTGCAGCTGCTGAACCAACCCTGGAAACTGCTTACCCCTACACTCCTTGGTATGTGAGAAAAATAAAACCCCATGTTTGAGCCACTTTTACTTGAATATGCATTGCTTGGGCTGAAAATGTATTAAATGATCCAATGTTTTGTTTTTGTTTTTTAAAGGAAGTCTTTTGGAAATCTGTCATTCCACATGATACCATGCCAGACAGACAAGTATCACGTTCTAGAGAATTCTAGTTAACCCAGGCCATTAGAAAGTTGAGCATAGAGGTTTTTCCACGTTGACACAATCTTTTGAGTGTGAGCAATTATGACTGTGTGCAATTCTGCTATAAGTGCATGGATTGATAAGACTGTCCAATTGTTCAAATATTTCTTCTAAAAATCAGCAGAATTCCCCCCTCTTCTTCATCTCCACTATGAGCATCCCAATCCATCGTCTTGCTTCTGGCCAGTCCCCATTGCGTTCCTCGCAGTCTAGGCATACTCGCTTGTTTATCTTTTACTTTAAAAAGTTTCTTTTCTTTAAAAAAAATTTTTTTTAGTATTTTTTATTCAAAATTTTTTTATTTTAAATTTTCTTGGGTATATAGTAGGTGTATATATTTATGGGGTACATGAGATGTTTTGATACTACTTAAAAAAATTTCAAATCAAAGTAACACATATGCATGACTTGACAAGAAAGTTGTGCAGAGGGGCTTACAATGGGTCCCTTGGCTCACCAGTCCCTCCTCACACAGGTAATCATTTTAACCATTAAATATATATGCTCTCACCGTCCTCTCCCCATATATAATTATATCCCTAATCATTATCTTTAGATTTTTAAATAGTTTGTGCCAATACAAATATACTTAATTATCTATAGTTTGGCAGTTTCTTAAAAAGTTAAACAAATTTACCATGTGACCCAGTAATTCTACTACCACATATATCTACCCAAGACAAACAAAAACATACATTCGCACAAGGACTTGTGTGGGAATGTTCACGGCAGCATTTATTCATAATAACTAAAACGTGGAAACAACCCAAGTGCCCATCAGCTGATGAATAGATAAGATGTGGCATATCCGTACAAAGATATTATTCACCAGTTAAAAGGCATGAAGTACTGACACATGCTATAACATGGATGAGCGCTGGAGACATTATGTTCAGTGAAAGAAGCCAGACACAAAAGACCACATATTGTATAATTCCATGTATGTGAAATGTCCAGAAAAGGCAACTCTGTAAAGACAGAAATCAAGGTTGCCAAAAACTGGGACTGGGAACAGGGAGTAACTGCAAACAGGCAGGAAGGATCTTTCTGAGGTGATGGAAAAGTTCTAAAACTGGATCGTAGTGATGATTGCAAAGCCTTGTAAATTTACTCATAATCATTGAATTGAATATTTAAAGAGTGAATTTCATGGTGTGTAAATTATACCTTGATAAGGCTTTAAAATATTTTTTAAAAATCACATTGTTCCCTATCTTCTCTTCTATCAACTAGAGACAGTACTCTTTACTTCCTCCTTTCTAAGGTTAATGTGCCCAGCCTTCCTGACCCCTCTGTTATCTCTGTTCACTTTTCAACGGAGTCTTGCTCTGTCACCCAGTCTGGAGTGCAGTGGCGCGATCTTAGCTCACTGCAACCTCTGCCTCCTGGGTTCAAGCAATTCTCCTGTCTCAAGCTCCTGAGTAGCTAGGACAACAGGCGCACGCCACCACGCCCCGCTAATTTTTATATTTTTAGTAGAGACCGGGTTTCACCATATTGTTCAGGCTGATCTCGAACTCCTGACCTCAGATGATCCACCCGTGTCGGCCTCCCAAAGTGCTGCAATTACAGGCATGAGCCACCACGCCCGGCCCCTTTTCAATTTCTTTAAGTTGTATACAGTCGGTCCTCAACATGGTTGATAAGTTCTTAGAAACTGTAACTGTGAGTGAAACAACATATAACAAACCAATTTTACCATAGGCTAATTGATATAAACAAGAGTTAAGTTCCTATGGCATATTTCTGGTCACAAAAACATCACCAAACTTCTAAACAATGATCAAAACAATTCTAATAAACATTGAAATAAATGTCAGCTCTACATATAATCATTAACGTACATTAATTAAGAAAGATTGATAAAAACAAGATAATTATGTACCCAATTTTTGGTGAATCAGTGAGTGACAGCTGTCATAGTGGTGGTGGGTTAAATCAAGGAATAAATGTTTACAAAGTGAAAATGGTAAGGAACACGGTCTACCACCACACAGTTCAAAAACAACCCCTACTAAATGTGGCAGGCTCGTCGAGTGCTTTCCTACCATCCTACTGCATCATCTAAGGTCAGACATTTGTATTATTATCGTCTGCTTGATGAATTTTTATTTTATAATCATTTGTATTTATACATTCATTCATTTCACAAGCTGCTTATTCCAGTTCAGGGTCGCAGGTATCGGAGACTCTCCCAGCAGCTCAAGGCGCAAGGCGGGAACCTACCCTGGACAAGATGCCATCTAACACAAGACTCACTCACACACACAGCCACACCCGCTCACACGGGACAATGGAGACCCACTAATCCACCTAATTGCACAGCTTTGTGGGAAGAAACTGGAGTACCTCAAGGAAACGCAGGTGGACAAAGGGAGAAGGTGCAAACTTCACCTGGATGGTGGCCCCTGCCGGGAATCAATTGTTTTTTCTTTGTCAACGTTATAGCGAAACATCATCAAATGAAATGACATTCAAGGACCTGCTATATTTACTTTTACTTTGCAAAGAATGCTAACATTTTATTCTGTTTTATCTACAAATAAATTCTATGGACTTAAAAGCAATAAGCAGCATTTACACAAATGTGATTTTGCAAATATTTTTTCATGGAAGAACCAAGTCTTGTGCTGCGACTCTGTTTTCTTTCCGATGGTTCCAATGTCACTTTTCCTGGACTGCTCAAAAGAGGACGTTCAAATGGATTATCCATTTTTGCATTCTGTCAATCACTTAAAATCATGTCACATTTTATTTTTCTTCATATTTGAACAATGGCTTTCTTATGCAGTTGTACGCTTCTCTGCTCCTGGATTAAAAAAAATAATAACCTTTCCATTTTAGAAGAGTTTTAGATTTACAGAAAAGCTGTGAAGATAGTACAGAGAGTTCCCATATGCCTCACACTCAGTTTCTACTAATATTAACATTTGACATGAATATAGTACATTTGTCACCATTTATGAACTGATGTTGATAAATTATTAGCTAAACTCCCTACTTTATTGAGTTTTTTCTGTTTTAATGTAGCATCCTTTTTCTGATTCCATTTTGGAAGCCACATTACATTGAAGCTGTCATGACTCCTGAGCCTCCTCTTGGCCGTGACAGTTTCTCAGGCTTTCTTTGTTTTGATTACCAGGACAGTTTTGAGGTGAGCTGGTCAGGTTTGTTGCAGGGCACTTCTCTATTGGAATTTGCCTGATGCTTTTTAATCTTTTTTGCTGTAAAATGAAGCACATATACCAAAAAACACAAACTAAATATATGACCTAATTAATTAATTATTATTTTCTTTTTTGACAAGGAGTCTCACCCTGTCGCCCAGGCTGGAGTGCAGTGGCGTGATCTCGGCTCACTGCAACCTCCGCCTCCCAGGTTAAAGCTATTCTCCTGCCTCAGCCTCCCGAGTAGGTGGGATTACAGGCATGCGTCACTATGCCCAGCTAATTTTTGTATTTTTAGTAGAGATGGGGTTTCTCCAGGTTGGCCAGGCTGTTCTCAAACTCCTGATCTCAGATTATCCGGCCACCTTGGCCTCCCAAAGTGCTGGGATTACAGGCATGAGCCACTGCGCCTGGCCGACCTAATTAATTTTTATAACGTGAACACCCTTGTAACCACCTCCCAGGTCAAGAAATAGAACTTTGTCGCACCACAGAAGCCTCTCCAATAGACCTTATTTGTTTTAGTCTAAAAGACCAGAGACTGGGTAGTAGAGATGCCTATTGCCACTGGACGAGGGTGATGTTATGAGCTTAATTGTGTCCTCTAAAAATTTCTATGTTGAAGTCATAACCCTCAGTACATCGGAATATGACTATAATTGGAGAGCGGGTCTTAAAAGAGGGAATTAAGTTAAAATGAGTTAATATCAATGAGCCCTTATCCAATATGACTGGTGTCTTTAGAAGAGGAGGAAATTCAGATAGACACACAGAGTGAAGCCCGTATGAAGACATGGGGAGAGGACAGTCAGGTACAAGCCAAGGAGAGAGGCCTTAGAGGAAACCACCCCTGCTGACACGTGGATCTCAGACTTCCAGACTCCAGAACTGTGAGTAAATAAATTTATTCTGTTTAAGCCCCCTAGTCTATGGTGCTTTGTTATGACAGTCAGAGCAGATAAATAGTTGGTCATTGTTTGTAGGTCTTTTCAGCAGACTGAGCTAGGAAATACATAAGCAAACAAACACACACACTTATATGAAGATAAACGATCTCATGAACTCATGTTGCTATTTTGTTATTCCTGATGTTAAAGAGGATACAATACTTTAAATAATATACAAAGTAAGACAGAAGAAATAAAATCAAGTATATCAGTCATTATATTAAATACGAGGGGACTAAACTTTACCATTAAAAACAGACATTGTCAGCCAGGCGTGGTGACTCATGCCTGCAATTCCAGCACTTTGGGAGGCCAAGGTGGGCGGATTTGAGGCCAGGAGTTCAAGGCCAGCCTGACCAATATGGTGAAACCCTGTCTCTACTAAAAATACAGAAATTAGCCAGGCATGGTGGTGGGTGCCTGTAATCCCAGTTACTCGGGAGGCTGAGGTAGGAGAATCGCTTGAACCTGGGAGGAGGAGGTTGCAGTGAGCCGAGATTGCACCATTGCACTCCAGCCTGGGTGACAAAGCTAGACTCTGTCTCAAAAAGACAAAAACAAACAAACAACAAAAAAACAAAAAACAACGGATGTTGTCATATTTGGCATTAAAAACCAAGTCGGTTAAATACAATTTATGCATATTTGAAGGTAAGTGATAGAAAAAACTTGAAAGTAATGGATTAGTAGTGATACTAAACAAAAGCAACCAAAGGAAAGCTGGAATGTCAAAATCAGACATAGTGAAATTTGAAGTAGAAACACTAAAAAAATTAATAGAGAAAGTATGCAATGAAAGATCATAATTTATGAGTAATTATAACCATCCAAAATCTATATGCACCAAGTAATATAGTAACTTATATCTAAAAAATATTTGAATTGCAAGTAGAGCCTAATAAAAATACAATTATGGTGAAAGATTTGGGTACATTTCTCTTTTTCTCTCAGAGTTGAACTGATCTAGTAGAAAAAAATAAGTCAGGCTATAGAAGAATAAAACCATGATAAGAAACTTGATTTAATAAATGTGTATAGAAACTTACACAACTCAAAAGAGATGATACACATTTCTTTCTATATCTATAGAATATTTACAGAACTTGATTGCATTTAAGTTGGTCACAAAAAAACCACATTAGAAACAACAAAATAACAAAATAAATGAGCAATAAAAGAGTTTTAACTTATCAGAAATTAAGCAATACCACTCCCAATTAGCTGTTGGAGCAAAGAAATCAAAGAGAAATTATACGCCACTAAATAACCATGAAAAGGAGAATATTTATACCAAAACCTGTGGGGCACAGAGAATTCTGTATTTATAAAATATTTTAGAGCCTTAAATGCCTTCTATATTAAAAATAATAAAATGATAAGAGTATTAAATATTCATCTTAAGAAACTAGAAGAAAAGACAACAAACTAAACAAAAAGAAATGAAGAAGAAGAAATTAATAAAGATAAAAAGCGAAAATTAATAAAATAGCAAAAACTGGTACAAAGACTGGATAAATCCAACTATTCACTGAAAATACCAATGAAATAAACAAATCTTATGTTACCCTAAGATAAAATGAAACAAAATGTGTATCTATAGGAATGACAATGGAGCATAACTTCAGATAAATAAATTTTAAGTGTTACAAATATTATAATAGAACAGCACATGCAACTCTATGGCAACAGATACAAACACAAAAGGAAATGGGTTTCCTAGTAAAATACAACTTACTAAAACTTATTGAAGAAGAAATGAAAAATTGAAAGGACTATTTACCACAAAAGAGTTTGAAAAAATTTTAAAGATCTGTCATTGAAAAAGCAGTAGGACCAGAAGATTCAAACAGAGTCATATCTAGTTGTTATAAAACAAATAATTCCAATGTTATTTAATGCAAGCCTAAGAATAAGGCAAAATAAGTTTGTTTCCTAAGTCTGATGTACCACAAGAAAGATAACAACAAAACTAGGAACCTTTTTTACTTATAAATACAGTTGCAAAAATGTTAAATAAAAGATCAGTAAATAGAATATATATATATGTAACAAAAATTTGTACTGTATGTCCATGGAAGGTTTATTCTAGGAATAATGATGGTTCAGTTTCAGGGATATTTTTATACTAATTCATTATATGAAAAGTTAAAAGAGAAAACCACATGACCATATCAATGGATGCTTAAAAATCATTTGATAAAAGCCAGCAGACATTTGCATGGCAAATTCTAAGTAAAATAGAAATAGAAGGATGCTGATTAAATAAAATAAAGACTGTTTACCAATACCCAAGAGTACATATTGTTCTAAAAGGTAAAATTCTAAAATTATTTTAATGAAAATCAGAAACTATGAGAATGACTACTGTCACTATTATTGCTTGATTTTGTCAGAGATTTTAACAAATGTAATACAACAAAAAATAAGTTGCATAAATACCAGAAAAATGGTAAAAACTCTTAGTCTTTGTGGATGATACTATAATATACCTAAAAACAAAAAAGTCTGTAGTTAAGAAAATACAGTTATCCCTTAGCATTCATGGGGAATCCTTTTCTAGACCCTGTGTGGATACCAAAATCTGTGGCTACTCAACCTCCTTATATAAAATGGGGTAGTATTTGCATATAACCTGTGCTCATCCTTCCATATACTTTAAATAATTTCTAGATTACTTATAATACCTAATATAATGTAAATGCTATGTAAATAGCTATTGTACTGTATTTTTTCAAAATTTGTATTTTTTTCTACCACAAAACACAGTACAATTGCCCACAGACCCTATAAAGCAACCACACAAAAGAAACTACAAAACAACAAGCTAACAACTTCATGATAGGATTAAAACCTCACATATCAATATTAACCTTGAACATAAATAGTCTAAATGCCCCACTTAAAAGGCATAGAGTGGCAAGTTGAATAAAAAACAAGACCCATCCATCTGCTGTCTTCAAGAGATGCATCTCACAAGTAACAACACCCTTAGGTTCAAAGTAAAGAGTTGAAGAAAGATCTACCACATACACGGAAAACAAAAAGAGAGGGTGTCACTATTCTTATATCAGACTCTAAATCAACAATGGTAAGAAAAGGATAATGAAGGGCATTGCATAATGATAAAGGGTTCAATTCAACAAGAGTGATTAACTATCCTAAATATATACAATGTTCGAGCACCCAGATTCATAAAACAAACTTCTAGACCTATGAAAAGACGTAGACAACCACACATAATAGTGGAGGACTTCAACACCCCACTGTCAGCATTAGACAGATTATCGAGGCACAAAACTAACAAAGAAATTCTAAACTTAAACTCAACACTTGACCTATTGGACCTAACAGACATCTACAGAATGCTCCACTCATCAACCACAGAAGATACATTCTTCTCACCTGTGCATGGAACATACTTCAAGATTGACCCCATGCCTGGCCATAAAGCAAGCCTCAATAAATTAAAAAAATAGAAATATACCAAACATACTCTTGGACTACAGTGGAATAAAAATAGAAATCAATATCAAGAAGATCTCTCAAAACCACACAATTACATGGATAATCAACTTGCTCCTGAATGGCTTTTGGGTAAACAATGAAGTTAGGGAAGATGTCAAAAAATTCTTCAACATAAATGAAAATAGAGACACAGCATACCAAAATCTCTGGGATGCAGCAAAAGCAGTGTTAATAGGAAAGTTCATAGTGCTAAATAAATGTCTACCTCAAAAAATTAGAAGGATCTCAAATTTATGATCTAATATTGCACCTAGAGGAACCAGAAAAACAAAAACAAACTAACCCAAAGCTAGTAGGAGAAAAGAAACAATGAAAACCAGAGCAGAACTAAATGAAACTGAGACCCAAAAATCCATACAATGAATCAACAAAACCAAATGTTCGTTCTTTAAAAGGATAAAGATCAATAGAGCACTAGGTAGATTAACAAAGAAAAAAAAAAGAGAAGATCCAAATAGGTACAATTGGAAATGACAAAGGTAACAGCATTACAACCAAGCCTGAAGAAATACAAAAGGTCCTCAGAGACTATTATGAAGACTTCTATGCAAATGAACTAGAAAATCTAGAGGAAATGGATAAACTCCTGGAACCACACAATCTTCCAAGAATGAATCAGGAAGAAATTAAAACCCTGAACAGACCAACATCAAGTTGCAAAATTGAATCAGTAGTTAAAAAAAAAAAAACCAACTAAAGAATCCCCAGACTGAATATATTCACAGCCAAATTCTACCAGACATAAAAGGAAGAGCTGGTACCAATTTTACTGAAACTATTCTAAAAAAATCGAGGAGGAGAGACTCATCCCCAACTCATTCTATGAGGCCAGCATAACCTTCATAGCAAAGATACAACAAAAAGAGAAAACTATAGGCCGATATCCCTGATGAACATAGACATAAAAATCTTCAACAAAATACTAGCAAACTGAATTCAACAGCACATCAAAAAGTTAATTCATCATAATCAAGGCTTCATTCCTGGGATGGAAGGCTGGGTCAACATATACAAATCAATAAATGTGACTCACAACATAAACATAATTAAAAATAAAAGCCATATGGTCATCTCAATAGACATGAGAAAAGCTTTTGATAAAATCCAACATCCCTTCATGAAAAAAACCCTCAAGAAACTAGGCATCGAAGGAACATACCTCAAAACAATAAGAGCCATCTATGACAAACCCACAGCCAATATCATGCTGAAAAAGCAAAAACTGGAAGCATTTCCCTTGAGAACTGGAACAAGACAAGGTTGTCCACTCTCACTATGCCTCTTCAGCATAGTGCTAGCCAGAGTAATCAGGTAAGAGAAAGAAATAAAAGGCATCTAACTAGGAAAAGAGGAAGTCAAACTATTTCTCTTCATGGATAGTGTGATTCTATACCTAGAAAACCCTAAAGACCCCACCATAAGGCTCCCAGAACTAATAAATTACTTCAGTAAAGTTTCATGATACAAAATCAGTGTACAAAAATCATTTTGTACATCCATATGCAAATAACGTTCAAACTGAGAGCCCTACAATCCCATTTACAATATACACACACACACATATATACACACACACACACCTAGGAATACATTTAACTAAGGAGGTTAAAGATCTCTACAAGCAGAATTACAAAACACTGCTCAAAGAAATCATAGATGACACAAACAAATGGAAAAATGTTCCATGCTAATGGATTGAAAGAATCAATATCATTAAAATGGCTATACTGCTGAAAGTAATCTACAGACTCAATGCTGTTTCAATTAAACTACCAATGACATGATTCACAGAATTAGAAAAAAAAATTTAAATTCATATGGAACCAAAGAAGAGCCCGAATAGCCAAGGCAATCATAAGCAAAAAACAAAGCTGGGGCATCACACTACCTGACTTCGAACTATACTACAAGGCTACAGTAACTAAAACACTATGATACTGGTACAAAAACAGACACATAGACCAATGGAACAGAATAGAGAACCCAGAAATAAAGCTGTCAACCTACAGCCAACTGAACATTGACAATGTTAACAAAAATAAGCAACGATGAAAGGACTCCCTATTCAATAAATGGAGCTGGGATAACTGGCTAGCCATAGGTACAATAATGAAACTGGATCCCTACATTTCACCATAGATAAAAATTAACTCAAGATGTATTAAAAACTTAAATATAAGACCTCAAACTGTAAGAATCCTAGAAGAAAACCTAGGAAACGCCATTTTGGACATTGGCCTTGGGAAATACTTTATGACTAAACCCTCAAAAACAATTACAACAAAAACAAAAATTCACAATTGGGACCTAATTAAACTAAAGAGTTTCTGCACAGTCAATGAAATTATCAACAGAGTAGACAGACGACCTACATAATGGTAGAAAATAGTTGCAAACTATGCATCTGACAAAGGTCTAATATTGAGAATCTATAAAGAACTCCAATAACTGAACAAGCAAAAAACAACCCCATTAAAAAATGGACAAAAGACATCAACAGTCACTTCTCAAAAGAAGACACGCAAATGGCCAATAAACATGAAAAAATGTTCTACATCACTAATCATCAGAGAAATACAATTCAAAACCACAATAAGATACCATCTTACACCAGTCAGAATGGCTATTATTAAAAGTCAGATGCTAGTGAGGCTGCAGAGAAAAGGGAATACTTACACACTGTTGGTGAGAATGTAAATTAGTTCAGCCACTGTGGAAAGCAGTTTGGAAATTTCTCAAATAACTTAGAACTACCATTTGACCCAGCAATCTCATTCCTGGGTATATATTCAAAAGAAAACAAATCATTCTATCAAAAGACACAACATTTGCACGTTCATCACAGCACCATTCACAATAATGAAGACATGGAATCAACTTAGGTGCCCATCAATGGTGGACTGGATGAAGACAATGTGGTATATAAACTCCATGGAATACTATGCAGTCATAAAAAATAATGAAATCATGTCCTTTGCAGCAACATGGATGCAGCTGGAGGCCATTATTCCAAGCAAATTAACCCAGAAACAGAAAACCAAATACTGCACGTTCTCACTTATAAGTAGGAACTAAACATTTGGTACTCATGGATATAAAGATGGCAACAGTAGACATTGGGGACTACTAGATGGGGAAGAGATGAGGGACAAGGATTGAAAAACTAACTACTGGGTACTATGTTCAGTATCTTGGAGACAGGATCATTTGTACCTCAAACTTCAGCATCACGCAATATACCCAGGTAACAACCCTGCATATGAACCCCTTGAATCTAACATAAAAGTTGAAGGCCAGGTGCAGTGGCTCATGCCTGTAATCCCAGTACTTTGGGAGTCCGAGGCAGGTGGATCACCTGAAGTCAGGAGTTTGAGACCAGCCTGGCCAACATGGTGAAACCCTGTCTCTACTAAAAATACAAAAAATAGCTGGGTGTGGTGGCGGGCGCCTGCAATCCCAGCTGCTTGGGAGGCTGAGGCAGGAGAATTGCTTGAACCCAGGAGGTGGAGGTTGCAGTAAGCCGAGATTGCGCCATTTACACTCCAGCCTGGGCAACAAGAGCGAAACTCCATCTCAAAAAAATAAATAAATAAAATAAAATTAAAAATAAAATAAAAGTTGAAAAAAAAAGAAACCTAGAAAAAAATCCACCTAGAAAAAAATATACCAAAATTTGTATTTCTTATTGTTGTATTGATAGTTTTTATTTATTTTTAAAAAAATATTTTCTAGTCAAGGTTAGTGGAATCTGGGGATGAGAAGAGCCAAGTGTACTATATTTTAAAGAAAAATTCAGAAGGTGGATGGTTATAAGATAAATATACAAAAAATAACTTTTGTCCATTCTAGCAATAAACACCTTGAAATTAAATATGAAGAATAGTTAATTGACAATAATGGCAAAACCTGTAAACCACAAATAAATTTAATAAAAAACACTCTCGATCTAAATGAACTATAAAATCTTACTGAAAGACATAAAATGTCTGTTTTTAAAATTTGTTTTTAAAAATTGTATTGCAATTTTTCATTGTGTTTTTTGGGACTATTTCCTATCTGAACAAAAAGAAAATCACTACTATGATTTTGGATGCAAATATTTTACATTATGAATATATCAATGCTATATAAATGATAAATTACTATATAAATATAATGGAAAAGTAAGCAGTTTTTTTTGAGTGGATAAAATAATCTAAAAGTTTCTATGGAGGACTAAATTCTAGAGAATAGCCACAAATATATGAGAGACCAAGCCTGCTGAGAGGAAACTGTCCTGGTCTCAGACCATACTGTTAAGGCACTGCAGTAAAACCAATAAGATGTTTGTATAAGACTAGGTAAACAGTTTAGTGGAACACAAGAGTCTGAAATTAGATCCAGGAGAGAGAATTTAATATGGCAAAAATTGATGGTTTGGTGGGAAAATAAACAAAAACTGCTCTTTTGATTTTGTTTTTGTTTTGTCTTACTTTTTCTGCTATTCACAACTTGACCATAGAGCGCATCTCCCGTGCTTACTTTGTCCTTCATTACTTATTGTCCAGTTCACACAGGGATGTGCTGGATCCGGCTTTTACCAGCTCACAGCAGCTAACTGTGTGCAGTCCTCCATTTATTAACCCTTTATATACAACAAATGGCCGACTTAACAACCAAAATCTTGGAAAACAGCTTGTTTCTAATCTGAGGATTGCGTATATTTCTTAGCTGTGTCTGACTTTCTTATTTCCAAATCCAAATAAAATTAATGACAGCAACAATAACAACAATAACAAACTAGAGATAGTTTGAGGAGGATGCAAAGAAGTAGATCTTACTTGTTACGCCCATGGGCTTTGCAATCAAACAAATCTAGATCTGATCTCCACTAACCCTCAAACAACTATGGGAATTAGAAAGGACTCAGCCCTCTCAGTAATGCCTAACCACAGCCTACCCCTGCCCACACATTTAACTCGCATGGCCTATCTCCTAGCAAAAAGGGTTTTCTCTTGTGAAACACATTAATATCACTGGGTGAGCTATTAACAAAAACCTTTGCCCAGGCTCTACTCTGGACAAATTAAATCAGAATTTCCAGGTGATTGTAGGATGCCTCCAGGGTTGAGAATCACTGCACTGGTTGGTATATAAGCACAAAATGATTTCACTTTGATGGTCATGATGACCATGAAGTCATGCCCTTTTCTTGACAAATCTGGTGAGTTCTCAAGGAGTATTACTGAAAAATCAAAGCCCATCTGCCTGTCTTCTGATGGCTTCAGTCGTGACTAGAAGATCCTTGAGGAAATGGCTTTGAGTTGAGTTGTTTGTGTGTATACTGGATACTGAATAGCCTAGGCGAGTGGCCCCATGACAATGGGCTGGTGCTTGATATCCTTATTCTAGCCATGCAGATCCTAGAATGAGCAGCTTCTGTAAGGTGAATGAATGCCAACCAGGTGCTTACAGGCAGTGTGCAGAGAATCTTCCTGTTGTTCTACCTAAGTCCTGTCTGGATGGAAGTGGTTGTAAGTCCTGAGAGGTCTTTGTAATTTAGCTACTGTTTCTCTAGAGCTCAGGCAACCAATATTCATGTCCTACCCTCATGCAGGGCTTGGGTTTTGCAGTGAGGCTTTTGCTGCTCCAACTTTTCAGCATCTGACATTCAAGTCCATCCTGATCTTACCAATGATACTTTGCCTTAATGGATTTTGACCATTTTACTCTCAGATTTTTTTTCTTTCTAGACCAGAGAGGCCCCAAACTAGCAGCCTGTCCTCCTCAGTAGCCCCAGCATCCCTTCATCATTTTGTTGCCCTTCTATGGGCCTAGTTTAGGTCTGAGAGGCATAGTTTTAAAATTTTTATTGTTATTTATTTATTCTAGAGATAAGGTCTTGCTATGTTTCCCAGGCTGGTCTTGAACTCCTGGCCTCAAGCAATCCTCCTGCAGCAGCCTCCCAAAGTGCTGGGATTACAGGCATGAGCCACCACGTCTGGTCAGACAGGCATAGTTTTACAAATATGTGGGTGGATAAATGCTGTCCAGTCTTACTTCATCACTTCTATCAATTGAATGCTTTTGGTTGGAAATAACAGAAAATCCAACTAAAAGTGACTTAAACAAAGGAAATGTTATTATCTCATGTACCAGGAATTCTGGAGGTAGACTGGTTCAAGGGTGGATTAATTAAGCAGCTCAGATATTATCAAAGACCCAGGTGCTTTCTATTTTTCCACTGTGTCATAGCCTCATGTTGCCTATTGTTCGCAGGCTTGTCACCTGATGGTACAGATAGGTGTCCCAGCTCCCTGCTTCTTGGGCAGACACAGCAGCGTGAGCAGGAGAGGAAGAGCCCTTTTCTCCTGTGTGTTTCTTTTTATCTGCAAGGAAAATCTTGCTCAGGAGCTTTCCAGAAGTTTCCCCTAATATCTCAGAGGCAGAATTTCATCACATGCCTACCCCCGACTGATCCAATAGCAAGGAGAATGGATGAATAGTTTAGACTAATTAATAGTTAACCTTCTGAACTGTCTGCCTGAAGTACATTGCCATCTTATTTTCAAGAAAATTGGGGTTTGTTAGCAAAGTGAGTGGGAAGTCATAGTTGTAGTGCAAGCAGCGAACCGTGTCTGCAATTCTAAACGTCTCCATCACAGCAGTGCACTTAAGAAACATGCCCATACTGAATTGAATAATGAGAACACATGGACACAGGAAGGGGAACATCACACACCGGGGCCTGTTGTGGGGTGGGGGGAGGTGGGAGGGATAGCATTAGGAGATATACCTAATGTAAATGATGAGTTAATGGGTGCAGCACACCAACATGGCACATGTATACATATGTAACAAACCTGCACGTTGTGCACATGTACCCTAGAACTTAAAGTATAATAAAAAAATAAAAAGGAAACCATAAAAAAAAAAAAAAGAAACATGCCCATACTGATTCCCAGGGAATCAAGAATTAAGCTGTCTCAAGATCTTCGTGTTACACCAGAGATACTGTTGATTCCTTACATTTCCAAAGGTATCTTTATTCGCCCTCACATTTCACTGACAGTTTGGCTATGCATGGACTTCTCGGCTCCAAAACAATTTCTAAGAACTTTAAGACCTTTTCCCACCATCTTCCACGATTTACTGTGTCTGAGTTCAGTCTGACTCTCAAGGTTAACCAGGTAAAATGCTTTTTTCTCTCTGGAACAGTGTGGAATTTCCTCTTTATCTCTAGAGTTCTGAAATGTCACCAAAAATATCTAGGTGTGGACCTTCTTTCACTTGTCCCCTGGGCACTGCTTTCACTTTTATTTACTCTCTTTCCTCTGCTTCTGGAATGCTAACTAAATGAATATTTTACCTTTTGGGTCTATCATACTTATTTCTTTTTTTCTGATTTTCTGTTTGTCTCAGCCATAAATTGTGTAAGTTTTCCTTGGCTAGATCTTGTAGACCAAGGGTCTGTAAACTACAGCCAATGGGGCACATCTGGCCCACTGCCTATTTTTGTATGACCCTTGAGTTAATAATGGATTTTAAATGGTTGACTCTCTCCTGCCATCCATGTTTCTCTGCTGGCCACATGAAGAAGTGCTTGCTTCCCCTTTGCCTTCTGCCACGATTGTAAGTTTCCTGAGGCCTCTCCAGCCATGCCTCCTGTACAGCCTGCAGAACTGTGAGTCAATTAAACCTATTTTCTTTATAAACTTAAAAGAAAAGTTGAAAAAAATAAAAGAAATAATAATGCTTCATGGCAGGTGAAAATTACATGAAATTCAAATTTCATAATTAATCTATAAAGTTTTGTTGAAACACAAGCCATGCCCATTTATTTACATATTGTCTATGTTCGCTCCAAAGGCAAAGTTGAGTAGCTGTCCAGAGACTGTATGACCCACAATGCCTAAAGTATTAACTATCTGGTCCTTTACAGAAAAAGTTTGCTGATCCCTATTCCAGCCTATCAGTCTGAGGTTTAGCCATGCTCATTGTATTATTCCGGTGGTCCACTGAATTTTTTTTGCATAATAACTTTTTTTGAGACAGGGTCTCACTCTGATGCCCAGGCTGGAGTGCAGTGGCATGCTCATGTTGCACTGTAGACTTGACCTTCTGGGCTCAAGTGATCCTCCCACCCCAGTCTCCCTAGTAGCTGTGACTACAGGTGTGAACCACTACGCCTGGCTAATTTTTGTATTTTTTGTAGAGATGGGGTTTTCCAATGTTGCCCAGGCTGGGCCTCAGCCTCCCAAAGTGCTGGGATTACAGGTGTAAGCCACCACACCTAGCCCATAATATTTTTAATTTCTGAAAGTTTTTGTTTTTTGGCTATTATTTTATCAAATGGATCATTTTGTTATGAGTTTAATATATGTTTTTATTTAAAGTAAGCTTTCTGCACAAATACTAAAAAGGACATAAATTATAATTATAAAACTCAATAAATTTTCACAAAGTGAACATATCCATAGAGTGGTTTCTTTCACTCAACATTATGTTTGTGAATTTCACCCATGTTGTTGTGTGTAGCAATCATTTGTTCATCTGCTGTCCATTGGTTGATCAGGCCAAAAGTATATGTATTTATTTAATAGTTCTACTACCAAAGTTGTTTTCAGGTTTTGGCTTTTAAAAGTAGCATGGCTATAAACATTCTTGTACATATTTTAAGGAACATATTGTACACATTTCCATTAAGTAGTAGATTGTTGAGCTATAGAATGTGCATATATTCAGACAGAGTAGATACTGTCAAATTCCCACCAACAATGTATGAGAGATTCGGTTGCTCCATATCTTCACTAGCACTTGGTAGTATCAGTCTTTTTAATTTGAGTCATTCTGGTGGCTATGTATTAGTATTTCATGGTGGTTTTAATTTGCATTCCCCTAATGCCCAAGGAGTTTAGAAATTTTCCACATATTTTTAGGCCAGTTAGATAGCTTATTTTGTGAAGTGCCTGCTCAAGTCTCTTGCCCAGTTTTCTATTGGATTCTGTATCTTTCTCTTATGGGTATAGGAATTCTTTATATATTTTGGAAGTGAGTCCCTTGTCAATCCTCGTGGCTTGCCTTTTTTATACTCTTAATGATGTTTTGTGAT
This sequence comes from Homo sapiens, assembly GCF_000001405.40. Classification (NCBI taxonomy): domain Eukaryota; kingdom Metazoa; phylum Chordata; class Mammalia; order Primates; family Hominidae; genus Homo; species Homo sapiens. Next base: position 125,319,559 of record NC_000010.11, read on the forward strand.
GACTAGAAGTTATTAATTTTTAGTGGTTTAACTTATCAACTTTTTCCCTTAATGGTTAGTGCTTTTTATGTTATGCATAAGACATCTCTGCCTACTTCAAAGCTATGAAGATATTATCCTTTGTTTGTGTTCTAAAAGCTTTATTGTTTGCCCTTTCACAAGTTGACCTTGAATTCACCTAGGATTGATTTTTGTTAATGGAGTGAGGTCGTGGTTATGATGCAGTTTTCCCACATGGATATTCAATTGACTCAGTTTTATTCTTTGAAAGGATCGTCTTTTTCCATTGTACTGATGTGTCTCCTTGGTCACAAATTTAGTGACTGTATGTGTGTGGATCTGTTTCTGGATTTGGTGTTCTGTTCCATTGCTCTATCTGCCTATCATTGCACCGATATCACATGCCTTGATTGCTGTAGCTTTGTAATGAATGTTGATATCTGGTAACGTAAGTCCTCCAGTCTTATTCTTCAAGATTGTCTTGGTGACTTTTGGCATTTATCATTTCCTTATAAATTTTAGAATCAACTTGTCAGTTTGCACACACATTTAAAAAGACTTCTGAATTTTGATTGGAATTGCATTGAACTTAAAACTCAATTTTGGAACAATTTATATCTTCATAATATTGACTCTTCAAATTCATAAATTTGCTATATACCATCATTTGTTTAGGTCTTCCTCATTTCCTCTCTCCCTTCTTTTGTTCTTTCCTTTCTTCTTTCCTTTGTTCCTTTAAGTCTTTAATTTCCATGAAAGTTTTGCCAGTTTTTGTGTATATAGATTTTGCAACATCTTTTGTTAGCTTTATTCCTAGATAATTTGTTTATGGATGCTATCATAAATGATAGCATTTAAAAACTTAATTTCTATGTGTGTGTTGCTCGCACAATCAATTTCTGCATATTAAGCATATATCCAATGACCTTAAATTCACTTTGCTGAATATTCTTTCCAATTTTCTAATATTTGAACACGTGTTTGACTAATGGTAGTTTTGTTTTTTCTTCCTTTATCCTTAAACTTTTATTTTTTGCCTTATTGTAGTGATTAAGACCTTCGGTACAATGTTGAATCAAAGTTATAGTAGGCAATCTTGTCTCATTCCCAATGTCCTGGAAGAATGTTTCCAATAAATTATGATGTTCACTAAATTGTATTTTTCTGCTTTTTGTTTGATGCTCTTGGTTTAAAGTTCTCTATTATTTCTATTATGAATGGGTAGTGAATTTTATTAAATGCTTTTTCTGCATCTATTGAGATGATTATATAATTTAATAATGTAGTGCATTATTTTGATTGAATTTAAAATGTTAAACCAACTTTGCATTCTTAGAATAAAGCCTACTTAATAATGATGTCTTATCCTTGTTATCTATCATTGAATTTTATTTGCTTATATTTGTTTAGGCCTTTTGTGCCTATGTTCATGAAGGAGATTAAACTGTAATTTTCCTTTCTTACTAACTGCAGATTCTAACGTAGCCTATTTTATGCCAATATTTCTTACAGAGAGAAAACTGCTAGTTTATAAACCCCAAGTATTAGAATCTGGATATGCTTTTTGGGGAAAGCCCCCTACACAACTTTGGCAAACCAGCTGGCATGTGTGTTTGAGCCTACCCATGTCTTTTGCATTTCGGTAAATGGTATCACCATCCATTGGTTGATCAGGCCAAAAACTTAGTGTTCACCATAAATTCCTCTCTTTCCCTCACACCTTGCATCCAATGTATTAGCAATTCCTTTTGGCAGTAGCTGCACACATATTCACAACTCAAACCATTTCTTGCATCTTCACTGCTTTTCCTTTGCCCCACTATGGTCTTCATCTGCCTGGATTACTGTCATTGTCTCCTAAACCATCTCCCTACTTCTACTCTTGTCTTCTTCCCCTGTAATTCATCCTATACTCAGAAACTGGAGAGATCTTTTAAAACTCTATATCTAACAATGTCACTTCTCTGCTTTTATCCATCCACTGGCTTCCTATTTCAACTTGCAGGGTTGCAAATATGATCTGGCCCTTGTCTACCTTATGAATGTCATTTCCTACGCCTTTTCCTATTATTACTAGGATTCAACCACTTAAGTACTCTGTCAGATTATCAGGTATTATTTTCTTTATAGAGTTATGCACATAAAACAATATTTACTTTTTCCTCGCTTATTTTTTCCCACATTCCCCATACTCTTTGAGAGTTGAACATTCACTGACAGCCATACCCCAGCACTTAGGACAGTATATAATCATAGAAGATGCTGGATACGTGTTTGTTGACTACCTGCTTTGTTTAATCATCAATCCAGTCTCATCTGTAGCTGATCCTCTAGAGTTTCCTCTAATTATCTGGTCAGCTGCAGACTCTATTTCTTGTTTCCAGGACTGGTTTTGTTTTTTGTTTCTTTGTTTTTCTTTAAAAATATCTCATTTTTTTGTCATTTCAATGGGACCTTGTAAGGGAGGAGAGACAGGAGCATGTGCTTAGCATGACATTGATTTAGATGGCATCAGTCCTCACAATTGTATGATTTTTCTTTAGCAATATTTTATGTATTAATTAATTTCCCCAGTTATTGAGTGTCTGCTCTGAACCAGGCACAGGACTAGGCACTTGGGACAAATTGGTGAACAAAACAGACAATGATTCTTATCCTTGGAGCTTATAATCTAGCTGGGAAGACACAACATAACCATGAGCGAAATTACATCATATGTCAGAAGGGGATAGGTCATATGGAAAAAAGGAAAATTAGAGCAGCTGAAGAGGTTTGGAGGTGGCGTGGAAGCAGGTTGTAGTGTTCAGTGGGGGCTGGGGTCAGGGAAAGTGAAATTTGAGCAAAGACTTGGAGCAGGAGAGAGAGCTAACCAAGCCGGTGTCTGGGGGAAGAGTGTCCAGGCAAAGGGAATACTAAAGTCTAAGGTGGGAGCATGGCTTGGGTGTTTGAGGAACAGCAAGAAGGCTGATGTGGCCGGCACAGAGGGAGTGAGGGAAAGAAACAGAAGAGAAAAGGTTAAAGAGGTAGAGGGGGATAGCTCACCTAGGGCTGTATTTGCCATTGTAGGGGCTTCAGCTGACAATGAGTGAGATGATAGCCATTAGAGAGTTTTGAGCAGAGGGCTGATATGATCTGACTTATTTTGTGAGAGTATTTCTCTGGGTTCTATGTTGGAAGTAGACTATGGGGGGCAAAGGTGGAAACAGGGAGATCTGTTTGGAGGCTGGGGCAGTGTTCCTAGCAATAGATGATGGTGACTTTAAACAGGGCGACGATGGTGGAGGTGGTCAGATGGCATTAGATTCTGGACATGTATATTTTTAATATCTTACAAAATGTTTATGAACCTTTTGAAATACAGAGGAGGTAGTCTTTAAAAAATTTTCTTTTCTCTTGAAAATAGGTTGTATTTTTCTGACTGTTTTGTTTGTTGAGTAATCTTGGATTGTATTTTTTTTTTTAATTAAGACAGAGTCTGGCTCTGTTGCACAGGCTGGAGTGCAGTGGCACGATCTCGGCTCACTGCAACATCTGCCTCCCGGGTTCAAGCGATTCTCCTGCCTTAGCCTCCCAAGTAGCTGGGATTACAGGTGCACACCACCACATCTGGCTAATTTTTGTATTTTTAGTAGAGACAGCGTTTCACCATGTTGGCCAGGCTGGTCTCGAACTCCTGACCTCAGGTGATCCACCCACTTCAGCCTCCCAAAGTGCTAGGATTACAGGCGTGAGCCACCACTCTCAGCTGGATTGTATCTTGACATTGAGAATGTTATCTTGTGAAGACACTGGGTTTTGTTATATTCCTTTGAAGGGTGATTTTCTTTCTTTCTTTTTTTGTTTAAACAGGCACTTAACTTGGCTGGAGACAAAGAACAAACTCTGTTTTCCCTGTGGTAGGGGGCAACTCAAATATCAGTTCAGCCTTTCAGCCTTAGCTGGGCCTCTTGGAATCTGTCCTTCTCATGCATGGTGTAGTGTCAGCCAGGGATTTGGGTTGTGTTTATACCCAGCATTTGGGGCTTCACTTTTGTAGTTCTCTCTTTTCCAACATTTCTCCCCTCATTTCTTATCAGATATGACTGCCTTGAATTCTCTCCTCTGATCCTTTAAATCAGAAAGGCCAAGCGTTTTCTATTGGACTTTTAACTGCTCAACATAGTATATATTTGAGCCTTCACCTGGATAACATTCACAAAAGATGGAGAAACTCATCGACTATCATTCCCTTCTCCCAAGTGTTCACTCCTCTCCAGAATGGGCCTTCTCTGGGTTGCTTTCCAGTGCCTTTAGGTAGTCATATTTTTATATTTTGTCTCTGCATAAGAGTCTGTTTGAATGGAGTTACTCAGAAATGATCAGAATTTGACATATTTTGAAGTTAGAATGTGGGGTTTGAGAGAAATGCAATTTTACTCCAAGAAATTTGACCTGGAAATTTGTAAAGATAGAGTTAGTACCAATTGAGTTGGAGAAGACTGGGTGTGGTACAAATGTTTTTTGGGGAAAAAAATCAGAAGTTCAGTTGTGGACATGTTGAGTTTGAGAGGTTTGCTGAGTAGGCTATTGGATATTTAAGTATTGAGTTTAGGGGATACATATAGGCTAGAGACATGCATATTTTTGGAATTGTCAGCATATACATTTCATTTAAGGTCATGAGGCTGAGTGAGATTATTGAGATAGTGAGTGTGGACACAGAGTTGAAGACCAACGACTGACCACTGGGGCACTTCAAAATTAAGTTGGGCGAAGAAGAAAAACCAGCAAAAGTCCAAGAAGCAGCAATTAGCATGGAGGGAGAGGCTGGATGCAGTGGCTCACACCTGTAAGCACTTTGGGAGGCTAAGGTAGGAGGATCTCTTGAGGCCAGGAGTTTGAGACCAGCCTGGGCAACACAGTGAGATCCTGTCTCTACAAAATTTTTTTCAAAAATTAAAAAGAAAAAAATTTTATCAAAGAAAAAAATGAAAGAAACCCAGAGAGAATGTGAAGAAAATGTATCAAGGAGAAGGAAATGCTGCCAATAGGTGAATTATGATGTGATCCGGGAACTGATTTAGCAGCATGGAGGTCTTTGGTAATCTTGATGAGAGCAGTTTTTTGTTTTGTTTTGTTTTTGTTTTTGTTTTTGAGACAGATTTCATTCTGTTGCCTAGGTTGGAGTGCAGTGGCACAATCTCAGCTCACTGCAATCTCCGCCACCTGGGTCCAAGAGATTCTTCTGCCTCAGCTTCCCGAGTAGCTGGGATTACAGGCACCAGCCACCACGCCCAGCTAATTTGTATATTTTTAGTAGAGACAGGGTCTCACCATGTTGGCCAGGCTGGTCTTGAACTCCTAACCTCAAGTGATCTGCCAGCCTTGGCCTCCCAAAGTGCTGCGATTACAGGCATGAGCCACCATGTCCGGCCGAGAGCAGTTTTAATGGAGTGATGGGGGTGAAAACCTGACTGCAGTGGGTTTAGGAGAGAATGGGGAGTTAGGATTGGTGTACTGCAGGGTTTATTTAGAAGTGATTCATCAGCAAATGTGGTGTAAGGATAAGGATGAGGACATTATGAAGGCAGGGCTCGGAAGAACATGATGTTTAGAATCATGAAGGATGGAAGGGAAGCTAGAAAGACTCCCAGGGAAAACTCACCAGGCTGTAAGGATCTTGAAATGTGGCACAGCCTGTGTGGTGGGATGAGGAAGTGAGAAGGACAGGAGGAGGTAAGGCGACTACCTCTGGAGAGTGGTGCCTTGATGTATTTCCACAGTGGAGCAGTTCTGTGTGATGATGAGGCCCAGGATGAGCCATGGGAGTGGGTGGCAGTGAAGGAGCTAGGAGGCTTGAGTTAGATGAGCATGCATGCTGACAGTTAAACCATGCAGTGTGCTGGGAAGGTCTGCAGTGGAGAGAAAGATGGGATCACAGGATCTAGCTGTCAGCTCTTGATGAATATGTGGAAGCGATTGGGAGATGGGAAGATGTCAGTGTGGAGATGAGATAGACATGATATGACTGGATGATAAAAGCCTCATGAGAAAGGGGGGTTCCATGGAGGTAAAGGAGTGATGGTTTTGAGGTGTTACCCTAACCATCCCCGTGCCTGCAGTGCTGACATGGGGAACAAACATTCTCGAGAGATTAGGGCTTTGGGAGAAAGCAGCAGCTTTATTACTGTTAAAAACACCAGGGGGATGATTTCTGCTCTCATTCAAGCCTTCAATAAAATTAGTCAACAGCAAATCCTATTCACTTCTAGAGCTGTTGCTGCTTGGCATTCTGTGCTCATAATGTGTTTGCAAATTGCTTGTATAGAGTTTTCTTTTACTTAACTTTTCAGGGTTAGTGGTAAGCCAACGAGCAAACGTGTTCCCTCCACAAAGCCTTCTCTTCACTTCCCATTCAAATAATTACAACATCCCTCCCGCCCCACTTACGCCCTGTCTCCCCTAGTGCTCAGCTCCCTTCAGGATGAAGCCCTCCTTCGCAGTCAGGTCTTGGCTTAATGCCACCTTGGAGATAGACCTTTCTTGATCTATCCTGGTCCTGGAGGAGTCTGCTTCTCTCCTCCCAGACCTGGTCTTCTTTCTTTCAGCACACTCTTCTTTTCTTCATAGAACTTACTGCAGCATATAATTTATCCATGTGGTTCCCTTTTAAACAATCTACTTCTCTCATTATAATGTAATTTCCCTAGGAGCAGGGTCATGTTCATTATTGTATTTCCGGTACCTATCATAGTGCTTGGCATGTAGCGGACATTCAATAAATTAGTACCTCCAGTTTGTAAATGACAAAACTGAGACTCAGAGAAAGTAGCGAGCTTAGATCCCAGCCCAGTTCATTCAACTTTTCTATTTCTGCAATTCCTCTTCGGATTGGGAAATGGCTTATTCTCTGTCTTAATTCATGATGGTGGATCAAAGATGGCTACACATTCTTTAACACTTCCTCTATTGAGAGGTGATGCTTATTTTCCTACTCATCAAATCTGGGCTGGTCCTAAGACTGAATTGACCAAGAAGATGCTGCGGAAACAAAGTTGTGCCAGTCCCAGGCTTGGCCTTGAAGAGGGCTTTGGCTTCCCCCTCTTGGAACACGTATTGTTGGGATCCTGCACTGCCTTGTGAGACTATCTTTCTGGAGAAACCACATGGCAATATCACATAGAGAGGCTCTGAGACCACATGGAGAGGGAGAGAGGCCCAGCTGTCCTGGCATTTCCGTAGAACCCCCAGATGACTCCAGGCCTGGGTGCCAATCAACTGCAACTACAAGAGAGATTGCAAGTGAGATTAGCAGAAGAATCACCCAGCTGAGCCCTTTTATTTCACAGAACCATGAGTTACATTAAATTAATTGTCGTTTTAAGCATGGTGAAAACTAGGGTGAGGCAGGAGAGGCCCCTGGGGCAAAAAATGCAATGAGGTGCTCACTCTCAGGGCTGACCCTGGGAGTGAGCGCTGCCTTAAACTGCTCTAGGGCCCCCACTTGCTTCACCCTAGTCCTGGGACCTTGTTTTCAGCTGCTATGTTTTGGGATTTTTTTTGCTCAGCTATGATAGATAATGGAAACACTCATGGTGCCTGGCACAGAGTAGATACTCAGTGACCCACACTGAGCAGTTAAGATGAATGATCACAGCTCCCAAGTGACGTTCTTTTCACCAGAATACCTGACCCTGCAATATTTTGTATCCAAACTTTCTTCAATACATTATCCTATAGATGTCCCACATCTTTCCTTATAATTCTGAACTCTTGTCATTTTCTCTACTTCAGCAAACATTTACTGAGCATTTACTTTGGGCTCAGCACTGTCCTAGGTGCTCTGGGATTTATACAGGGTCAGGGGAGACACAAAATGAGTAGGATGTGGATCCTGCACCTCCAAGGAACTGACCACTGACAGACGCAGCCTGCTGTGGACAGCTGAAATAGCAGAGGTGGGAGCCAAGCACCGTGGGAGATCTGGGTGGCAGAAAGAGCTGGAGGTTATTGTACTGGAACTGGGGGGACTGGAGGAATCTGTGGAGGGAGGACACTTGTGCTGAGTGTAGAGATGAAGGGAGTTTTGACCAGCAACCATGACAGGGCAAGGCTGGGCACCATGGATCACACCTGTAATCCCAATACTTTGGGAGGCGGAGGCAGGAGGATGTTTGAGCCCAGGAGTTTGAGACCAGCCTGGGCAACACAGTGAGACCCTGTCTCTACAAAAAACAACAACAAAAAACCCCCACAAAACACTATGAGAGGGCAGAACGGAGAGGACAACAGCTCAGGCACAATTGCTCTGCTCACTTCGACCTTTCAGTTTTGTGTTCTCCCCCTTTCATCCTCTTCCCCCAATCTTTTGGAAGAATCAAGTGAAAAGGGTGTCTATGTAGATCTCTCCACCGCCATTGGAGACTTGATCCATTGCTCCTGATCTGTAGATATTCTCTAAAGCCTGACTCATTCAAAGTAAATTTGGGGAAAGCTCACCTGAGTTGATGATATGTTTTGGCTGTGTCCCCACCCAAATCTCACCTTGCATTGTAATAATCTCTGCGTGTCAAGGGCAGGTTCAGGTGGAGAAAATTGAATCATGAGGGCGGTTTCCCCCATACTGTTGTCATGGTAGTAAATAAGTCTCATGAGTTCTGATGGTTCTAAAAATGAGAGATCCCCTGCACAAGCCCTCTTGCCTGCCGCCATGTAAGATGTCTCTTTGCTCTTCCTTCATCTTCTGCCATGATAGTGAGGCCTCCCCAGCCATGTGAAACTGTAAGTCCATTAAATCTCTTCCCCCATAAATCCCTTTATAAATAACCAGTCTCTGGTATGTCTTTAGTAGCTGCGTAAGAACAGACTAACACAGTTGGTGAAATGCCTGTGTTGAGAACCATGTTCGAAGTTCCTTGCACAACCAGGTTTCCCCATTCTCAGGAAGGGAGGATCGGCAGACGTTCAGGCTGGACCTATTTTAACTTAATTCTCTATAATTGGTAGATGGGTTGTCTGCAGAAAAGGATGACTAGGGGTTTTCAAATGGAATGATCTTCTCTGTAGGTTAAACATTTACCTTCTGCTTTGCAAACACAGTTAATTTGCTGGTTGAACTCCCTTCCCTCATGCAGAGTGTGGAGGTAAATTCCTCTCTGAATTTCTAGTGAGTGCAGTCCAAGTGCTGGAGGGTGAGGGTGAGAAGTTGGGTTAGAATCTGGTGGAGGGGACAATTGATCCCAGCCAGCAAAGGCGATGGGAAACAGGCAGAACCTGTAGCCCAGCTCATCTCTGTGGTCGCCTGCATGGCACCAGGAAAACAGGTGAGTAAAGCCCTTTCAAACCTTTAGAGCCCAATGGGGATATCAAGGTCCCCCAGGAAAGAATCCCCATATTCTGGGGCACATGGTTTCAGGCTCACTGAAAATCCCATGGACAATAAATGTCAATATGAATATATAAATTACGCTTTTTAATTTTTAGATTTACATGACTGTTCTTTTATACTTAAATGTCTAACTGAATTTCGCCATGAAGAATTCATTGAAGGCTCAGTGGACTCACTAGCCCTCCTCATTTGTGGAACTGGGAGAAGGTTCCATGGCATTCTCATCCTTCCAGCCTCTCTTCCCTTGGTCAGGGATTGCAAACTCACTGCCTTCGGGGCCCAGGCAGGTGTCCCAAATAAATGAGCTCAGTGGAGGGTGGGCCTGTGGCCAACTGAGGCCCTCAGCTCCCAGACAAGGGAAACGTGACTTGCAGATCCTTGCCCGTGGGAAACAGGCCCAGTGTACTGGTGGCCAGATCTTGTGATTTTAGTAACACAAGATGGATTTTTCCTTGAAATCAGCAGAAAAACACTGACAGATGAAACAAAACGTGCCTGTGGTCGCTGCTGGGCTGCCAGGTTGGGGGAGGGAGCTGGGGTCTGGATTCGAGTCCTCTCAAGCCTCTGGCTGTGGGATGTTGGCCAAGTCACGTCCTTTCCTGGGCTTATTCTCCTTATCTGGAGAGTCATGACTCTGGAAGATTCCATCTCTAAGATGTTGTTTCATTTCAGGACTCTGAACCCCAGTATGCAGTGTGACATATACTCTACTAGGAGGTCAAAAATTGATGTTGAATTAATGAAAGAAGGAATTATTCATCTGGACTTCTTTGCAAAATTAACATGGGAAGAAAGTCTCAGATAAGCCCTTCCTTTTTCTGAGCAAATTCTTTACTGTTTTCTAAATTTTCCTTTGGTGCTCTTTGCTCCCTAGACTTTGGCTTCTTTATTTCCATTAAACCCCAGATTTTGGAAAAGCAGACTCTCAGACTCCACAGCGGAGCTCCGGAATGCTGCCCCAGGTTGGGCTGGATGCAACTTTCTTTGCCAAAGCTTCTGTGGTGGTCCTGATGCACTCCCATGGTCAAAGGTCACCCACCTGAAGACCTGCACCCTTCCACATCCGCTGAGCATGAATCTCCATGAGAGCAGGACTCCACTGAAGCAGAAATCCAGAGCCAAGAAGGACACAGAGTTTCTGGGGATGGCATTAGCCCAGGGCCCTGTTCATTGTTTTGTGGATGTAGAAACCAAAGCCAGAAGGACAGGTGACTTGCTCAGGGGCATCCAGTCCAGGAGATCACATGGCACCTGTACCTTCTTACAGAATCCCCAACCTGTGCAAAGGAAGTCAGCCCTGATGGGGTAGGATTCTAAAGATGTTATAGATTAAGCTGGGTTTTCCCTGGCATCCATGGAATTGCAGAATTTTTAAACTGAAGGGACCTCAGGAAGAAGGACAACTGGGAAAAAGGAGTCACCTATCCTGTACCACCTACCCCCCTGAGCACTTTATTTCACTTAACTTCAGATTAAATGAAGCATTATTATTTCATGTTTCCAATGAGAGAATGAAGGTTCAGGTGATGAAGGTAAATTCCCCAAGATCATATAACATGGAAGTTGGAGAGCTAGGACTCAAACTCACAATCTTCTGGCTTCAAGTCACCATTCCCTGAGAGGAATCTAGAGACAGTCTATCTACCAGGTTCATTTTCTTTACTTGCTAGGTGAACAAATGTGGCCTGCAGAGCTCAATGGCTTCACCAAGGTCAAGAGTGAGTGAATGCCATGGCTGGGGCTGCTCTGGTCCATGTGTTTTCCATGCCAGAGGGTGGCCTCCTAGAGTTCTTTGGTGATGCCTCTAGCTCTGGATGACACCAGGCTGGTGGAGGCAGATCCAATGGACCAGGGATGGAGACCTTCATGCCACTGCTCCCTCTTCATGGCATCCAGAGCTCCAGGAGTCCCTTTGGATCAGACCAAGCCACAGCCACCTTCCAGAAGGAGCCACTGGGGTGGCCATCAAAGGCTTGGGACACACAAGCTTGGGGCAGTGGTCCAGGGGTAAAGGCCTCCAGTCTTAGGGCCTTCCCCTCCTCATGGCCCCTGGGCCTCTCTTCTTACCTTGGGGTGCTGGCTTTTCCTTTGCTGGTTAGACCTGTGGCCCAGGGACTTCACTCAGGGCCACCCCAAGGGAGGAATGATGAGGGTGACCCAGTTCCTCATTGCCGGCCTCTCCACCCTCCACCGTCTGCCTTGCTCTGTAACATTTCTGTGAGCTTCCAGCACACACCAGCAGCCAGCCCATCTTCTGATTAGTTTCAGCCTGGTAAGTCCTTCCTGCCGCTGAACCACCTGTCTCCCGAGAGGACCTACAGCCAACGCCTCCCACACCAGATGGCCACCCCCTCCTGCCCCTCCATAGTGTTCCAGCCAAGGCCAGGCCAGGCATGGACAGAAGAGGACCTGAGCGACTGCAGCCAAGGTCAAAGTGGCCATCTGGACACAGGTATCAGCAGTGTGGAGGGGCTGCCCCAGAAATGGCTTTAGCGGGGGAGATGTTTCTCAGGCATTCAGCTCTTGGTTTTCTATTGGTCTCCCTTCAAAATTGCTTGGGCAGGTGGGCAGAGCACCTGATGGATGCCTTCAGCAGCACCTACTCGGTCAGGGTGGGTCTTCCCTCAGTAACCACTGCAGGCAAACAATCCCATTTCTTTTTCAGTGAGAAGCTTGAGCACCAGGGACCCCTGCCTCTGCTTATTCAAGGCCTATGAGGCATGATGCTCAAGTCCGCAGTCAGCAAACTTCCTGTTCACCCCACAGCTCCTCTTCCCCAGATGCTACCCACCCCCATCTTGAGTTCTGAATATTTTCCAGTGCCATCATACCTAAAGACTTCCTTTTAGCTATTCGATTTGCCCTCCCATGGTGAGTCAGTCAAATTAAAATGTGGGGCTACGTTATTGTACCGAAATATTTACAAAATAGAAAACTGAAGAGGAAACCATGCTTTGTTTTCTGAACAGTTGGAAACCTAAACAGACTTCTTTTCAATTCTCTTATTTTTCCACGTGTACATAAGAAGGCCATTGAGATGGCCTGGCAAGAAGGTTTAGACCAGACCCTCTCCCTTCAGATCCTATTGGTAGGTTATATATTCTGAATTTTTTTTCTTAAAAAAACAAAAAGCCAGAAAACCTCACTGCATTCTGTGTTTCTAAGCCAGCACAACCCATTTCTTATTCTAAGCAAGTGAAGAAACATTTGTCTTCAAGGCCAAGATGTCAGTGTTAAAAAACTGTTTTAGAAAAGAAAATGCAAACCCATAACTCCAAGCCTGGGCAAGGACAGCTACATGCATTAGCTAATGCATAATTGCAGATATTTATTCCCTGCTTTTGCGTTATGCTTTTATTCCCCCCAACAGGAGCTCCAAGTGAAATATTAATAATATTACTACTGTAATATTATTACACATTATTACCCCCACAATGGTAGCTTCAGAAGGGCATCTTTGTTTTCATTCCAATGTGACCTACATTGGATTCATTTTTTCAAAATGGCACCAGAAATGTCTTATCCATTTCCTCAGTAACTGGTGAAATGGAACAAATAAGACCGATCATTTTCTTCTATGAGAGATACGTTTGAGTAAAGCAATCTTGTGCCTATGGGGGATGGTGGGGGTAATTGGCGTAAGTGAATTAAAAGTTGGACTTGCAGTTCTATTGGACTTCAGACAAACATCTATGCTGATTGAACACTGATTTGCTGGCATTCCTCAAATCACAGTTCTGCCATCTCAGCATCCCAACTCTTGCAATCTTTTCCATGTGCTTCTTTATGGATGGGCAAATCACCTGACCGTAGCTGCCTGGAACCAAGCTGGCATTGCAGTTTTGCCATTCTTATTCAGTGTCATCTGATGCCTGCCGTCACTTGCCAGCCTCATTTACACATTGCCAATTCTAGGGGGGAAAATCAAATCTAATTTGAGCACCATTTTATCTGCTTATTTTACCCACAGATGTGAGTCCATTTTTCTGCAGATTATATAAGTATTTAAGTTTTCATTCCAACTGTTTGTCAGCACTTACTACAACAGACAACCAACTAGACAACCCCCACACTGCCAGAAATACCTTTGCGTGAACCTTATTATCAAAAATAGAATGCAATCAAGACCGGTGGAGGTTACAGTAAAGTCACCAAAAATGACTCAAATGTCCCTCTAGGCTAGCTCCTATGTTCTGAAAATATGTGGTGGGTGGAACGAGTCTTTTATGTTCCCAGATTTGGCTCCTCCAAGTGAAATATTAATATTATTACTACTGTTGCATTTGGCAATATGAAGAAGCTTCCAGTAATAAGCTGAACAGACAAAGACATCTGTATTCATGGCAGGTTTTCAGAACCACAATTTATGTGGTAATGTAGATGTGAGTCCCCGGGCACAAAAGTTGATCAGGGAGTTACTGAAACCCTTGAGGATAACTCACTGACTCAAAGGAAGAATCACTGGGGAAAGTGAATAAAGTGAATGTCAGCAAAACGTTGTCCTGTGAATCAGGACTCAGTTACTCTTTCTGGCTGGATGATCTCAGATGCAAATGACTTACTGTGGGTATCCACGAGGTCAATGGATAGAAATATGACATTTCGTAGGTGCAAAGAATATGTCTCTGAGTACATGCAGTTTTAGTCTGATGAATGCCTATGGTTTTCTGGTGGGCTTTGTGAAGTGGGTTGCCTTGTGGTATTGGAGCTTACACTCCCCAAGGGTTTCAATAACTTCCTGATCACTGGAAGCTTCTTCATGTTGTCAAATGCAATAGTAGTAGTATTATTAATATTTCATTTGGAGGAGCCAAAATTAGGAACATAGAAGGCTCATTCCACCCACCACACACTTTTAAAACCTATGAGCTAGCTCAGAGGGACATTTGGGTAATTTTTGGTGACTTTACTGTAACCTCCGCTGGTCTTGATTGCATTCTATTTTTGATAATGAGGTCCATGCAAAGGTATTTCTGGCACTGTGGGGGTTGTCTAGTTGGTTGTCTGTTGCAGTAAGTGCTGACAGACAGAAAGATGGGAAAGTGATGATTGTAGTGGCCTTTCTTGGAGGGAGACCAAGAGGAAGACTGATTAAAGACTGGCAGAGAGAGGAGCAGTGTGGGAGCAGCCCCTGCCCAATGGGCTTTGGTGGCCTAGAGCCATAAGAAGGTCCTCCCACCTCACCCTGCCACAATAGTAACCTTTAGGAAATTTAAGCTGCCCTGAACCCCATGCCCCCAGCTTGTCACATCCAAAAGGTAAGTACATAAGCTGAAGTTTGTGGTTCAGGTTTAAAACAGAGGCAGAAACCGTGGGGGTGGGTGGGGGAGAAGGTGAGGGTTGAGTTTAAAACCTGAAGGGCTCTAGAAGGAGAGGGTTCTGGTGTGCAGAGGGCATGCAGGGGAAGAGGACTGCCACCTCTCCACTCTGCATAACCCCAGGAAGCCTGGAAAATGGAGGCTCTTTGGGTAGAACCATCCTGGGTTCTCTTCATCCTCTTTACCACGTAAGTCACCAAGACGAATGAGGCAAGAAACCTCTGTGCTCCTCAGATGAAGCTTCTATCTGCTGATGGCATTGTTATTCTCATCTATGGATGAGGTGTCTGGGTGAGGGAATTTCTTCTGGATAAGAAGACATCCTTCTTTTAGGGTCATTTGGGGTTTGTGCAGAGGTAATCCACTAAACAGAATTCTGGGCTCAGGAATGGTTTCCCTCCCATGAAATGCTTAAATCTTGAGGTTTGCTAGCTCCTGATGGCTGGCTCCTTCCAACTCCCTGGCTCCCAGGCCTGCTACTGGAGCTCTGGAGGACTGCACTGTCTCTCTACAGCAAGAGTTGGCAATCTTCTTCTGGAAAGGGCCAGATAGCAAATATTTTCAGCTTTGCGGGCCAATGTCAGTAGCACCTACTCAAATCTGCTGTTATTGTGTGAAAGTGGCCACAGACAATACATGAACGAGTGGACAGAGGGCAGTAGTTTGCTGACTTCTGGTCCAGGTGATGTTGGTTGGTCAACTGGGTCAGGCAATAAATCCTCCATTTATTTAACAGATGTTTACTATTCATCTGCTCATTACCAGACACATTTCTAGGTGTTTGGGATACATCAGAGAACAACACAGATGAAGGTCCCTACAGCTCTGCACTCTTGTAGCTTACATTTTAGTTGGGGGGATGGACAGGCCTATGTGATGATAACCTGCTATGCGTCTATTCTCCATCCTTCTCCACCCTGCTTCAGAGATGCTCATGCCCCTTGTGGCCCATATGGATAGCATCTTCCCATTGGGTCCATCCTCCAACATCATGCCCCCAACGTTTTCCCACTGGGTCCAGCCAATGAGAGGCACAGACAGGGGCATTTTTATTTCTCTTTCTTATCAAATACTCAGTCCATTATACCAATTTAAATGTATATCAGTATGTTAATACTATAGCTACATACATACTGTGTTACTAAGCAGCATAGTTGTTCTCAAAAGACTCTATTGGAGGCCTGAGGAGCTGAATGCTTGAGCATGGAGTTGGACTGACTTGGGTGTTAAAGTTACTTCACTTCTTGGAGCTTCCATTTTCTCACCTGTGAAATGAAAATAATAGTAAAACTGCCAACCTCATAGGGTTGCCATTAGGATTAAGTGTAATAACACAGGGAATGTACAGGACACAGTACTTGTCCTGTAGCCTGGCTCATAGAAGAGCCTCAATGAATGGTAGTGACAATCAGTATGTAACGCATGGTATGGTGTAGGTCATGTTGGTGGGTTACATTCATTATTGTGCCTACTCTTAACACATCCTTTTGTATTATGAGTACAGTAGGCCCAAGGGCAGCTGTAAGAAAAGAGATTCAGTTGGCTTTGGTGCAAATGTGTCTTGTATTGATCCCTAAAGGGGCCATTAGAAAAATCTGACTCCCCTTCCTGGGAAAAATCCCAAGCAGATTCCCACAGCCCACCAATCCTGAGACAACTCCTCTCATCTTGACTCCTCTTTTTAATTGCTGCGTGGGTGCCAGACCAAGGACCATTTTTGTGGTGGATAGTGTCATCTGCTGTATGTGGAAGGAGAAATGGCACAAGTGAGAATAGATACATGGATTTCTACACACTGGTCAATGACCTTGGCAACTCGTTGGGACTGGAAGAAAAAAGACAGAAAAATAAGAGACAAGGAAGGCTGGTGTGGACAAGTGTGAGCGGGCAGAGTGCTGAAGATTTTTGAATCGCATATTAATGCCCACCGGAAACATGTATTGTAGATAAAGAACTGGAAAACAAGGTAGACAAATGACTTGGCTAGTTGACATTAACCACACTTCATCATTGGCCACCCAGAAGCAACAGTATAGGTGCGTGAATAGAGGGACCATGGTGGCAGAAGTGGAGGCTATGCATGAGCTCAACAGCACGGACTCGACTTAACAAGATCATTCTAGCTATTGCTTCCTCTGAATGTCCAGCCTGCAGCCACAGAGACCCACATGGAACCTCTGGTATGGCACTACTTCTAGAAGAGACCAGACACTTGGAGGCAAGTCAGCTTCTTTGGGCCCTGGCGTTCTGGAATAGCCAATGGTTCATCCTCAAAGGGAGACATTATTCCAGGTATGGGCTGCCTTTATTGTCCACAGAGCCTCAGCCAGCACTGTTGTTTGATGGCTTATAGAAGACCTGGTCCACAGGCCTGAAATCCCACCCACCATAGCATTTGACCAAGGGACCTGCCTCTTAGGGAGTGGGGTGTGGGAGTGAGCCGGTGGCTTATATTACATACTGCACCATCCAGGAGCAGCCAGCCTCAGTGAATGCTGGGACAGCCTTCTAGAGGCACAACTGTAGTGCCAGCTCAAGGGGAACCCTCTGGAAGGATGGGTGCCGGACTTCAGGACAGAGTATGCACATTCGGAGACCTGTAGATGGCTGGTCCTGTCTCTCCAGTAGGAAGAATGCATGGTTCCAGGAACTGACGAGTAGAAGCAGTCATGGCTCTATTTACTATCACGCCCAATGACTGACTGGGGGACTTTGTGTTTCCTGCCCCCACCACTCTGGGTTCTCTTCAAAAAAAAAGTTGCAACCTGGCAAACACTACCCCAGCCAGGTGATCAAGGTTAACAGCAATAGTGAAAAGTGATATGGAGAGCATGCGCCCTTGAATGACGCGATGCGAGGGGCACTTTACCTCTCCAAAACACGTAACTCCAGTCTAGTCAGGAGAAGAACACCAGGCAAATGTCAATGCAGGGGCATCCTACAACATCCCTGACAGTGCTCCTCAAAATCCTCAAGGTTATCAGAAACAAGGAAAGCCTAAGAAACTGTCACAACCAAGAGAGATGGTGACATCTCATCGAAGGAGATGTAACGACCAAATGTGGTGTCCTGGATGGGCTCCTAGGACCAAAAAACGACATTAGGGGGAAGCTGCAGAAATCTTAACAATTGTTTATCACTCTTCAGTTACCTGTATTCTAATTTAGTTATCATGTAACAATGAATGAATTATTATTTAGTTAATTGTGTATCAACATTGGTGTATTCAGCTGTTGATAATAGAGGACACTGGGTGTGGGGTGTATGGAAAATATGCATTTTCTTCACAATTGTTCTGTAAATCTAAAACTGTGCTACAATTAAAAGTTTATTTATTTTTTTTTTTTAAATTTCCTTGTCCCCAAATGAACAAGTGTCTTCTAAGGGTCTCATTGAACTAGAAGCTTTAGTGCTGTGCCCTGGGAGCAGTGTTCCTAGCTGGGGAATTGCCCTACGGGCAGGAGTCCGCCACTGCAAGGGATTTGCTTTTCCTTTCCTTCTTTTTGAAGATGCCTGGGAAATGTGGTGCCATAGTGTAGGCATCCCGTGCTCTGGATCCTCTGCTGCCCTTACTTTCCCTTTCCAGCCAACACATGTCAGAGGACACGGGGCCTCCAGCCAGAGCTTGGGACCCGGCAGAACTGGCTTCATCAACTTCTGTGCTGGTCACCTGTGCTATGGGAGCCACAAGGCTTTCTTTTCTTTTCTTCTTCTTCTTCTTTTTTTTTAAATTGAGGTGGAGTCTCACTCTGTCATCCAGGCTGGAGTGCAGTGGCGAGATCTCGGTTCAACCTCTGCCTCCCAGGTTCTAGCGATTCTTCTGCATCAGCCTTCCAAGTAGCTGGGATGACAGGTGCGCGCCACCATGCCTGGCTCATTTTTTGTATTTTTAGTAGAGACGGGGTTTCACCATGTTGGCCAGGATGGTCTCGAACTCCAGATCTCATGATCTGCCCACCTCAGCCTCCCAAAGTGCTGGGATTACAGGCGTGAGCCACTGCGCCTGGCCATGGACTGGCTGTTTTCTAATCTTGCTGTATAACATTGTTCTGGGATTTTGTGATTAGTTCCATTATTGCCCATTTCTCACTTTCCCACTCCTTTCTCCTTTTTGGTTTTAACACTTTTTGTGTGGCTGAAATTACATCCTTGATGCGTTTGCTTTTGAGTTCTTGGTCATGAAGTCTTCGCCTAAGCCAATATCTAGGAGGGTTTTTCCAATGTTATCTTCTAGAATTTTTCTGGTTTCAGGCCTTAGATTTCAGTCTTTGATCCATCTTGAGGTGATTTTTGTATAAGGTGAGAGATGAAGATCCAGTTTCATTCTTCTACATGTGACTAGCCATTTATCCTAGCACCGTTTGTTGAATAGGGTTTCCTTTCCCCACTTTATGTTTTTGTTTGCTTCGTCGAAGATCAGTTAACTGTATCTGGCTTTATTTCTGGGTTATCTATTGTGTTCCATTGGTTTATATGTCCATTTTTATACCAGTACCATGATGTTTTGGTGACTAAGGCCTTATAGTATAGTTTGAAGTTGGGTAGCGTAATGCCTCCAGATTTGTTCTTTTTGCTTAGTCTTGCTTTGGCTATACGGGCTCTTTTTTGGTTCCATATGAATTTTAGGATTGTTTTTTCTAGTTCTGTGAAGAATGCTGGTGGTATTTTGATGGGAATTGCATTGAATATGTAGATTGCCTTTGACAGTATGGTCATTTTCACAGTAGATTGCCTTTGACAGTATGGTCATCTTCACAGTATTGATTCTACCCATCCATGAGCATGAGATGTGTTGCCACTTGTTTGTGTCATCTATGATTTCTTACAATAGTATTTTGTAATTTTGCATGTAGAGGCCTTTCACCTTCTTCCTTAAGTGTATTTCTAAGTATTTTATTTTTTTTGCAGCTATTGTAAAAGGGGTTGAGTTCTTGTTTTGATTCTCAGCTTGGTCACTGTTGGTGTGTAGCAGAGCTACTGATTTGTGTACATTAATTTTGTATCCTGCAACTTTGCTGAAATAATTTACCAGTTCTAGGAGCTTTTTGGAACAAAGATAAATAGAAGAGACCTAATTAAACTAAAAAGCTTCTGCACAGCAAAAGAAATAATCATGAGAGTAAACAGACAACCCACAGAGTGGGAGAAAATCTTCACAATCTATACATCCAACAAAGGAGTAATTTGCAGAATCTACAAGGAACTCAAATAAATCAGTAAGAAAAAAAACCAAACAATCTCATCAAAAAGTGAGCTAAAGACATGAATACACAATTCTCAAAAGAAGATATACAAATGGCCAAAAAAAAAAATGTAAAAATGCTCAACATCACTCATGGTGAGGGAAATGCAAATCAAAACCACAATTAGACACCATTTTACTCATGCAAGAATGGCCATAATAAAAAAAAATAGATATTGGCCTGGATGCAGTGAAAAGAGAACACTTCTACACTGCTGGTGGTAATGTAAACTTGTACAACCACTGTGGAGAACAGTGTGGAGATTCCTTAAAGAACTAAAAGTAGATCTACCATTTGATCCAGCAATCCCACTACTGGGTATCTACCCAGAGGAAAAGAAGTCATTATATGAAAAAGATACTTGCACACCCATTTTTATAGCAGCACAATTTGCAATTACAAAAATATAGAAACAGCCCAAATGCCCATCAATCAAGTGGATGAAGAAACTGTGATATATATATATATATATATATATATATATATATATATATATATGAACACTCAGCCATAAAAAGGAATGAATTAAGGTATTTGCAGCAACCTGAATGGAATTGGAGACTGTCATTCTAAGTGAGGTAACTCAGGAATGAAAAACCAAACATCATATGTTCTCACTTATAAGTAGGAGCTAAGCTATGAGGATGCAAAGGCATAAGAATGATACAATGGTCTCTGGGGACTTGGAGGGAAGGGTGGGAGGGGGTGAGAGATAAAACATGACAAATTGGATTCAGTGTATACTGCTTAGGTGATGGGTTCATCAAAATCTCAGCTATCGCCACTAAAGAACTTACTCATGTAACCAAATACAACCTGTTCCCCAAAAACCTATGGAAATAAAAACAATTTTAAAAAAGAACTTATTTATGTAACCAAACACTACCTGTTACCCCAAAACCTATTGAAATTTTAAAAATATTACATCCTTGAGTAACTTTCTCAAAAAGATGTATTAGAAATACATTCTCTTCATCTCGTATTTGTGAAAACGAATAAGTTCATCAAACTCTCCAATTATCCCTTTGGAGTGTGCTGTTTCCAGCCAAGACCCTGCTCAATGCACTGGGTTCAAAATGATAAACCTGCAAGATTCTGAAGATCTTGCTTTGCTGACCTCTAGTATCCATTTGGTTATTGATAAGTCTGATGCCGATTCAGTTTCCTTCTAGGTAATTTCTTTCTCTCTGGAAGCCATTAGGATTTTTTTGTTTTTGTTTTTTTGTTTTATGAATTCTTGCTGCTATGAAATTTTATAAATATATGTTATATCAGTTAGGAATACCTTTTTAGCATTAAGAAAAAAAACCACCAAAAATACTCAATTAACAATGGCTTAAGCAATATTTGTAAGAAGTAGGTGGTCCCAGATTAGACGCACCACTTCAGTGGTTTCATCAAGGGCTCAGGCCCTTTCTGTCTGTCCCGCCTTATGAAGGATGTGGAAGGAACAGAATCTTGTTATCCTTGGCTTGTTGCCTCGTGGTTGAAAGATGGCTCCGACATCATTCCTTGCACCATTGCAGAGAATATCACTTCTCTTTATGAGGCTTGGAGTTTTGTTGTGAAAGAACAGCTCCTTATTACACATCTCTTGAACATTTCTTTGGCCAGAACCTGGCTACATGTTGACTCCTAGACACTCATTGGTAGAAGAGAATGGAATTTATTAGGATTGGTTAAGATCAGTTATAGTTGATTCCCTGGGGCTGAGAGGGGCGTGCCATTCCTGATGTCATAGGATCTCTGCCTGCTACCTAAGCTGCAAATGTGGAGAACTGCTAGCAGGAAAAAAGGGAAATTCTTTTGGGTTAGTCTATGGAGAATATCCACTTGGTATGTCTAGCTGTGGTCTTTTTCACTATCATGCTTTTAATTTGAAGTCTCGCTTCTCCTTTTTGCTCTAGGAATTTTTTCCCTCATTATTTCTTTGGTCTTCATCCTTTCTGCTTTTTCTAGTCTCTCTTTCTAGAACATTTTAAAATGAATATTGGATCTCCTGGATCAACCTTTTCTATTTATTAACTTTTCTCTTGAACATCCTATTTCTCTGCCCTTTTTTCTCTTTATTTCACAAGATTTTCTTGGCATCATCTTCTATCCCTTGTCTTTTTATTCCATTTTTATTTCATTTATTATATTATTTCAGCTCTATTTTGGTTACGTATCTGTAATTCTTGTTCTTTTTTAAAAATTATATCTTTTTCTTATTCTAAAGAAACACTATAATCTCAAATCTCTTGGAGGATATTAGAGGGTGTTTTAAAAAACTCCTTGTCTATTTCTTCAGTTGTCTCTGTTTCTTGCAGAGTCATTTTTGCTGATGTTGTTGTTTATTTATCTTTCTCTTTCGTAGTCCGGATTCTCCTCTCACGTCTGGTATATTTAAAGATAAGAAAATGCAAATGCCTACTTGGGGCCTGAGGCACATTTAGGGCTTGTTGACCTGAAGGCTCAGCATTCACTGGGGTGCAGGGGACCGAGGGCCAACTTCCAGGATGGGTTGGTCCCATGCACCAAGTGAGGAGGCCTCTGTTCTGGGCCAAGAGCGCTCTCACTAGCTGCCTTGGTTCACCCTAGAGTTTTACATAGATTTGTTCAGAGAAGAACTCTAGGTTTTCCTCCTAGGTAATGATGTCTGGCTGACCACAGATGGGCCTGCAGAGAATGGGATGTGTGAGTGTGTATGGGCTGGACCATTCAGAATAGAGGCTTTTAACAAATGCCCAACTTCTCACTGCTGCCCACTGGAGATCTGCAGTTTTCAAGTCTGCAGACTCTGGGGACACTTCTGGGCAGACTGACCTCTTCTGTGCACAACTCCTGTCTAGGATCCACCTGTCTTTGCTCTGTTTCAGCAGCCAGGACTCCCCGATCACCTTTACATCATCTGGAAATTGGTTCAAATCATGTATTCTCTGATGGTTTCCTTTGTTTTATTTTCTTTGGTGTGGGCTCCTACATTTAAAAAATTCCTTTTCCTTTACTCTTATTTTAATGGAGTCTCAGGAGAAAGGAGACAAATGCTAGGAAGCAGTCTGCAATCTTGACCTGGGGGGATAATGTCGAGGTTTTCTTTTAAATTGATTCATTACTCTTTTTTAATTAAAAAAAAATTTTTTTTGAGATAAGGTTGTGCTCTGTCACCCAGGCAGGAGTGCAGTGGCGTGATCATGGCTCATTGCAGCTTCAGTCTCTTTGGCTCAAGAGCTCCTCCCACTTCAGCCTCCTGAGTAGCCGGAACTACAGGTCCATGCCTCCAGTTGGCTAATTTTAAAAAGTTTTTTTGTGGAGATGGGAGTCTCACCACCTTGCCCAGGCCAGTCTCAAACTCCTGGGTTGAGGTGATCCTCCTGCCCTGGCCTCCCAAAGTGTTGGGATTACAGTTGTGAGCCACCACATCCAGCAAACCTTAATTTTTTATTGTAAAATACACCATAAACTTTATCACGTTAATCATTTTAAGCGTATAGTTTAGTAGCATTAAGTGCATTCCCACTGTGTGCAACCAATCTCCAGAGCTCTTTTTATTTTACAAAACTTCAGCTCTATGCCTATTAAATAACAACTCCCTGCTCGCTGCTCCCCTCAGCCCCTGGCAACCATCATTCTACTTTCTATCTGTAGGAATTTACAACTTGAAGTACCTCATGTAAGTGAAACCATACGGAATTTGCCTTTTTGTGGCTGGCTTTTTGGAGAGCATATGGTCCTAAGGTTCATATATGTCACAGCATGGGTCAGAACGTCCTTCCTTTTAAAGGCTGAATAATATTCCATTGTGTGAATAAACCACATTTTGTTCATCCACTTATCCGTGGAGGGAAGCTTGAGGTGCTTCCACCTTCTGGCTATCGTGGGTAATGCTGCTATGAATGTGGATGCCAGTATTGTTGAGTTTTAAAAGGCCTGTAGCATAGGAGACCCCCCAGCCACTAAACCCAAAGCAGATGTATTTGTACGTAAATTTCCCATCGCACTGGAATTAAGATGCTATAGTCACATTGTCTTCCACAAAATACTCTCATGTTTAGAGTTTTACTTGACACACTTCTTCTGGGTCCATTATTATAACCAATGAGGTAGTTAGAGTAGATAGCATTATTTTTGTATCGCAGTGAAAAACTTCGAGCTACAAAGAGGTTAAGTGACTTGCCTAAGCTAATAAGTAGAACAACTAAAAGTACTGAATAATTTTATCAGCCTGAAAGACATTGCTGAACGTGTTTGTTTACATCAACTCTATTGTGGGCTGACTATGGAGACAGGGCCACAGAATGATGATCTCTAATCTAGTAAATTTAATGCAACTTCTCCTAACAGATAAGCCGGGTTGACATGGTAAATTTTATGTGAAAAAGAGAAATCTGTCTGAAGCTCTGGCAGCCAAGATAAGACAGAATAGCAGATATGATTTAACTATTAAAATTACAGAGATTTGTTCCTCTTTATTTTTCGTGGAGGGAATCAAGGTAAATGTTCTTGGGTTGTTGGCAGTATTTCTTCCATTTGTACATTCCTTCTAAACATGAACATTATGTTGTTTATTCATCTGTTAATGACAGCTGATTATCAAACCATAAATATACATGTTGGGTCTAATGGTTTGTGAATGTTAAGCATCAGACAGTAATATCGCGGGTACTTAGAGAAGAACACTACAGCTACATCCCAATCACTATCTAGCTTGTCAATTTCCTGTAGAATTATCTGATTCTTTGTGCTGTCAGCTGAATCATGTGTTAGGCAGAAAGCAGATTTTTTTTCCCATTATTGCTCTTTTTTCCTCCTCATCAGTAAACAGATTTAAAAAAAAAAAGAAGAAGAAGAAAAGAAACACAATTCTCTGGTGTAATCGAGGCTCCAGATATCACATTTTCTCTATTACTTGTGGAAAACAGCAAATCTGATTTCTTGAGGCTTTTCATGTTCAAATCATTTCAGGGACATCGGCAAATACATATTCACTCAGTATTTCCGTACCATATATTGGAGAAAATAACAGATATGAAGATGCTAAAGTTCAAATTAAAGGGCTTTCATCCTGCTGTCCTAAAGTCCCTTGGAACTTATTTAAAATGTTTAAAAAAATCTGGCCACTAGTGGTTTACTCTCTGCACAGCAAGATACATGTATTTATTTCCTAAGCAATGAGGCAGAGAAGCGTGGTGTTCAGGCGTTGACAGTATGCTAATGTGTGCTGGGGAAAGACACACCGGTCCCCAGGGTGCAACGAGGAGCCTCTGAGAACTTTTCTTAAAAGGTCTTCATTCTTCCACTCACCCGGCAAACAGTGGTTAAGCATTTACTAGTGCAGGTGTGCACTCAGCCTTGGGCAAATAGGAAGTTCCTGCCTCGTGGTTCTCAAAGCCGGAGGAGTGGGGGCGGCACGGCAGAGCAGAAAGGGCATCGTCAGAATCCCAGCCCACTTACCTGCAAAGGGCATGGCCTCAACCTCCCCAAGCCTTCCCCTGGGGCAGGGATGGTAATACCCACCCCAAAGAGCGGGGAGGATGAACTGATTGGCCTATAGCTGGTGCACGGCACAGAGCTGCAGCCTTCTGGGACACTCCTGGCTTATTTCCATTTCTTTCACTGCCCTTCGCTCGTTCCAACCCGGTTTCCATTCCAGACACTCCGCCAGCAGCGCTTTCTTATCCTCCTCCATTTTTGGCGCTGCGTTAGACCCTACCACCTTCAAACTCTTGCCTTCTTTCCCCACACTTACCACCCTGCTCTCTTTCTCTCTCTCTCTCTGATCTCTTCTTCTCTGGAGACTTTGTTTCTTTTCCTTCTCTCTCTCTTCTCTCCTGAATAGTGGATTTTCACGAAGTCTCTGCTCATTTATCTCTTTGTAATATTGCTCCTTTAACACAAACCATATTTTCAAGTCCTTCTTATTCTTTAGACATCACTAATGTCATATTTCTGGCTTCAGCTATCATCCTCACTCTGATGACTCCAAAATTTCTATCTCTGTATTTTCATAGCCAAACTTCTAGCTTCAATTTTCAACCAAATACCCAACCTGAGCGTTCACTTTCAACTCGAAATCTCTAAAGCTATACATAACATCTTTACCCCAAATGAACTCCCCTATTAGATTTTTCATTTTTTTACTCTCTGTCAGTAGCACTATTTTCTCAATTGTCCACTGATAATTTAGCTGCTTTATCATTTACTAAAACTATTTTTCTTTTTAGGAAATTAATTAATTAATTTTTTTGTTTGTTTGTTTTTAGAGACAGAATCTTACTATATTGCCCAGGCTGTAGTGCAGCAGCTAGTCACAGGCCAGATCAGAGTGCATAGCCCACTGCGGCCTCCAACTCCTGGCCTCAAGTGATCCTCCCACCTCAGCCTCCCAAGTAGCTAGAACTACAGACGTGCACCACAGCATCCAGATAAAACCACGTTTCCTCTCTCAAAACATTTATGAGCAGAAAAGCATTAGATTAAGTCACAAAATACAACAAAAAATTTTTTAAGCTCCTTAAATAAATAGAAAAGCCGGGCACAGTGCCTCACACCTAGCACTTTGGGAGGCCGAGGTGGTTGGATCACCTGAGGTCAGGAGTTCGAGACCAGCCTGGCCAACATGGTGAAACCCTGTCTCTAGTGAAAACAAAAATTAGCTGGGTGTGGTGGTGGGCACCTGTAATCCCAGCTACTTGGGAGGCTGAGGCAGGAAGAATTGCTTGAACCCAGGAGGCGGAGGCTGCAGTGAGCTGAGATCATGCCACTGAACTCCAGCCTGGGTGATAGAGTGAGACTCCATCTCAAAAAAAAAAAAAAAAGAAATAGAAGAAACCTATAAATATATAAAGTGGTGTATACAGTATGGTCCCAACTTTGTTGTAGTTGTATTGCTTGTGTCTTTATTTCTCATCTATCAATATCATCTATCTACATATATGCATAAGATAGACTGAGTGTTCAGAAAATGTCTCTCACTAATGGAATTATAAATGAATTTTACCTTCTTTTTTATGCTTCTTTTTCCTTTTTATTTTTTCTGGACTTTTGATACCCAGGATAGGGTTCATTTTAAGTCTTGGTTTATGACACACACTCAGCATTGGTTCCTTTATCCCCTCTTTTGTTTACTTATTTGTATGTTTATTGATGACTGCAGTGGGCATCATGCCCACCCTCCAACCCAAGCCCTGGAACAATGACACTGGCTTACATTTCCAGCACGCTCCCCTTCATTTCCTAGGTCCTAGCAAGGTCTGAGGTATTACACTGGTCCACACCTCCTGTCCATGAGTTAGTATGTCAGGCTTTTTATGCTGGTTGATTGGACATAAAATAGCATTTCAGCTGGGCACGATGGCTCACGCCTGTAATCCCAGGACTTTGGGAGTCCGAGGTGGGTGGATCACTTGAGGTCAGGAGTTTGAGACCAGCCTGGCCAACATGGCAAAACCCCATCTCTACAAAAAATACAAAAATTAGCTAGGTGTGGTGGTGGGGGCCTGGAATCCCAGCTACTTGGGAGGCTGAGGCAGGAGAATCGCTTGAGCATGGAAGGCAGAGGTTGCAGTGAGCTGAGATTGCACCACTGCACTCCACCCTGGGTGACAGAGTGAGACCCTGTCTCAAAAAAAAAAAAAAAAAAAAAAAAAAAGCATTTCATTGTGGTCTTGATTTGCATTTCTTTAGTACTAGCAAAATTGAACATCTCTTTTTATATGTACAGGCTATGTCTTTTTCCTCCTCTGTGAACTTATAGGCTTATGTCTTTTTCATCTTTCATCTAGGTTGTTTGCTTTTATCATATTGATTTGTAGAAATAAGACAAAAATGTCCACTAACACCACTGATATTCAACATTGTCCTGGAGGTCCTAGTCAAAAAATAAAAAAGACATGAAAAATAAATCAAAGACATTGCAATCTGAAAGGAAGAAGTATATGATTGTCATCATTTGCAGATAAAATTACTAAGGATAAAGGAAACCCCAAATAAGCTATAAACTGTTAGACTTAAAGGAGCCTTTAGCAAGGTGGCTGGATATGGAATAAATAGATGAATGCCAGTGGCATTTCTATACACCAGCAATAAACAGCTAAAAACTGTAATATTAGGAAGATCATTTATAATAGTAAAATGATACTACACAATACCTATAATTAAACCTTAAAAAGATATGCAAGTCCAAAACTTAAAAGTATCAAATTCTTTGCAACACACTGAGGAGACCCAGATAAATAATTTTCACGCTCAAACTCATCATTACAGTAATATAAAATAAAACAACCATGTGATACCAATTTTAACTTATGCGATTAAAAAAGATTGATAACACCATATTAGTCAGTATTCTCAAGAAAAACAGAACCAATGGGATATATATATATATATATATATATATATATATATAAAACAATATAAATATATAGAAAGTGATTTATAATGAGGGATTGGTTCACAGACTGAGAAGTCCCATGGTTTGCTGTCTGCAAGCTGGAGGCCCAGGAAAGCTGGTGGTGTTGTATCAGCCCAAGCCTTAAAGGCTGAGAACTCGGGGAGCCAATGGTCTGAACCTGAAGGCCTGAGAACCAGGAACACGGATGTCTAAGGGCAGGAGAAGATGGATGTCCCAGCTGTAGTAGAGATAGAAAATTTACCCTTTCTCTGCCTTTTCATTCTATTCAGGCCCTCAATGAGTTGGGTGATGCCCTCGCATATTGGTGAGAGGGGTTCTTCTTTATTCAGTCCACTGATTCACATGCTAATCTCTTCTGGAAACACCCTCACAGATGCACCCAGAAATAGTGTTTTACCAGCTATCTGGGCATTCCTTAGCCCTGTTGAGTTGACACATAAAATTAGCCATCACAAACACTAAGTAGTGGGAAAGATATAGTGTAACAGGCAGTATCACACATTTTAGGTGTGAGTTCAAATTGGCACAGCTTTTCTGGGGAGAAATCTGGCAGCACTAATACAATTTTTAAATGTTTATACCCTTGGACACAGCAATTTTACTTTTGAAAATTTCCCTATAGACACATATGCATAAGAGTACAGACTTTTGTATAACAATTTTCATCACATTGTAATTTGAAACACTCCATCTACCAGTAGATGACTAGCTAAATAAGTTGCTATAGATGTGATATACAGTGAAATACAGTATCAATCACTCATATGAAATGAGATAAAATACACATGCTGAGATGAAAATGTACCAAAGGCATTTGATTAAGGAAAGATGAGTGTGTCTTAGTGTCGGTTTCCCTGGAAGCAGAGCCTGAGGCAAGGATTTGGATGCAGGTAGTTTATTTGGGAAGAATCCTAGGAATCAGGTGTGAGGGAGTAACGAGAATGAGGGGAGGAGCAAAGGGAGTATGATCTTCACATAGTGTGGCAAGGGGCTTGCTTCAGTTGGGACCTCCTGAGAAGTGTAAGGAAGGGTTCCAGCATTGTCCCTTGTCCCCTGATTGAAGGACAGGAGACAGAAGGTGAAAAGATGGACAGCCTGTGCAATGGGAGTTGTAGCTCACACAGAACTGCCCACTCCAGTTGTGGCTGAAATCAGAGGCAGTCCAGGGAATGTGATGTTGGGCATTAGAGGAATTTGCTACAGACTGATTCAATTTAGGTAGAAGAGGATGTCTACATACATCCCTAGAGGTATGTATGAGAAGCCATCTTTTTCTTTTTTTTGAGACAGAGTTTCACTCTTGTTGCCCAGATTAGAGTGCAGTGGCACGATCTTGGCTCAGTGCAACCTCCATCTCCCAGTTTAAAGTGATTCTCCTGCCTCAGCCTCCCGAGTAACTGGGATTACAGGCACCTGCCACCACAGCCACCACACCTGGCTAATTTTTGTATTTTTAGTACAGACAGGGTTTCACCATGCTGGCCAGGCTGATCTTGAACTCCTGACCTCGTGATCCGCCTGCCTCGGCCTCCCAAAGTGCTGGGATTACAGGTGCGAGCCACCGCACCCAGCCGAGAAGCCCTCTTAAGCTGTGATCAGATGAACTGCTGCCCTCCATTCCCTCCATCAAGGAAACAGAATGATGCCTGCATAGAAAGCTTGGGATAAGTAGGTTGCTCTTTGTGTTCTCAAACATTAGGGAGCCTCAGAATCACCTGTAGGGCTTGTTAGAACACAAATTGCTGGTCTCTGCTTCCAGGCGTTCTGATTCAATCAGTCTGGAGCAGGCTGGAGAATTTGCATTTCTAATAAGTTGTTAGGTGATGCTAATGCTGCTGGTCTAGAGATCATGTACTGAGAACCACTTGTCTAGAACATCTGTGTATTTTTCCCAGCCATTGCCCAGAGCCTGTTGTGCTAGTTCCCAAACCTGTTCATGTCATCTTCACTTGTTATTATAGTCAGGTAATTAATTAAATATTGCATGAGCTAATAAGATACAAGTGGACAAAGACAAAGAATTGTGTCTATACAATACGAGTTGAATGTTACTGAAAAGACTCAATATAGATGAGTCATTGAAAACTTGCAAAATGTCACAAAAATTGAAAATTGAAAATTTATAAGAATCTAGAAGATTATTCAGAGATTACTCATAAATATCTTTAGTTCTTGCTCCATATGAAGTACCTGCAACAAGGAATGAATGCCAATATATTATGGTGTGATCCATGTAAAAAATACACCTGAAATGCCCTCGAGTATCAAAGAAGAGGCCTTATACCCATATTAGATTACTGTCAAATACATATACATTTATTTGTTTTAATTTAATAAGAAAGTTTAAGGTGTTTATGTTTTTTTTCTGATTTCCTGCTTAGTTGACCATTTTGATCAACTAACCTGTCCTTATCTAATTGAATGAGAACTTCCATGGCCTCCAGTTTTGAACCTTTCTGTTCTAAAGCAGGTTTCTCCCCAGGCATGAAGCTGAAAACTAGGAATTCCAATGAGGATCCTTCAGTGTCCCAAATAGTATCTTATTATTTTGAAAAATGTCAATTCTATGCTTTCTACATTTTTCAGAATTGCTGCCTATCTACCTGGGTCATTACTCTGCTCACAAGTACACACTGAATAAAATCAAAATCCTCGGCATTCAGGGCTCTCTCTGAAATGATTGACATCTGTCACTTGCTTCCCCTAATTTTTCACTTCCTCTCTTCATTTACCCTGTACCACACATAAAATATCATTTCTTGACTATGCATTTGTGTTTTTTTTTCATGAGTTCTTTCCTCTGCTCCTCTGTCTAGAGAACTCCTATTTATCCTTCAAAACCCAGCCCAAATATCTTATCTCTGAGAAGCCTTCCCAACTCCCTCTTTTGTTCTAATAGCTCTTTATTGTACATGGTCCTTGATGCTACTTGTCAGAATGCTTTGGAGTTTTTTGCTTTGGTTTCAGTGGAAGCTGTAGCGTCTTAGCTTTCAACATCTAGGACATTTGTAATATTTGCCCATCTTACTTTATCACTTTACCTGAACTGTGCTCCAGCCCTGACATTCTAGTCCTGAGTAGGGGCTCAGGAATATTTGTTGAGAAATACTAATGAGTAAACGAATCAATAAATGGACTCTCATTACATCTGATGTATTTGATATTTCTTATTCCAGCTTCTGTAGACATAAAAACCCATCATAATTTAAACGACAACTTAAGAATAATATATGTTGACTTGAATCAGTCACATCACTCACTCTTTTAGTGCTTAGCAATTTCTTCTTGTATCCATAAATAAAGTCCATTCCTGTTTTAAAGCCTGTTTTAAAAAAAACAGAGTGAAACTCAAATTGTTGAGAAGATAAGTAGCTTTATTAAATATGATAGCTTCAGCATTTTACAGATTCACCGGTGAAACTTCTCAACTGAGAGAGTGTGATGCTGCTCAGGTTCTTTGGCTATAAACTAGGGGCAATAACAGCTCTGACACCTCAGGGCCATGGTATTTAGTAAGATAGTTTATGTAAGGTGTCTGAATACAGGAGGGACCAAACAAATACCAGTGGATTTAACTGACTAAATTTTTGTTAAACTGAGCACAAAAACAGAGACCAAATAGCAGCAGAGGTCGGAGCTAACCATGTGCAATCCCCTAAGACCCAGCGATTCCACTTCTAGCTCTATACCCAATAGAAAAGCTCACAGAGATGCATCTAAAGACCTGCCAAGGATGTTGATAGCTTCAGTACATGTAATAGTCCCAAACTAGAAACAATCCAAATAGCAGCATTAAAATGAAGCAATGCATTGTGTTACATTCACACAATGGAACACTATACAGCAACAAAAACAAATGAAGGACTCAATGTGGAACAACACGGATGAATCTCACAAGCACAACACAAAAGAAAGGAGTCACATGCAAAAGAGTACATATATCTTTAATTGATATAAATCTTAACAACGAGTGAACTAATCTGCTGATAGAAATTGTGAGTGGGAACAGAGACTGGGAGAGAGTCTGAGAGGCCTTCTTGGATGCTGCAATGTTCTAGATCTTGAGCTAGGGATGATTATCTGGAGGTCCTCGGTTTTTAAAACTTCATAAGGCTACTTATGAATGGTGTGCCTTTCTTTATGGATGTCACATTTCAATAAAAAGCTTAATTAAAATGACAAAAGACAAGCAGGTTGGGTGTTTGGGAAGATGGACTAGCAAATGTAATGGCAAGGAATTCCTGGTGTTTGAACATATAGCAGAGATTAGGGAAGCAATAAGAAGGATGCTTCAAGAACAGATCCTTAAGTCAATGTGTATCTAAGGATGAAAAAGAAAGCCTGTGATAGTAATGGCTTCTTTTCTTTTCTGGGTTACATGACAAAAATGCTTGTCATCTGATGAGATAAAAGGATAGCCATCTGGAAAAGTAAATAATCTAAACTTTACACTGTACATTAGGACAAATTCTAAATGAATCAAAGATGTATATGTAAAATAGAAAACCATTAATATATTAGAAGATAAATGGGAGAGTTCCTTTTTAATCTTGGAATAGAGAAGGCCTTTCTGACTATGACACAAAAGCAAGAACCCATAAAAAATGGATAATTTGACTACACAATTATAAAAGCCTTCTGTTTGGTGAAACAACCACAACCACATCACACACACAAAAAAGCAAAAAAAAAAAAAACATGAAAAGCAAAATCAAAAGACAAATGAAAACAGGACAGGTAAACTGTAATTTAATCATAGTAAGAGGACTAAACTTCGGTCTTAATCCCTTTAATGGAATACCAAAGACTGTGTACTTTATAACAGAAATGTATTTGGCTCACAGTTCTCAAGGTTGGGAAGTCCAGGATCAAGGAGCTGCATCTGATGAGGGCCTTCTTGCTGTGTCATAACATGGCAGAAATCATCATGTAGCAAGAGAATGTGCAGGAGAGGGTAAGAGATGGCTGAGCTTGCTTTTATAACAAATTCACTCTTGAGATAATGAACTCACTCCCACGATAATGGCATTAATCCATTTATGAGGGCAGAGCCCCCTCATGACCTAATTACCTCTTAAAAGTCACCCCCTCAACACTGTTACATTAGGGATTAGACTTCTAACACATGAACTTGGGAGGATACATTCAAACCATAGCACCTTATGTTAAGAGCTTCTAGGAACAGATAAGAAAAAAACAAAAAAAGATAGGAAAACAGATAAAGCTTATGAACAGATAGTTTACAGAAAAAGAAATACAAATTGCTCTTAAACATATGAAAAAATGAGGCTAACCTCATTCACAATATGAGAAATGCAAATAAAAACAGACTTCATTTTTCAACTAATCGATTGGAAGAGAAACATGTTTGATAACACCATTTTGGCGGGCCTCTGGGAAACAGGCATGTTTATATATTGCTGTTGGGTGTGCACATTGGAGCAACCCTTCTGGAGGCTATTTGACAACACCTATCAAAATTAGAAAAGTATATCCCTTTGGCCTTGAATTCCAGTTCTGAGATTTGTCTTACAGATCTACTAGTCCACATGCAAAATGCTGTATATACCAGGTTATTCACTTCAGCATGGTAATCACAAGAGTAGAGACAATCCAAGACCATTGAGAGATGGGTAGTTCAGCAGATGAGGCATCCATACAATGGGATACCATGTTAAAAGAAAGAAGCTCTCTATTAAGGACAATGGAATTCCATGTGTAAAGGAGGAAGACCTCTAAATAAGAAAAGATCTGTAAGATACACAATAATGCAGAACAAAGCAAAGGAGAAGAGTGCATGTAACATGTGAAGGTATGTGTGGGGGTAACCAAAGAATCTATATGAATAGTTGCTTGATCTACATAAAGAAGCCCAGAAGAATACATTAAGAATATCAAAACAGAGTTACCTGTGCGTGGAAATGGAGGTGGGTGGAAATTGAGAGAGGAAGGGATGGCTGGGAAGAAGACTTTTTCCTGGTTACCTTTTCATGCTAAAAAATGTTGATCTTTGTGAATATATTAGCTATTCAAATAATTTAAAACACATCTTAGCTTGTGCTGGGTCTAGTTCTAATTAGAATGCCCTGCCTTCTTCTTAAGCTAGTGATTTGGCAAGGTAGAGCAGAGAGAATTTCTGTTTTGGGAGTTTTCGGTCTTTTCGTTAGTAAAAGAGCAAACAGAAGTTATGTACTAATCCAGGATTTGTGCTTTCTTTCAGTGACTTTTAGTGAAATAAAAGGATTGAAATAGGTTGCCTAACATATTTAGAGTCTCATCTTAGAGGACAGGGTTTTGTAAGGCTAGAACTTGGCAAGTGGGCACAACCAACAGGAAGCAGTTCTGGGTTCCCCTTTTATAGCTTCACAGGCAGAGACAAGAGCTGACAAATCAGAGGGAGCTAGCTGAGGGTTTGGCCAAAAACAATTTAGCAAACTCCAATTTTACCCAACTACCTGGATATTTCAAATAAAAGTATCTTTTAGGTAAAAATGATTCTGGACAATTAACGTGATCCCTTATTTTATGTTGTGTGACTCAACAGAGGATGATTCGTAATCCATGGCCCAGCCCGTGTCCAAATCCCATTGACCCTCTCGTGGGGGCAGGAGCTGTGTGGTGTTTATTCATTCAACATGCAGTTTCTGAGTGAAGAACTGAATAAAAGTAGCAGCTCACCTCTATAATTTCAGCACTTTTGGGAGGCCGAAGCCGGAGGATCACTCGAGCCCAGGAGTTCAAGACCAGCCTGGGCAACACAGTGAGACCCCTTCTCTATACATTTTTTTTTTTTTTAATTAGCTAGACGAGGCCGGGCGCGGTGGCTCACGCCTGTAATCCCAGCACTTTGGGAGGCTGAGGCGGGTGGATCACGAGGTCAGGAGATTGAGACCATCCTGGCTAACACAGTGAAACCCCGTCTCTACTAAAAATACAACAACAACAAAAAATTAGCCGGGTGTAGTGGTGGACGCCTGTAGTCCCGGCTACTCGGGAGGCTGAGGCAGGAGAACGGTGTGAACCCGGGAGGCGGAGCTTGCAGTGAGCCGAGATCGCGCCACTGCACTCCAGCCTGGGCGACAGAGCGAGACTCCATCTCAAAAATAAATAAATACATAAATAAAATTAGCTGGACATGGTGGTGTGTGCCTGTGGTCTCAGCTACTCGGGAGGCTGAGGTGGGAGGATTGCTTGAGACCAGGAGGTTGAGGTTGCAGCAAGCCAAGATTATGCCACTGCACTCTAGCCTGGGCGACAGAGTGAGAACCTGTCTCAAAAAAAAAAAAAAAAAAAAAAAAAAAAGGAAAGGAAGCAATTCTCTGTGTCTCTATCATTTGGCCAGACCTCGAAGCATACAGCCAGCAGGGTGAAAAAGAAATTAACATGTGAGGTGCACAGGTGTGTGGCTGGTGGACCCAGGGTGGTGAGTGGCTCTCCATTAATTAAAGAGAACGTGAGGTGAAGTCGTTGTCTACACGTTACAGACTTTGAGAAATTGTGTCAATAAAGGAGAACTTCATTTGGCCTTAGGTAAGAGCCATTCAATAAATTAGTTGGCTGAGGGTAGAGACGTGCAGGGAGAACCAGGATCTATGTAAAACCAGGGGGGCAGTGAAGAATTAAGAGGGCAGGCAGTGAAGCAAAGGCAAAAAAATTAATAAGATAAAAAGCTGCTCCAGCCCCAGCTTGCATTCCCTGTGATGCATAAACCAGGTGATCTTTGTTAGCCTTGGGAGAGGCAGAGAAGGTGAGAAGTGGGGGCCGATTGTCACAGGACTGTGGCCATCTATTTCCCCCGTGACCGTCTCCATTAGAACAGGATAGAAGTGAGATCAATCAGAAAGCCACCTTCACAGGGAAGACGTCCCGGCCCCGTGTAAATGCGCTGTGAGCTGCTGTTAGTGACGCTAATGTGGTTCCGAGAGGCGTCCTCGCCCAGCCCCAGAGCTGCAGACTGAGGCAGGGCCCGGGGTGCTGAGCTGAGGGGTGTTCCATCACCCGGACAGGGAAGGCAGACGGCCTTGGGCTCCCAGCTGGCCTTGTAAAACTTGAGTCATGGTGACAGAATTCCTTCCATCATCGTTTATGCTGCACCTTCCCGGCTGCATTACTGTTATTTAGCATCCTGCCGTCATCCATAAAGCACCTCGCTGCCATTTGTTCTTTATTTCTCACTCTCCTGAGGTTTGCTGTTCTCATTCCCTGTCTGGAGCAGAGAGGTGGGGCGTGGTGGGGGAGAGAGAGAGAGAGAGAGAGGAGAGAGAGAGAGAGATTAAAGAACTCTGTTCCAGGTTGCCACCTGCCTGCCCCTCGGCCCCCAGGGCCTGGCCTCCCCTCTGAAGGCCCTGCCCACCCTTGGTGGTGGCACCTGCCAGGTAAGTGTGGCAGGGCTGGAAATATGAGGCCTGGCATCTGGCCCTCTGCCCCGCTGTTCTGCTTTATGACCATGGGCAAATCTTTCTGTCTCTTTTGTGTATCCTGAGCTATAAAATGGACAAATGATGGTGGCCCCCTTTTCTTCCTTGCAGTGATGCCATGCCGGTTCTTAAGTTTTTCCCTAATGTAATAAATCTCAGAGACCAAACAGGATCATCAAAAAGAAAACCCACTGAGTTCCCAAGAAAGGCATGGCTCTTCATGCCCCTGTTCATGTGTGTTCTTGCCATGAAAGGCCGTCACCTGGGCAGGCGTCCCCATGGCTCTCCCGTCCACTTGCTGAGTTCATCGCATATCAGGTCCTTCCTCTACTAGAAACCCTCGATGGCCTGTATCCCATGCAGAGTCAAAGCCAATATTCAGAATGGTCTGGGCACTCCACAGTGGCCCCTGCCCCTAACTGACAGCCTGGCTCCTCTCCCCTCCTCCCTGCTCTGCCCAGCCATGCCAGCCACCTTGCTGCCCTCGCACAAACACCTGGGCCACACCCATGATACCTGGCACTTTCTGTTTCCCAAAACTATCCTTCCTGACTCTTTCCTTTAATGTCACCTTCTCAGGAAAGGCATCCCTGACCAGGCTGGGAACCCCCCAGGGCGGGGACTTTGCTGCTTTGTTTCCTCCTATATTTACAGTACCTTTCTCAGTGCCGAGACAATAAACATTTACTGAATAAATAAGTTATATCTCCCTTTTAGCAAGCAATTAATAATAGTAATACACCTGGTATGACAGTATCCAAAGCACTTTGAATGCAAAGCCCATAGCATTCATGTATTGCAGGCACATTTGCCAGTCACAAACTTGGATGTGCAAAGATGGTCACTTTATGTACCCTGGGAGTTAACTTGTTTCCAGACCCCCAATTCCACCCATCTTGCCAATACAAGGAAACTGAGTAAACCCAGGCTGATTCCAGGTGTGATTCCCCAGCTGGTCTACCTTGGCCTGTGTTGGCTGGACTTGGCAGAGAATGGGCCTCGCCCTATAGCAGCTTTTGGGGATGTTTGTCCTGGGAAGGACCATGCCTGGCTCACAGCCCACCCACAGCCATGCTGTGTGCACCAGCCAGTGATACCCAGCTGTATTAGTCCATTTTCATGCTGCTGATGAAGACATACCCAAGACTGGGCAATTTGCAAAAGAAAGAGGTTTAATTGGACTTACAGCTCCATATGGCTGGGGAAGCCTTGCAATCATGGTAGGAGGCAAGCAGGAGCAAGTCAATGTCTTAATTGGATGGCAGCAGGCAAAGGGTGAGTTTGTGTAGGGAAACTCCTGTTTTTAAAACCATCAGATCTCATGATGCCCATTCACTATCACGAGAACAGTGAAGGAAGGGCCTGCTCCCATAATTCAATCACTTCCCACCAGGTCCCTTTCACAACACATGTGAATTCAAGATGAGATTTGGGTGGGGACACAGCCAAACCATATCATTTCACCCCAGCCCCTTCCAAATCTCATGTCCTCACATTTCAAAACCAATCATGACTTCCCAGCAGTCCTCCAAAATCTTAACTCATTTCAACATTAACTCAAAAGTCCACAATTCAAAGCCTCATCTGAGACAAGGCAAGTCTCTTCTGCCTTTGAGCCTGTAAAATCAAAAGCAACTTAGTTACTTCCTAGATACAATGGAGGTACAGGCATTGGGTAAATATAGCCATTTCAAATGGGAGAAATTGGCCAAAACAAAGGAGCTACAGGCCCCCATGCAAGTACAAAATCCAGTAGGGCAGTCAAATCTTAAAGCTCCAAAATGATCTCCTTTGACTCCATGTCTCATATCCAGGTCACGCTGATGCAAGAGGTGAGTTCCCAGGGTCTTGGACAGCTCCACCACTGTGGCTTTGCAGGGTACAGCCTCCCTCCTGGCTGCCTTCACGGACTGGCATTGAGTGTCTGTGGCTTTTCCAGTAGCACAGTGCAAGCTGTCAGTGGATCTACCATTCTGGAGTTTGAAGGATGGTGGCCTTCTTCTCACAGTTCCACCAGGCAGTTCCCCAGTAGGGACTCTGTGTGGGGGATCTGACCCCACATTTTCCCTCCACACTGCCCTAGCAGAGGTTCTCCATGAGGGGCCCCACCCCTGCAGCAAGCTTCTGCCTGGGCATCCAGGCGTTTTCATACATCCTCTGAAATCTAGGCGGAGGTTCCCAAACCCCAATTCTTGACTTCTGTGCACTTGCAGGCTCAATACCATGTGGAAGCTGCCAAGGCTTGGGGCTTCCACCCTCTGAAGGAACAGCCTGAGCTGTACATTGGTCCCTTTTAGTCACGGCTGGAGCAGCTGGGACACAGGTCACCAAGTCCCTAGACTGCACACAGCAGAGGGACCCTGGGCCCAGCCCATGAAACCATTTCTTCCTCCTGGGCTTCTGGGCTTGTGATGGGAGAGGCTGCCACAAAGGTCTCTGACATGCCCTGGAGACATTTTCCCCATTGTCTTGGGGATTAACATTTGGCTTCTTGTTACTTATGCAAATTTTTGCAGCTGGCTTGAATTTCTCCTCAGAAAATGAAATTTTCTTTTCTATTGCATTGTCAGGCTGGAAATTTTCTGAACTTTTATGCTCTCCTTCCCTTATAAAACTGAATACCTTTAACAGCACCCAAGTCACCTCTTGAATGCTTTGCTGCTTAGACATTTCTTCTGCCAGATACCCTAAATCATCTCTTTCAAGTTCGAAGTTCCACAAATCTCTAGGGCAAGGGCAAAATGCCATCATTCTCTTTGCTGAAACATAGAAAGTCACCCTTGCACCAGTTCCCAACAAGTTCCAAGCTTTCCCACATTTTCCTGTCTTCTTCTGAGCCCTCCAAACTGTTCCAACCTCTGCCCGTTACCCAGTTCCAAGTCACTTCTACATTTTCGGGTATCTTTTCAGCAGTGCCCCACTCTACTGGTACCAATTTACAGTATTAGTCCATTTTCACACTGTGGATAAAGACATACCCAAGACTGGGCAATTTACAAAAGAAAGAGGTTTAATTGGACTTACAGTTCCACGTGACTGGGAAGGCCTCACAATCATGGTGGAAGGCAAGGAGGAGCAAGCCAATATCTTACATGGATGACAGCAGGCAAAGAGAAACTTTGTGCAGGGTAACTCCCATTTTTAAAACCATAAGACCTCATGAGACTAATTCACCATCATGAACAGCACAGGAAAGACCCACTCCCATAATTCAATCATCTCCCACTGGATCCCTCCCACAACACATGGGAATTCAAGATGAGATATGGGTGGGGACACAGCCCAACCATATCATCATCCTGGCTCCTTGGCAACCTTTTGCTTTCCACACACACACAGGGGATTTCTTTAGGCCTGAGGAAGCAGCTTCTTCCCTTCTGCCTACAGCTGCACTCAGCATCACTCTTCCAATTCTCTTCAAGGCTCTTTCCTATCAGAGTTCCACTGGGGATCAGTTCTGGGTTCACTAATTTTGGGTTTCCAAATCCATCAGGAGAATCTCAGATGCCACCCTGAGGGTTGGAGAGAGAAGAGGACCCCCACCAGCGGGTAAATCCCAGCTCCCCGCTCCTCACTTTCTCTAGCCTGCCCTGCTCTGGCACGCATCCTTCCGTACGCTGTGTTCCCGCCCCAGTCCACCAGGTTTTAGTTTTGAGACCCAAGTTTTTAGAAATTTCAAAGCCCTTTCTCTCTCAAGCTCTTGCTGCTTACAAAGCAAAGGCAAGGCTGGCTGTCAAACAATGGCCCAGGCATGGACTTTCAAAAGTCTATTTTTAAATTGAAAGGGAAAAAACAGGAACCAACCAGAAGGGAAAAAGTGTTGAATAATATTTCAAAACATTATGTGCATACACATTCACTGATGATTTACAGCTTACCAAAACATTTCTACCTACATAAGAGCATGAGATAGGCTGGGTGCAGTGGCTCATGCCTGTAATCCTAGCACTTTGGGAGGCTGAGGTGGGTGGATCACCTGAGGTCAGGAGTTCGAGACCAGCCTGGCCAACATGGCAAAACCCTGTCTTTACTAAAAATACAAAAATTAGCCTGGCATGGTGGTGTGTGCCTGTAATCCCAGCTACTTGGGAGACTGAGGCAGGAGAATCGCTTGAACCTGGGAGGCAGAAGTTTCAGTGAGCTGAAATCGTGCCATTGCACTCCAGCCTGGGCGACAAGAGCAAAATTCTGTCTCAAACAAACAAACAAACAAACAAACAAACAAAAAAGCACGAGATCTGTATGGTCCTGGTGTAGAGACAAACGGGGGCTCCAAGGTCATACCAGGCAAAAAGGGCACTTCCATCCTAAAACTCCAGTCTTTTTGTTCCAAAATTTGTTGTTGTTGTTTTTAAATGACCTGTCACACTGATTAGCCTGGGGACTGTATTTGATTGAGTCCTTGTGCCCTATAGTTAACAAACGTGGGAAGTGTGAGTTGAGTAGATGAAGTCCTACCCCAAAATGCAGCTCATTTGAGGGATTTATTATTAGACTCACTTTAAAAAAACACTCTTTGTCCATTGCTCTTTGTCTCTTTCCTTTATCCTGATGCCTGTTCCTCTTTCCATCTGTTGGTAGTATATCTCGATGGATTTTTTTTTTGTACCTTTCCTTGCCCAATATGAGACTAATAGGCATTTTATAATACTTTGAAGTATAAAATTCTTATTAATTTATCTCTTTATTAAATACAAAATAGACAATCAATTGCTGTTTCAAACAAGGAAATATTTTACAAACAAATAAAAATCAGAAGGTCTGTTGGTCCGCAAAGTAGATTTTCAAAGCTGCTAAAAATATACAATCATTTAATTCTTCTGTAGAGGGCTACCTCTTTTTAGGATAAATAAATGATATGTGTTTGTGTATACAGGGATTTTAAAGACATGTTTCCTTTTTTTTTTTTTTGAGATGGAGTCTCACTCTGTTGCCCAGGCTGGAGTGCAGTGGTGTGATCTTGGCTCACTGCAACCTCTACCTTCCAGGTTCAAGCAGTTCTCCTGCCTCAGTCTCCTGAGTAGCAGAGATTACAGGTGTCCACCACCACACCTGGCTAATTTTTGTATTTTTTGTAGAGACAGTGTTTCATTATGTTGGCCAGGCTGGTCTCGAACTCCTGACCTCAAGTGATCCTTCCACCTCGGCCTCCCAAATTGCTGGGATTACAGGTGTGAGCCACCGCACATGGCTGATGTTTCTGTTTTCCTGTTTTCTTTTTTTTTTTTTCCTCCTTCTGCTGAGTGAATTTTATCGACTACTCTCAACCCTTATTCTGCTCACCAGGCTGTCTTTTGGTGAGAGGTTGGGTTAGGAGTTCCTTTTAATGGCCTGAAAAGTCTTACTGTATTTCTTTGGTTATTAAATACACATTTTTATTCTGGTAGTTGCATGCTTAACACATTTGAAAGGTTTAAAAATTTGGTTTTCCAACAGATGCTGTAATCTGTATTTCTAATTTTAGGGATAGTGACAAATTATGGCCAACTTTAACAGTTGATTGTACAGTAAAAGTACAAACACTGACAAATACGGCATCAAGAGTCTATGCTTGTTTTCCTAGTTTTCTTGCTACTTTCTCCATCCTTTTAATCCATTCAATCATTGGTGAATTTATTCATCAAACACTTATTGGGCAGCTACTATGTCCCAGGATGCCTAGACACCTGGTGGGTGCCGGGATGCAGAGTCTTTAGCAGGTGCGGTGTCTGCCCTCAAGGAACTAGACACAGAGGATCAGAGAGTCAGGGAAGGCTTCCCCAAGAAGATGACCCTTGAGGTGGGCTTTAAAGGGATGATCAAGTGAGTGAGGGCTGAGGGTGACAACCTTTTGCCGATTTCCGAAATCATTCCCCGGTGTTACTGCATAATTCTGTGTGGTTTTGTTACTCCGTGCTCACACCTTACAGATCATTTCTTTGTGAAACGATCCTCAGATGACATAATTAAAATCTGTTCTCTGTCTCCTGCCACACTCCCGACTGATTTGAGGGAGGTGTTTAATTGTTGTTCCAGGCAGGCTTCAAGGCAAGATCAGAAATTGTGTCTTTGTGTCTGTGGGAGACAGGGATTGTGGAGGGATCCTCTGGGTCTCCCTGGATGGAATGGGACGGAACCAAATGCTGAAGGTGGAGGAGAGGACCCCAGGGGTGAGAAGCAGAGGAAAGAGAATAAGGTCCT
Source organism: Homo sapiens (assembly GCF_000001405.40). Lineage (NCBI taxonomy): Eukaryota > Metazoa > Chordata > Mammalia > Primates > Hominidae > Homo > Homo sapiens. Next base: position 125,362,476 of record NC_000010.11, read on the forward strand.
CCAGGGTCCTCCAGCGTGGGTCTCAATCACAAGTGACGCTGAGGGAAAGCCATCTCATTCTCCTGAGCTCTCTGTGTATATTAACCAGCTAATAGTAAAGTTGTTTGACAATAGGTTCTTCTACCCCATTGAGAACACTGTATTTCTTTGGTTATTTTGTTTTGTTTTGTTTTTTCTCAAAAAGACAAAAATAATTGAAAAACAAATGTTCAATCGGAGACATGTTTACATTTGTTCAGTGAAATATTATCTAGTTATTGAAAATGATAACTATAAAGATAATGGTGGACATGGAAAATATCTTAATAGATCTATATGTTAAAAAATGAATACAAATGGTCTGTATGCTATGATAACAGCTATGCAAAAGTAAATGCACGCTGATAAGAACTAGAAAGGAATATGTAAAAAAAAATTCAGGATTAATGATGTTTGTATTAGTTAAGATAATGCCGGTAGTTGTAAAAGAAAAATTCTGAAATCCCAGTAGCTTAACACACTAGAAGTAAAGTTTTGCTCAGGACAAGTCCAGTACCAATATAATGGACCTAGGCTCCTTCCAGCTCATGGCTATGCCTCCTCCAGGGCCTCACAATCCCCTTCATTCAGTGGGTGGATAAAGAGCTATGCCCTAGCCCTCTTGGGCCCGAAGGTGTCCATCTTTATTTTCACTCACATTTGATTGGTCTAAATGAGTCACATGGCCCCATGATAGGATCAGAGGCTTGCACGCATTGGAAATCTATTTTTTCTTTTGTACTTTTTGATATTGAGTCTATAGTGACTTTCTTGTCTGAACTAAAAACATTTACTACAACAATAAACACCCCAGTATTTCCTCTTTCTGGAAGGTGCTGTACCCTCCTCCCTACTCTGTCAGGTAGACTACTTAAAATTCTCTCTTTCAAGGTTCTCTTTAAGTTCCTTCTGCTCCATAAATCCCAACCTGCCTACTGCAGCCTCAAGAGCAGAGCTCTCACTGTTGATATCTGGACCATGAATCATACTTTCCTCTTAAAGGCACCATAGGATGGTTGAGGTGGAGGTGATATCAGCAAAAAAGGTGGAGCAGGGACCTCCAAAAATCATCTCCTCTATAGAAACAATGAGATCATCGGCAAAAATGGTCAGAGTCAACGTTTGCTGAAGTTAACCAAAGGCTTGCAGCAATCTGGGGAGCATTTATTCAAGAAAAACGACTGTATCTTTGTATGAAATGCAAGCTTTATGGCAATCTAATTGGCCTTATTACTATTGCCCACTCCTGAGCTCCGTAGTAGTAACCTTGAAAACCAATAGTCTGCAATCATGGTGAAAACCAGTGGCCTGGCAGACCCTGGAAAGGGAAGAACAGAGCTGAAGCTCCTTCAAAGCCTCATTTCCAGAGAATTGCCACTATCTGACTTGTCTAGTGGTTTCTGGAAGACCCCCACACAAGGCTGTCTTTATTTGATCTGACTGGTAGCTCATCCAGTGTGAACAGCTTTTTTTCCCCAGGGACAGTTGTCTAAAACAATTAGGCAATTGTTTAACATTACAGCTTCCCAAGATGGTAGATAACAGTTTGGGGAAACAGTACACAAACCTAAAAGCTTAAAAGGAAAAGCTAGGAAATGAAATGTCCACAGGGGTCTTTGAAAGGCTTTGATATAGTCTTGGGAATCTAGAAGGCCAGGCACATGTTTAGGACTGTGCACATGCCCAAGGGCTATGCCCCTGCTCAGGAAGGCCCTGAGAAGGCCCTGTGCTCTCCACTTTGGATAATTTTGAGACTCTGCATAAGCAGGAAGTGAAGGCCAAGATTGATTTTTAAACGGCCTGGCTAAGTGTTGAAGTAATACCCCCAACATGCACACAAAACTCCTCAGCAAAGACTAGGAAACCTATTGGTAATAGGCATTTAAGGAAATTTCTGCCCAATCACTGGCTGACAACTGAGCTAACTGAACAAACACTTCAATGGCTACACACAACAAAGAATAAGACTTTATAGAAGTAGTTCAGAAAAGTCACCAAGAAAACAACCACAGCAACAACAAACCCTGCAGAGAGGGAATAATTTGATTTCCAGAGTTGCCACATTATATTATTTTAAATATCCAGTTTTCAGCAGCAGCAACAACAAAAAACACAAGACTTGCAAATAAACAAGAAAGCATTGTTGATACACAGTGGGAAAGAAAACCCAGTCAATAGAAATTATCCCCAAGGAACTCCAGACATTGGTTTACTTATTTAAAATATTCAAATAGCTAAAGGAAACCATTTATAAAAAATTAAAATATTAGAATGATGTTTCACCAAAAATAGAATATCAAAAGAGATAGAAATTATGAGAAAGGACCAAATAGAAAATCTCAAATTGAAAAGTACAATTACTGAAATAAAAAATTTATCAGAGAGGCTTAACAACAGATTTGAGCATGTCAGTAAGATAATTTTCCAGTCCAAGGATAAAGAGAGAGAGGAAAAAACAACAACAACAAAGAAGTGAACAGCCTTGAGATCTGTGGGATTCCATGAAGCATACCAACATACGCATACTGTGAATGCCAGAAGGAGAGGAGAGAGAGGATGGGGCAAGAAAATATTTAAAAAAGTAATCACCCCAAACTTTCCTAATTTGATGAAAAACATCACTGTATATATTCAAAAAGCTCAACAAACATCAAATAAACTGAAAGGAGATTCACACCTAAATATATCATACCCAAACTGTTAAAAGCCAAAGACATAGAGGAAATCTTAAAAGCAGCCAGGAAGAGGCTACTCATCACATACACAGGATTCTCAACAAGATTTATCAGAAACTATGGGAGCCAGGAGTCAGTGAGTGACATATTCAAAATGCTGAAAGAAAAGACTGTCAAACAAGAATTATATCCAGCAAAATTATCCTTCAAAATGAAGAAGATGTCAAAATATTTCCAGATAAACAAAAATAGGGAGATTTTGTTCTTAGCAGATCTGGCTGAGGAAAAATACTAAAGGGAGTCCTTAAGGTTGAAATGAAAGAACATTAGATAAGAAAGAAGAAATAAAGAGCACCAGTAAAGGTAACTACATAGGTAAATACAAAAGGCAATATTAATGTATTTTTGTTTGTAATTCTTCCTTTCTTCATGCTTATAAATTTGTGTTAACTGACATAAGGTGTATAAAAATGTAATTTGTATGCCAATAACAGCACAAAGAATGGGAGGAGAAAATAATGCTATATAAGAGCATAGTTTTTAGATAATATTTAACTTAAGTTGGTTTAGGATGTTAATGGTAATCCCTAAGGCAAGTACTAAGAAAATAACTTTAAGAAATGGGGGCAAGGCCAGGCATGGTGGCTCATGCCTATAATCCTAGCACCTTGGGAGGCTGAGGCGGGCAGATCACCTGAGGTCAGAAGTTCGAGACCAGCCTGGCCAACATGGTGAAACCCTATCTCTACTAAAAATAGAAATTAGCTGGGCATGGTGGTGCATGCCTGTAATCCCAGCTACTCGGGAGGCTGAGGCAGGAGAATTGCTTGAACCTGGAAGACGGAGGTTGCAGTGAGCCAAGATCATGCCATTGCACTCTAGCCTGGGTGACAGAGCAAGACTCTGTCTCAAAAAAAAATAAAAATAAAAAAAAGGAGGGGCAAAAGAAATGATAATAAAATTAAAATAACATATGAGAAAATAATTACCACAAAAAAGCAGTAATGGAGGAATACAGAAATACAAAAAGGCATAAGACATATAAAGTAAATAGAAAAATGGCAGACAAAAATCTTATCAGTAATTATATTAAATGGAATGGATTAAACACTCCAACTAAAGGACAAATATTGGCAGATGGGTAAAAAATGATTCAACTATATGCTGTCTACAAGAGGTACCTTTTAGATTCAAAGACACAAATAGGTTGAAAGTGAAGGGATACGAAAAGATATACCAGGCAAACAGTAATCAGAAAAGAGCTAGAGTGATTAAACTAATATCAGACAAAATAGACTTTAAGAAAAAAATCTTTACTAGAGACAAAGGAAGACATTTTATAGTGATTAAAGAGTCAACATATCAAGAAGATTTAACAATGATAAACACATGTGCACCTAACATAGGGTTTTAAAGTGCATGACACAAAAACTGACAGAATTGAAGGCAGAAATAGACAATTCAGCAATAATAGTTGTAGACTTCAATACCTTAATTTCAATAATAGATAGACAACCAGGAAGAAGGTAAACAAGGAAACAGAAGATATGTGCAATGCTATTAACTAAGTAGGCCTAAAAGTAATCTATAGCACACTCTGCCCAACAGCAGAATACATATTCTTTTTAAGTGCGAATGGAACATTCTTCAGGATAGACCATATGTTAAGCCATAAAACAAATCCAAATTCACTCACAAGTGTTGATATCATACAAAGTATGTTCTCCAACCAAATGGAATGAAATTAGAAATCAGTAACAGAAGGAAATTTGGGAAAATTACTAATTTGAGGAAATTAACACACTCCTAAATAACCAATGAATCAAAGCAGAAATCACAAGGGAAATTAGAACATCCTTTGAATCAATGAAAATGAAAACACAACACACCAAAACTCATGAGATGTAGCGAAAACAGTGATTGGAGGGAAATTTATAGTTCTAAATAGCCATGTTTTAAAAAGCAAGATCTGAGTTGAAAAACTTAACTTCTGTCTTAAGAAACTAGAAAAAGTAAGGCAACTAACTTCAAAGCTAGCAGAGGAGGAAATAAATAAAATAGAGAATAGAAAGGCAACAGAGAAAATCAACAAAAACCAACAAACTAAAAAAATTGACAAACCTTTAGACTGAGCAGGAAAAAGAGAGAAGATTCATATTAACTAAAATCATTACTAAAATCAAATTTCTGAAATGAAAGAGGGAACATTACTACCAAGTAAAAGAGATGACAAAATAATACTAGGAACAACTGCA